>NC_000009.12:129789641-130103459 GCF_000001405.40 Homo sapiens | reverse complement strand
ATAATACATCCTTTTGAAGATTACCACTGGGAATGGATGCAGAGGTTATCATTCCACCTATATACCCCATGAGAAGTCCCTGGTCCCAAATCTCTGCCTGACTTGCTGTAAAAGGTAATCCTCCACACTTTGCATGTAAAATCTGTAGTGCTATTATTTAGGAAGTCTCTAAGTTTAATTTCTCTTTCTATACAGGACTTAGAATCAAATTATCCGAAATTTCATTTAAAACTAATGCAAAAATTATCTGAAATTTCAGCCTCTCCAATGACCCCCAGCTTCTGGGTCCTTCCCTGTCCCACACTGCTCGTGAAGCCCTGTCTATCCAAAACACTAGCATCTGTGGCTCCATCTAAAAAGACAAAGTAGGGCTGGGTGCGGTGGCTCATACCCATAATCCCAGAAATTTGGGGAGCCAAGGCAGAAGGATTGCTTGAGCCCAGGAGTTTGACACCAGCCTGGGCAAAATAGTGAGACACGGCCTCTAATTAAAAAAAAAAAATTAAAAATTAGTCAGGTGTGATGGTGTACGTCTGTGGTCTCAGCTACTCGGGAGACTGAGGCAGGAGGATCGCCTGAGCCCAGGAGTTTAGGGCTGCAGTGAGCCATGATCACCACTGTACTCCAGCCCGGGCGACAGAGTGAGACCCTGTCTAAAAGTAAGAGGACAAAGTAGAAAACAAAGGCTTTCACATCTTAAATTCAAAATTCCATTTTGTCCTTAATTCACACACTGCATGAGAGACAGAATGTTCCCAGTGTTGAACAACGTGCCAAGAGTGTTCCTGAAACACCATTTTGCAGGGACATCATCTACTCCTTACTTAGAAACTTTCTGTCACTGCCCATGGCCAAAAGGAAGCAGTTTTAACTTTTCAGGCTGACATTTAAGGCCCTCCCAGACTAGTTCTATTGTCTAAATACTCATGACTTTCTTAATTTGTTAAATGTCCTTATCTTCTCAGACTGACATTCCATGGAACTCTGTGTGTCTGTCTTTCAGGGAAGCCCAGGACGGGCTTCCTGGAAGGCTATGCCCCACGACAGCCTGGTTCAGGCTGGTGGGGGGAGACTCTAGAGGGATGAGGGACTCTACTAAAGGGAAGAGGCACACGCAGCCGGGTGACAACCCAGTCTCCGTCATTCACAACTCCGAGACCTCGGCAGGCTGTAGGACTCAGTCTGGCTGAAGAAGTGACCACGGTGGCTCGACAGCCGAAAGACCGGCACAGTCCCTCAGCATGTTTTGCTTAGCAGACAGCAGGGTCATGTGTATTTACTGCCTCTGTCACATTCCTTTCCTTCAACACCCAGGCCAGCCCTATCTCTGTCACAAAGCCCTCCTTGATCCTTCCAACTTGAGTGCTTATTCTCTCCTTGGAAACACAGAGCAACTGGCCTGTCCCATTCATTTGATGTCAACACATGTTCCTCATTATTGAACGTAAGGGTGGATGAGGTCTGTTAGAACTCCGAGAGGAGCTCTGCTGCAAACTCTGCCAGAGTTGGGACGGCTGATCTGGGTGCCTCAGGAGTTGTCCCCTTCCACCCCCAACCTTCCACATTTACTTTGTGCTCCAAAATGTGAGAAAAGTTCACAGGGACAACTCTGTCAAACAGACGCTGTCTGGTCAAGCAGAGCAGGGTAGCTGTGCATCCCTGCTAAAACCTCTCTGTTCATTGTAAGTTCTTTACATCCAAGTTCTGCTTCCAGTAAGACAAGGCTCCTCCCGCAAAAGACTCACAGCCTTGTAAGGCTGGCCTTGGCCCTCGGCCCCAAACATGGTAAGGATTTAGGAAATGTTTGCCCCTCACGTCTACTACCATATTCTACCTGTGGAAACTCACTGGTGTAGTTCACGGTTTTAAAATACTTTGTTAATAAAATCACTACATCTCTGAGCTTCCTTGCCAAGGGCACCATTTAGTTATGAAGCAAATGATGCAGAAGAGAAAACAGTACTGTGTGTTACTGTGTGTCTCCCTGTCACTGTCAGCAGCTCTCTACTCAAAATCTAGGCCCCCAAAGGCCAGTGGCTGACTGATGCCCAAGCATCTCCCAGTGCAATGACCTGAAGTCTGTTCAGAATTCAGAAAGAGAATCTCAGTCTTCAACCTCCACTAGCAGAAGCTGGGGTTTCAGGGTGAGGTGACTCCCTCTTCCCATACAGGCTTGGAGCTGAGCCCTGCTAAGCGCCAAGAAAGGAAGTGACAAATGGGATGAGGGTTCTTTTACCTGGAGTGGAATGACAATCATGAAGATCTTTTTGTCTTTATCAGAAAGGATGTGCTTAATGAAAGCCCAGCCAGTGCCAATGAGTGCAATGGTGATGAAGAGTAGCGCCCCTTTCAAACTGGAAGAGAAAACAAGGAACAGACACCAGCAGGTCTCTTTAGACTCTCACTGCCAGTTAGATTGCATAGCTCATTCTATGAGTTCACAAGCTTCTTACAAAAGACGGGCAGCCAAATTTAGGAAATCCATCATACATGAGCACCACTTCCTTCAGGGCACACAGTTAGCTCTGCACCCCACAGCCTGGACAGCCAATGGCCGCAGAGAGGCAGGAGTATGCCACTAAGCCCGACTTCCCAAGTCTGGACAGCCACCCATGAGCTACACTCCTCTGGTATGGCAGGGGCCCAGACAGGCTGCCACAGGAGGGCAGGGCTGGTTAACTTGGGGCAGGTTGTTGCCCACCCCCCTTGTCTTGTATGTCATTTCATGGTGTATTTCACATGGACCTGCATACTTACAGGTGAGTTATGTAGTACACAACAGCCCAGCCTTCGATAGGGAAGCCCTGGGAGGAGATGTAGTGGTAGTCAATCTGAAATCAAACAACTGCATTTCAGAATCACTCATTATCTACATGGCTCCACAAAGAATCTTTTAACTTGGACCCATTTGGGAAATTATCCAAATCATTGTCATTTGGTGACGCTGCCACTGGATATATTATTGCCTTTTCCAAGGAGGCCACTTTCAAGTACAGCAAAGAGTACATGTCTAGAGACTGTCATCCTTGCAAGTGTGCTCCACGGGCACTTGGAGGCCCACAGACAGGAGAAGTTGTGATCTTACCCCCTTGGGCAAGTTCATTTTAATTTGCATAAGTTCCAAATATACAAAGCTGAGGCTCAATTCTCATGCCTCCAGCTTTATAGCATCAATTTTCTCTCAGATAAATATGCTAATACTGAATTGAACTTCAAATCACAGAGGAACATGAGGGAATATCTGGAAACATAAAAAAGTCGTGGAGGCCGGGCGTGGTGGCTCATGCCTGTAATCCCAGCACTTTGGGAGGCTGAGGCGGGCGGATCACGAGGTCAGGAGATCGAGACCATCCTGGCTAACACGGTGAAACCCCGTCTCTACTAAAAATACAAAAAAATTAGCTGGGCGTGGTGGCGGGCGCCTGTAGTCCCAGCTACTCGGGAGACTCAGGCAGGAGAATGGCGTGAACCTGAGGGGAGGAGCTTGCAGTAAACAGAGATCACGCCACTGCACTCCAGCCTGGGCAACAGAGCGAGGCCCCGTCTCAAAAAAAAAAAAAAAAAAAAAAAAAAAAAAAAAAAAAAAAAAAAGTCGTGGAAACAAGTCAGCAGGTGGCACTCTCATCTCTAGAAATGGTAAAAAAACAAAACAAACCAAAAACAAAGAAATAAAAACAATAATAAGTGTTCTAGAAAAACTGTAGGTCTGTAAGCAGTATTAGAAGATGTCTGAAGTCTAATATGAGGGGAGGTGGTAATCATTTACCCGCATGGCCAGGCCCTCCCAGACAAGAGGAGGCTTTATGAGAAATGTATTCTTTGTCTTTGTTTCCCACCAATCTATCCCCTTTCTTCAAATTTCTTTTGCCTGCTCACACAGGCATTATACGTAATTTCATGAATGATCCTCAAAATGCTAATACATACTGCATGGAACACCAAGGAAAGAGACTTGGTGAAAGGAAGGGCCGCCATCAGCCAGTGGATTTTAAATACATCATTCCTATAAAAACAGAGAGAAAACAATTAAAGGAAGATTCCATTCTCCCAAAGGACAGCCAAAGCTCCAGACATTAGCTATATTTATAAGGAGACAGGAAATATAATCTGTGCAAACCACAAACATGAAACTTTTTTTTTTTTTTGAGACAGGGTCTTATTCTGTCGCCCAGGCTAGAGGACAGTGGTGTCATCACGGCTCACTGCAGCCTTGAACTCAGGCTCAAGCGATCAAGCAGCTCTCAGGAAGCTGAGGTGGGAGGATGGCTTTAGGTGTATGCCACCATGCCCAACTAATTTGTTTTGTATTTTTTATACAGAAAGGGTTTTGCTAAGTTTCCCAGGCTGGTCTTGAACCCCTGGCCAAGCAATCCACCCACTTCGGCCTCTCAAAGTGTTGATATTACAGGCATGAGCCACTGTACCCAGCTAAAACTTTTTTTTTTTGAGACAAGAGTATCGTTCTGTCACCCAGGCTGGAGTGCAGTGGCACAAACTTGGCTCCCCGCTAACTCCACCTCCCGGGATCAAGTGATGCCCCCCCACCGCCTCAACCTCCTGAGTAGCCGGGATTACAGGCGTGCGCCAAGATGTCTGGCTAATTTTTGTATTTTTAGTAGAGACAGGGTTTCACCACATTGGCCAGGCTGATCTTGAACTTGTAACTTCAAGTAATCCACCCGCCTCTGCCTCCCAAAGTGCTGGGATTACAGGGGTGAGCCGCCACACCCAGCCACTTTTTTTATAAAGTACGTTTTGCTGGTAAAAAAGGCCTTGAATGGAGTCCTAAAGTAATCTCTAATACACAATTTAATGTTGTGAATGAACCTGAGAGTTATGCACCAAAGCTAGACATGATGGATTCCAACTCTTGAGTAAATGGAAATCTAACACAGGCTGCCAGCTTGTTCCCGGAAACCACCCTGGGAAAGCCAGAGGCAAGAATGAGGTAGATGGACCTGAGAAAACAGCACAGAACTCCTAGGAAAGCAGAAAGCGATTACAAATAGCTGTAGGGGAAGTCTGCAGCCCAGAGTAGGGGGACTGGGAGCCAGCAGTAGGGATGTGTGAGGAGAAAGTGCCAGGGTCATGCCCATTTCTCTCTCCTTCATGGCTGGTGTCTGCAAATACCCCAGGCCAATGAGACAAAGCACCCATTCCCATGCCCACCCCATCACAGATACTAGTCCACCTTTCGGCTGCCGGGCATTAAATTCCTCTACTCCTTCCCACCTCCCCTTAGGAATTAACCTAATAGAACATATTAAGACTATTATGAGGCTAGGTGCAGTGGCTCATGCCTGTAATCCCACACTTAGGGAGGCTGAGGTGGGAAGATTACTTAAGCCCAAGAGTTTGGGATTAGCCTGGGCAAGATGACAAAACTCCATCTCTACCAAAAATACAAAAAGTTAGCTGGGTGTGGCGGTGCACACCTGTAGTCCCAGCTACTTGGGAGGCTGATGTGGGAGGATCACTTGAGCCCAGGAGGCAAAGGCTGCAATGAGCCGTGACTGTGCCATTGCACTCCAGACTGGGTGACAGAGCGAGTCCCTGTCTCAAAACGGTCTCAAAACAAACAAAAATTAAGCCAGGAGTGGTGGTGCGTCCCTATAGTTTCAGCTATTCGGGAGGCTGAGGTGGGAGGATCACTTGAGCTCAGGAGTTTGAGGCTGCTGTAAGCCTTGATTACGCCACTGCTCCAGCCTGGACAACTTAGTGAGACCCTGTCTCAAAAAAAAAAAAAAAAACCCAAAGAATACAGGCAGCCACAAGAGGGGAAATGGTTAAGTCTCTAAAATGATAATCCACATCACCAATATTCAGAGAAACGCAAAATAAAGCAAGATACCACTTTACACCTATCAGATTGGCAAAAATTAAGATGTCAGTATTGGTAAGAATGTGGAGAAACAGCAAACCTTATTATGTATGCACCACTGGTAGACGTATAAACCTATATGCCACACTGGAAGGCAATCTGGCCCTTAACGAAATTAACTGATGGCTGGGCGCAGTGGCTCATGCCTGTAGTCCCAGCACTTTGGGAGGCCGAGGCGGGAGGATCTCTTGAGGCCAGGAGTTCAAGACCTGCTTGGCCAACACAGTGAAAACCCGTCTCTACTAAAAATACAAAAATTAGCCCGGCATGGGCGTACATGCCTATAGTCCCAGCTACTCAGGAGGGTGAGGCAGGAGAATCGCTTGCACTCAGGAGGTGGAGGTTGCAATGAGCCAAGATGGTGCCACTGCACTCCAGCTTGGGTGACAGAGTGAGACTCTGTCTCAAAAAAAAAAAAAAAAAGAAAAAAAAGAAAAGTAAAGAAAAGAAATTAACTACCCATGGCACAGTGTGCTTCCTTCTGGGACTGCAGCTCGGAGGCTGCACAGATCCACAGGGGATCTTTGGAGGTACATGCCAGCACTGGCTGAGGTAGCAGGGAGATGTAGGCAGTCCAGGCGTGTGTCTATCACTAAAGGACCAAAGCAGTCAAACGTGAGGACACAGAGCATGGGATGCTGTGGAGTAGGTAAAAATCAATGAATGAGATGCACACTCAGCCACATGGCTAGATCGCAGAAAGGATAATACTGAGTAAAAAATGTACAACAACGTCTATAGATATTTTATGTAAACTTAAAATAAATGCAACACCAGTAAACAGTACTTATCTATAAGAATATAGAAATATCCAAAAATCAGGCCAGACGCAGTGGCTCACGCCTGTAATCCCAGCACTTTGGGAGGCCGATCACCTGAGGTCAGGAATTCTAGACCAGCCTGGCCAACGTAGTGAAACCCCGTCTCTACGAAAAATACAAAAATTAGCCGGGCATGGTGGCAGGCGCCTGTAGTCCCAGCTACTCGGGAGGCTGAAGCACGAGAATTGCTTGACCCGGGAGGCGGAGGTTGCAGTGAGCTGAGATTGCACCACTGCACTCCAGCCTGGGGCACAGAGTGAGACGAGGTCTCAAAAAAAAAAAAAAAAAAGTCCAAAAATGTATATGCAACACATTTGAGCAGTTCTCCACTACTGGGAAGGAGTGGGAGAGGGGACAGGAAATGAAGGGGAACAATAGAGCAGGAGAGGGGCCTGGCACCAAGTGAGAATGAGAGTGTACCACAAAGGGATATCAGTTTCTGGGCTCATTTCCTCCCTGGTACTTTCCTGTTCCAGTGCCCACCTACTTGAAGGTCAAAAGGGAAGTCAAGGCCAGAATAGCCTGGAACTACTGAATGCCAATGAGATTTACCCAGAGTGTAAAACCACCCACCACAAAGAGCTGTGCTCATTCACACTCTGGCAACCTTGACTTGCAGTCCATGGTTAGAATATCTACGATGGGGCAGAGATGTGATGGAAAGAATACTCACTGACCTCGGCTCAAATACTAGTTCTACCTACACTTGAAGTTGGGAGGGGCCTGATACATACTAGCAAGCAGACCCGAGTTCCAGTCCCAGGTCTGTTGGGTGACACTGGCTCTCGTTTCCCCTCTCTGGGCCTCAATAAATGAGGCAAAGATCTCTTAGTCGTTTCCAGCTTTCAGGGGCCAGTGAAATGCGCCTGGCGGCCTTGGTCATATGCCTTTATATCATGTGGGTTTCCAGCCTACCAGAACTGACTCTAAGACTCCCGGGAAAACATGGGCAGGACTTAACTGACCTTCCCCCATGCACACTATACTCCAACAAAAATTACAGATGAGACTTGTACACAATAGGTCAGCCTCATTTAACCACAGATTGAAAACTGTGTTATCACGGTCTGGGTGCACTGGCTCATGCTGGTAATCCCAGCACAATGGGAGGCCAAGGCAGGTGGATCACGAAGTAAAGAGATCAAGACCATCCCAGCCAACATGGTGAAACCCCGTCTCTACTAAAAATACAAAAATAAGCCAGGCATGGTGGCGGACGCCTGTAGTCCCAGCTACTTGGGAGGCTGAGGCAGAAGAATCACTCAAACCCAGAAGGCAGAGGTTGCAGTGAGCCAAGATTGCACCACTGCACTCCAGCCTGGCGACAGAGCGAGACTCTGTCTCAAAAAAAATAAAATAAAGAAAACTGTTACCACAATTTGATACAAGTGAACCAGTGACAATGACTATTGCCACCAATAACTAAAGGAAAATTAAAACACCACTGAACCCCTGGCTACTAAACTATTTTATAAACACCTCATGTTTGGATTGCGCCCTGATTTGCAAAGCCCTCTCATACACATTATCTTAGGGAGAATCACACAACATGTCTAAGAATCCAAGACTCTTACAGGAAGGCAGAGTAACTATTACTGTCCCAGTTTCATAGCCAAGAAAAAAAGAGATTTACAGTGAAGCAAGGCACACAGGCAGTCACTGTCCAAGTTCACACCTGAAATCAGGTCTGACTCCTAGTTCTTACTTTTCCAGTAAAGGCAAAAGTAGAACTTTCTTTGAAAAAAATAAAAAATAAAAAATAAAAAAAAACAACAGAGGCCGGGCGCAGTGGCTCACGCCTGTAATCCCAGCACTTTGGGAGGCCAAGGCAGGTGGATCACCTGAGGTCAGGAGTTCAAGACCAGCCTGGCCAACATGGCAAAAGCCAGTCTCTACTAAAAATGCAAAAATTCGCCAGGCATGGTGGCAGGCACCTGTAATCCCAGTTACTCGGGAGGCTGAGGCAAGAGAATCGCTTGAACCTGGGGGACAGAGGTTGCGGTGAGCTGAAATCTCACCACTGCACTCCAGCCTGGGCGACAGAGCGAGACTGTGTCTCAAAAAAACAAAAAAAAACAAAAACAAACAAAACAAAACAAAATAAAAAAACCCACCCAAAAACTTTAATGGCCTAAATTTTTATAACCTTCCCTCCTTCCATCTGCCTCTTTCTCTTTCTTTCTTAGAGACAGAGTCTTACTCTGTGTCCCAAGCTGGAATGCAGTGGCACAAACATAGTTCACTACAGCCTCGAACCCTTGGGCTCAAGCAATCCTCCCACCTCAGCCTCCCAAGTAGTGAGCACTACAGGTGTGCACCACCACAACTGGATTTTTTTTTTAATTTTGTGCAGTGGCACAATCTCAGCTCACTGCAAGCTCCACCTCCCAGGTTCACGCCATTCTCCTGCTTCAGCCTCCTGAGTAGCTGGGACTATAGGCACCTGCCACCACGCCCAGCTAATTTTTTGTATTTTTAGTAGAGATGGGGTTTCACCGTGTTAGCCAGGATGGTCTCGATCTCCTGACCTCATGATCCGCCCACCTCGGCCTCCCAAAGTGCTAGGATTACAGGCGTGTACCACCGCGCCCAGCCCACAACTGGATAATTTTTAAATTTGTTTGTAGAAATGGAGTCTTGCTGGGCCAGGTGTGGTGGCTCACGCCTGTAATCCCAGCACTTTGGGAAGCTGAGCCAGGTAAATTACCCGAGGTCAGCAGTTCAAGACCAGCCTGGCCAACATGGTGAAAGCCCGTCTCTACTAAAAATATAAAAATCAGCTGGGTATGTTGGCACATGCCTGTAATCCCACCTACTTCAGAGGCTGAAGCACCAGAATCGCTTGAACCCAGAGGTGGAGGTTGCAGTGAGTAGAGATTAGGCACTGCACTCCAGCCTGGGGGCTAGGGGAGAGAGTGAGAATCCATCTTGAAAAAAAAAAAGAAATGGGGGTCTTGCTATGTTGCCCAAGCTGGTCTCAAACTCACAGACTCAAGTGATCCTCCTGCCTTGGCTTCCCAAAGCACTGGGATTACAGGTGTGAGCCACCACACCTCGCCCATAGGATTTTTCTTAGTAATTGCTGCTTGAAAATCTAGTCCAAACATGATTATGTAGCTCCTTCCCAAGTAAACAAGAAACTCTTTCTATCTGGTGGGTGTACAGGATATCACAACAAATAGGTACCAGCAACTGAACCCAGCCAGAGTCTAATATACCAGACTCCGAGCATGTTCATTAGAAGACAATCAAGCTACCAAGGACTTAAAAAGTCTCAATTTCCACCCCAATGCTCCAGAGAAAGAGGTATTTCAGGGTGCTTAATTATTCTATGAATTTAAATCAATCCATATTATAATAGCATATTCGCATACTATCATTTACTCAGTTTATGAGCCTTATAATAAATACTTTACACGATTCTCTAAATGAATATTAATATTTTGTTTTCAATTTTCTTGGAGGGAGAAAGAATTCACGCATATGCAGCTGCTCCCCTCAAGAACCAAGTACAGGAAGTTAAAGCCTCGGGGGTTTCAGAAAAAAAAGGCTAAAAGCCAGGCAGATGGGCTTTGAAGAGGTTTTGTCCAGTGACAAGTATCTGGAAGTCAATGCAGAGAATCTATCCCAGTGCAGCTTTGAGCCAAGACCTTCAGTTCTAAGCAGTAACTCCATGCTCTCGCCAGGCAGTGCTCATCGTCACTAACTTCCTCTCCAGAAGCAACAGCCCCTGAATGAGACCCATGTGTTTACTCTCAGTCCTGGACTGTGGGATCTCCACCATGGAAACACTTAGCTTATACAGTCTATTTTGCTTGCATACCATTAAAAATATTTAGGGCCAGGCACGGTGGCTCATGCCTGTAATCCCAGCACTTTGGGAGGCCCATGTGGGCAGATCATGAGGTCAGGAGATCAAGACCATCCTGGCTAACACGGTGAAACCCCATCACCACTAAAAATACAAAAACAAAATTAGGCGGGCGTGGTGGCGGGCGCCTGTAGTCCCAGCTACTTGGGAGGCTTAGGTGGAAGACTGGCATGAACACAGGAGGCGGAGCTTGCAGCGAGCTGAGATCACGCCACTGCACTCCAGCCTGGGATACAGAGTGAGACTATGTCTCAAAAAAAAAAAAAATTATAATAATTTAGATTTGCTTTTTAAACAAAACAACAGGAAGTGAACAGACACCAAGGCATGCAAAGGGCTCCCACACCATAATGCTCCCGCACAATCTTCATACTGTTTCCGGGAAGATGCCCTTTGAAAGGAACAACACTGCTAAGTGACAACTGCCTCCAGGTTCAGGAGCCAACAAACAGTGACATTATTCAAATCTCAACACACTCTTAAGTTGAAGGGAGAAATAGTTTACCGTCGTTTTCGAAGGATATGAATCCAGATGGTCCCAGAAAGAAAGAAGAAAAAGGCCATTGAGATGTATAATTTGGGGAGAGGAATTTCTCCTGCTGAGAGGTAGCTGTCAGGATTCTTCTCTGTGATCTCAATCTGAAACCAGCATGAAATTAATTTTTACTTTTCAGAAACATATCATCCCTTATTCAGCAATTTGGAATCTCAGTTGTTTCACTTAAGCTTAAGAAAGTAAGTACCAGTGGCTGGGCATGGTGGCTCACACCTGTAATCTCAGCACTTTGGGAGGCTGAGGCGGGTGGATCACGATCACCTGAGATCAGGAGTTCAACACCAGCCTGGCCAACATGGTGAAACCCCGTCTCTACTAAAAACACAAAAAAAATTAGGGCCAGGCACAGTGGCTCACGCCTGTAATCCCAGCACTTTGGGAGGCCGAGGTAGGTGGATCACAAGGTTAGGAGTTCAAGACCAGCCTGGCCAACATGGTGAAACCCTGTCTCTACGAAAAACACAAAAATTAGCCAGGTGTGGTGGCGCACCCTTGTAATCCCAGCTACTTGGGAGGCTGAGGAAGGACAATCACTTGAACCCAGGAGGCAGAGGTTGCAGTGAGCCAAGATTGCACCACTGCACTCCAACCTGAGTGACAGAGCAAGACTCCGTCTGGAAAAAAAAAAAAAAAAATTAGCCAGGCATTGTGAAAGGCGCCTGTAATCCCAGCTACTCAGGAGGCTGAGGAAGGAGAATCACTTGAACCCAGGAGATGGAGGTTGCGGTGAGGCAAGATCATGCCATTGCACTCCAGCCTGGGCAACAAGAATGAAACTCCATCTCAAAAAAAAAAAAAAAAAAAGTGAGTACCAGCAAATAACCACACAACCACTTTTTTTTTTTAATTTGAGACAGGGTCTCACCCTTTTGCCCAGGCTGGAGTGCAGTGATGCAATCTCGGTTTACTG
This sequence comes from Homo sapiens, assembly GCF_000001405.40. Classification (NCBI taxonomy): domain Eukaryota; kingdom Metazoa; phylum Chordata; class Mammalia; order Primates; family Hominidae; genus Homo; species Homo sapiens. The sequence continues at coordinate 130,091,420 of NC_000009.12, read as the reverse complement.
TAACCTCTGCCTCCTGGGCTCAAGAAATCCTCCCACCTGAGTAGCCGGGACTAGAGGTGTGTACCACCACGCCTGGCTAATTTTTCACATTTTTTGTAGAGAGAGGGTTTTGCCATATTGCCCACACTGGTCTCAAACTCTTGGACTCAGGTGATCTGCCCACCTCAGCCTCCCAAAGTGCTGGGGTTACAGGCATGAGCCACCATGCCCAGCCAAAACAACCACATTCTTAACGCACAGGTTAAAGTGCAGACACATCCTAAATTGCTTTGTATTTTCCTATGAATCCTCTGCTGAAGTATCCTGCACAGTGGCAGGAATGTGTGTCTGCCCACATTCTTTTCTTAAGTATTCTTAAAATCTAATCTTATACAGAAACAAATCTCCCGTTTTATGCTGACAAAATCCACGTAGAACAATCTCCAAACAGTACTCACATCAAGGCTGAATGTAAACTTGTCACTTGGCAATTCTTTTCCAAGGCATTTATGAAAATAAAGACTGTAAAGGCCTTCTTGGTCATCAGTGCTGATGTTAAAGAAAAACTGAAAGTGAAGAAGAAAACATTTAAAGGTACCCAAATCCTCAGCGATATATATTTTTTCTTTTATTTTTTCTTTTAAAGTATTGTTTACTTTTTTGTTCAAATTCTACTCAGCTATATTTCTAAACCTTAGAAATAAGTTATGAATATTAATGGATTGAAGGAAATAAAGACAGACTGCTTAAATTATCGACTCTCCCACGGCAGAGTTTAAAGAGATATCTTCTTATTCTATGATTCCCTTCCGATATTTTGTTACAACAATTTTCAAGCATACAGAACAGCTGACAATTGTATAGTGAAAGATACATAGCCACAACCTCACTTCTACAGTGAACATTTTACTATGCCTGTTTTATCACAGATCTAGCCATTTGTGATGGCTTTGTGGAAGTCTTCAAAGATAACCTAAGATGTGGTTATCTAGTCTTCAAGCTAACGTATTATTTTGCTCTTTATAGGTATAAAATACTCTTTAAAAAGGAGGCTCATCTTATACTTGAAAACCAATCAATATTTCCTCATCAAAATTTACAACTATGGTTTTAGAGAAGAATAATAAAGGCTACATTTTCTACATTTAGACAGTTTTCTGTTTTTCATACATTTCATGAGTTTAAATGAAGTTTAATGTAAACCAAAAGACAGACAGACTTAGAGAATATGACTTCTTGGTCAAGCCTAAGAAAATTTTACTTCAGCCATAAGTTCTACCAATAAAAAGAAATCTCCCTGAAATACATTTTTAGGGCTACATATATATACCTATTAAACTACAAAGAAAAGCTAGGAAGTGACTACGGTAGCATTTTTCATGACGGGTTGCTCTAGAGTTGGGAAGGACTGCGAGGGAGACACAAGGTTTCTCAGGTGCTGGAACTGTTCTATTTCTTGTCCTGGGTGGTGGATCATAAAGGTGACTGTTCATAGTTACTTGTTAAAACTCAATATAAGTGCTTCACACTCTTCTGCATGTATACTGTACCTCACAATTTAAAAAAACGGGGAAAAATAGACATCTGACAAAAATAAAAATAAAAGACCAAGAACACATGAGCTGGAATGATTAATATGTTAAACCATGTGCCAAACTCAATGGTGAATGTGAATGTGTATTTTAATCCCCTGAGCTAGCCAGAATAAGAAAACTTTTCTAAACACATGGACAACTTCTATTTTAAAAGATTCAGGGGAAGTCTAAAAAAGATATGAAAGTTTAAAAGATATAATTTTTTTTAAAAAATCAATAGAATCATCATAGTTGATCAGAGTAGGCATCTGACCCTTAGAGAAAAAAACAAAACAAAAATGTCAACTCTAGAGTTGGAGTAAGCCCTGACAGTCCCCTTCCTGTATTTAGGTAGATAAACCACTATCCCCACGCCATGAATGAAGCAGAAGCGCTCAGAGTGGACTGCACCATCCAAGACTGGGAGACACTGGGTAGAACAGCGAGAAATCATGACGACTTCTTTCCAAGGTGGGGGAAAGCCAGAGAAACGCAAGCTACCCATGCACTGCCTGCTCCACGCATCCCAAGAACCCTGCGGATGGGCTGTTTCAGCACGTGCTGCTAATCACCATGCAGACTGCTGTGCCTGGATGTTCGCCTGACACAAAGTACTGGTGCCTGACACGTGTGCATCCTGTAACACTTTCCTTTGTGATTAAAAAAGAGGGAAGCATTTGAAAAACTTTTTTTTTTTTGAGATGGAGTCTCAGACTGTCGCCCGAGCTGGAGTGCAGTGGCGTGATCTCGGCTCATTGCAACCTCAGCCTCCCGGGTTCAAGCAATTCTCCTGTCTCAGCTTCCCAAGTAGCTGGGATTACAGGCGCCCACCACCACCACACCCAGCTAATTTTTTGTATTTATTTATTTATTTTTTTAGTAGAGACGGGGTTTCACTATGTTTGCCAGGCTGGTCTCAAACTCCTAACCTTGTGATCCCAAAGTGCTGGGATTACAGGTGTGAGCCACCATGCCTGGCCTGAAAAACATTTTAAAAACTCATTTTATTAACAAGCATTTTAAAGTGAGAGAAGGAAGAGAGAAAAGTGCCTTTTGTATTTTCTCAAGGAGGCAGTAAAAGGCAAAGTGGTTAAACACATGGGCCTTGGAGTCAAACAAACGTGGATCTGAATCCCCTGCTTAGGGCAGGTTACATTACCTCTCTGAGCACAGTTTCTCATTGGTAAAAGAGAAAAAATAACAATACCGACTTCACAGAGTTGTTTAGAGGATTAACTGAGATAATGACATAGAAGCACTTAGCACAATGCCTGGTATTGGTTCATTAGTCTCTATAAATATAGGCCCAAGGCCAAGATCAGGAGTTTCATATACATCAATAATAAGAGACAGAAAACCCCTGCCCTTAAGGTATCTTCTGTAGAGGGGGAGACAGGCAATAAACATAACTAAGTACAGTATACAGCATGTTGGAAGTGATAATACTAAGGAAAGACAGAGCACAATGAGGGAAATAGGAGTGAGCTACAAACAAGAGAAGCTTTGTTGAGAAGGTGACATTTCAGCAAAGACTTACGGAATTCTGAGAGACAGCATTCCTGCCTGTGGGAACAGCGAGAGCAGAGCCTAAAGCCTGATCTGTCCGAGAAAAAGCAAGGCGGCTTGTGTGGGAGAGCAGAGTGTGAACAACAGGAGCTGAGATCAGAGAGACAACAGGGGCTAGACCACATGGGCCTTGCAGACCAGTGGGAAGACCTGGGCTTTACTCCAAGACAGATGGAAAGCTGTTGGAGGGTTCTGAGCAAATGAGCACCCTGCAAGTTCTCAATAACCGTTAGCTATTAATAAGGATGGCGACGAAAATGATGGTTACTAAGCTTAAAGAACATACAAACATTGTTGAACAGGCAAAATGATCCATGGAAAAAGAAATCAGAACAGTGCTTATGGGGATAGAGGGGCTTTCGCAGAAGATGGAAACACAGAAATATTGAGACAGTGAATTACATGGGTATATATGCATTTGTCAGTACTGAACAAACCGTATACTTAAGACACGACCTGTGCATTTCACTGTAGGCTTTTTTTTTTTTTTTTTTTTGAGACAGGGTCTCACTCTGTCACCCAGGCTGCAGTGCAGTGGCATGATCGAGGTTCACTGTGTGAACCTTGACCCCCCAGGCTCAAGTAATCCTCCTGCCTCAGCCTCCCTAGTAGCTGGGACTAGAGGCACATGCCATCACACCTGGCTACTTTTTGTAATTTTTTTTAAGAGATGAAGTTTCACCACATTTCCCAGGATAGTCTTGAACTCCTGGGCTCAAGTGATCCTCCCACCTTAGCCTCCCTAGTAGCTGGGACTGTAAGCATCTACCACCATGCCTGGCTAATTTTTGTATTTTTTGTAGAGATGTTTCACCATGTTGCCCAGGCTGGTCTCAAAACTCCTGGGCTCAAGCAATCCGCCTACCTCAGCCTTCCAAAGTGCTGGGATAACAGGCGTGAGCCACCACGCCCTGCCATTTTTTATTTTTAGATGATTAAACAGTGAGGTTCAGAAAGTAAGTGAGACCAGGCAAGGTGGCTCACATCTGTAATCTCGGCACTTTGGGAGGCCCAGGTAAGAGGACTGCTTGATCCCAGGAGTTCAAGACCAGCCTGGGCAACAGAGCAAGACCTCATCTCTACAAAAAATTTAAAAATTAGCCAGGTATGGTGGTCTATGCCTGTAGTCTCAACTACTTGGGAGGCTGAGGCAGGAGGATCACTTGAGCCTAGGAGGTTGAGGCTGCAGTGAGCCGTGATTATACCATTGCACTCCAGCCTGGGCAACAGAGTGAGACCTTGTCTCAAAAACAAAACAAAAAGAAATGAAGTGAGGTGTCCAATACACCCAGCTAGTAAGTGGGTTCTGAGGCCCAGTCCAGTATCTTGTTCCCATACGTATGCTATTATGCTGCCCCTAAACACTCATGGGCAATTAATAACTCTGACAGCTAAGCAGGTCACTCAAAGCCTCTGAGTCTAGGTGAAATCATCTCTAAAATTACAACATCACCGTAAATCATCATCAATGGTCCTTTCAGAATGGGGTACTATGCTTCTGGCACACTTTGAATGGGAGGTAGCATGGGATTGGGGCAAAGGGGTCATGGGAACAGCCAGGCAGGACTGGGTTGGAAACTGTACCGTGTCACCTACACTAGATAGTCACAAAGTTATTCACTCTCAGAGACTTCTGATTTGATAAGTAGATGGGTAACAATATCCACCTTGTGGGCTTGTTATAAGGAGAGCTACTGCATTTAAGTGACTGATACAGGGCATACCTAAGTTGTTATTCCTAAATTCAAAATTCCTCTAAAAAAAAATTACCCTTTTACATGGTAGAGAGAAATTCTAGGAGGCTTTACACAAAGAGCATACATACCTGAAATGACACTGCCCCACCATTATTATGAACAGAAAAGGATTTCTCTCCCATGGCCTAAAAAGACATAATAGTATGTTTTAGGATGACACCGGCATAGAAGCATGCTAATTAAAAGTAATTTATTAAACAAAACAAAACATGTTTCTTAAACTCTAAATTTGCTGACCTTCAAAAAAGCTCTCTGAAAATAAAACCAACTATCCTTTCGAGATGGCTGAAATCTGCTTTCACAGAGAATGGTAGTTGTTCTTCACCTGTCTCTTCTGCCTCTGCACTAACCCCTACCTCCACCCCCTGCCTTGAATCTTTCGGCTAGACAGCTTGTCTACCCTTGAAGCTTCAGTCAGACTAAGGGTGCTGACCCAGGCCATGCCCTGTTACATCCCCTGAATTCCACTCCTGACATCAAATGACCAAAATATTGGCCAGGCACAGTGGCTCACGCCTGTAATCCCAACATATTGGGAGGCCAAGGTGGGCAGATCACTTGAGGTCAGGAGTTCAAGACCAGCCTGGCCAACAAGGTGAAACCCCATCTCTACTAAAAATACAAAAATCAGCCAGGCGTGGTGGTGCGTGTCTATAATCCCAGCTACTCCGGAGGCTGAGGCAGGAGAACTGCTTGAACCTGGGAGGTGGAGGTTGAGATCGTGCCACTGCACTCCAGCCTGGGTGGTAGAGCAAGACTGCGTTCCCCCCGGCAAAAAAAAAAAAAAAAATCAAAATATTGCCATTTATACAGTAAAACTGAGCAATGAAAAGAAATGATACATGCAACAATGTGGATGAACTCAAAGTAATTATGCTGAATATAAGACAGAAAAGAGTGCTGCATAATTCAGTTATATGAAGTTCTATAAAACTAATCTATACCCCAGTGACAGATCAGTGATTGCTTGGGGACAGGGGGCTTACAAAAAGGCAGAAGAAATTTTTGGGGTGATGGATATTTCACTACCTTGATTGATAAGTCAAAGTTATCAGATTGCTGCTTTACATATCTACAGTTTATTTTAGGTCAATTATACTTCAACAAAGCTGTTAAGACAAAACATCACCATTTAGATGTCCCCCTCATGGAGAAATCAAGATATCGCCAACCAAAACTTTCCCAGTTTTTCCACTTCTGCTATTTCTACGACCCACTCCTCTGCTCCTCTCTTTCCCTCCCATGACCCTAACTGGCTTCCCAGTCGTTTACCATCCAAGGCTCTGCTCTAGTCCAGATCCTCATCACCCGAAACCTGTATTCTCACAACTGTGTCCTTCCTGGTCCTTCTAACAACCCTTTCTCCTTCTCCAAGGCTACCCTTCACGTCACTTTCAGAATTATGATCTTTAATAAACAGTCTTTCCCAATCAGGAACTCAGGATGACTTCCCGTAGCCTGCTCATCAATTCCTCTATTGCTTGGCCCTATATTATCTAAGACCTCTCTCTGCTCCCAAATATGTGTCTTTTACTTCAAACGAGCCAGTGCTCAGCATTTGTCATCATCCAGTCTTTGCGTATGGCATTCTTCCTCCCCTCCCTTGTCTTTCTCTTCCCTGAACAAACTCCAGACTCAGCCCCGGCGACAGCTCCTTCCAGAGGGCTTTTCTGATGGTTTGGCATCTTCCTTCCCTAACTACCTGATCCTACATCATGTAAGTGCTGTGCAACTTAGAAATCAATTTTCTTTTCCTTTTTTTTTTTTTTGAGACAGGGTCTCACTCTGTCACCCAGGCTAGAGTGAAGTGGCACAATCATAGCTCACTGTAGCCTTAGCCTCCCAGGCTCAGGTGATCCTTCCACCTCAGCCTCCAGAACAGCTGCGACCACAGGCGCATACCACCATGCCCGCTAATTTTCTATTTTTTGTAGAGATAAGGTTTCGCCATGTAGCCCAGGCTGGTCTTGAACTCCTGGGCTCAATTAATCCACCCACCTCAGCCTCCCACAGTGCTGGGATTACAGGCGCAAGCCACCATGCCCAGCCAGGAATCAATTGTCCTTTGAAATTGTTTCAGTATGTCAATGCTCTCCCCCAAAATAGGAGACAATTCCCTGTAGATTTTTTTTTTTTTTTAACTTTTTTTGAGATAGTCTCACTCTGTCACCCAGGCTGGAGTGCAGTAGCGCGATCTTGGCTCACTGAAGCCTCTGCCTCCCAGGTTCAAGTGATTCTCCTGCCTCAGCCTCCCAAGTAGCTGGGATTACAAGCATGCACCACCAAGCCCAGCTAATTTTTGTATTTTTAGTAGAGACAGAGTTTCACTATGTTGGCCAGGCTGGTCTCGAACTCCTGATCTCAAGTGATCCCCCAACCTCAACCTCCCAAAGTGCTGGGATTACGGCATGAACCACCACATCTGGCCCCCTGTAGATGAGATATGCGTGTGTGTGTATGTATGTATGTGTGTACATATATATATATATATATATATGTTAGCTCTCTGTATTGCAGGTTCCACATCTGCAGATTGAACCAACTGCCAACCAAAAATATTTTTTAAAATAAGATGAAAAAGTAATAGTAATAAATAACATAAATAAAAATCCAACACAGTGTAACAACTATTTACAAAGCATTTACGTTGTATTAGGTATCATGAGTACTCCAGAGATGATTTAAAGTACACAGGAGGATGTGTGTAGGTTATGTGTAAATACTATGCCATTTTATATAAGAGACATGAGCATCTACTGATTTTGATATTCACTAGGGTTCCTGTAACCAATCCCCTGTGGTCACCAAGGGACGACTGTATATGTATGTGTCTGTGCATGCATGTATGTATATATATCAATACACACACACACATGCATATAACACACACACGTACACACATATCCAGAAAAGCTGAGCACAAAAGGGTGGTTAGTTCTTACCTTTGAATCCACTGTACTTCTTTTAGACTTTCCACCATCTAGAAGCAAGAACATTTAAAAGAGAGTGCTGCATGACTCAACTTACAGATACATATATATATTACAGTATCATTTTATGAGGCTTCAGCTTGTCTAATATCAAATAATTAAACAAAATAATCTTGGGGACTGCCATTTCCTCAGGTCCCAAAACATAATTCTTGTACTGTCGAAGCAGCAAATTAGACCTTGTTATATTATAAATGGTATCTAGTAACCGGTAATAGTAACAACAGAATTCATTTCTGGATATTCTAGCTTATGTTATTGCCAGAGAGGCCACATGGAATGACTTCCTAATTTTCTAAGTAATCACATTTGAAAACACAATTTTTAAGAAGAAGGCCAGGTGCGGTGGCTCATGCCTGCAATCCCAACACTTTGGGAGGCTGAGGCAGGTGGATCACCTGAGGTCAGGAGTTTGAGACCAGCCTGGCCAACCTGGCGAACCCCCATCTCTACTAAAAATACAAAAATTAGTCGGGCATGGTGGTGCATGCCTGTAATCCCAGCTACTCGGGAGGCTGACACAGGAGAATCCCTTGAACCCAAAAGGTGTAGGCTGCAGTGAGCTGAGATCATACCACTGCACTCCAGCCTGGGTGACAGAGCGAGACTCCATCTCAAAAAGAAAAACATGAGATACATTTACACACTTGAAAAAGTTAACAGCAAGTAATATTAGCATAATGATACTTTCCTCCCTACAGCAAGAAGATTGCTAATGGCTTCTTTCATGGAACAGAGTGGGCATCTATCTTTTGTTTTCACTTAAGATATTCTTGGGCTGGGTGCGGTGGCTCATGCCTATAATCCCAGCACTTTGGGAGGCTGAGATGGGCGGATCATGAGGTCAGGAGATTGAGACCATCCTGGCTAACATGGTGAAACCCCGTCTCTACTAAAAAATACAAAAAAATTAGCCACGTGGTGGCAGGTGCCTATAGTCCCAGTTACTCGGGAGGCTGAGGCAGGAGAATGGCGTGAACCTGGGAGGTGGAGCTTGCAGTGAGCCGAGATCGCGCCACTGCACTCCAGCCTGGGAGACAGAGCAAGACTCCGTCTAAAAAAAAAAAAAAAAAAAAAAAAGATATTCTTTTTGGGAAAGACTGGACTTCAGGCTCCCTGCAGGAAGGAAGAGAATAAAGAGAAAGAAAAGAATATTTTCTTCCCAGAGAACGGTGATATGAGCACAAAGAAGCCAGACAAGAAGCAGATGGTGCACAGGCATTAACCTACACCATTGCACAAATGCAGTCTTTCTGTGTGGCTTTTAACTGCAGTCAAGTTGGACAGACTGAACGACATAGTTTAGATGTCTGTCCCCTCCAAATCTCATGTGGAAAGGCAGTCCCCAGTGTTGGATGTGAGGGCTAGTGTGAGGTATCTGAGTCATGAGGACATATCCCTCATGAATGGCTGGTGCCCTCCTTGTGGTAAGGAGTGAGTTCTTGCTCCGAGTTCAGGCATGATCTGGTTGTTTAAAAGAGTGTGGCACCTCCCCACTCTCTCTTGCTCCTGCTCTCGCCATGTGACCTGCCTGCTCCTTCTTGCCTTCTGCCATGATTGGAAGCTTCCTGAGGCCCTCACCAGGAGTAGATTCCGGCGCCATGCTTTGTATAGCCTGCAGAACTGTGAGGCAATTAGACAATTAAACCTCTTCTTTTTTTGTTGTTGTTGTTGTTTTTCGGTGGTGGTGGTTGGTTTTGAGACAGGCTCTCACTCTGTCACCCAGGCTGGAGTGCAGTGGCGCAATCTCGGCTCACTGCAGCCTCTGTCTCCTGGGTTCAAGAAATTCTTTTGCCTCAGCCTCCCCAACAGTTGGGACTACAGGCGCATGCCACCACATCCGGCTAATTTTTGTGTTTTTTGTTTTTTGTTTTTTTTTTTTTGAGACAGAGTCTCACTCTGTCGCCAGGCTGGAGTGCAGTGGTGCGATCTTGGCTCACTGCGAACTCCATCTCCCTGGTCCAAGCAATTCTCCTGCCTCAGTCTCCTGAGTAGCTGAGATCACAGGCACGTGCCACCATGCCCGGCTAATTTTTTGTATTTTTAGTAGAGACGGGGTTTCACCATGTTGGCCAGGATGGTCTCAATCTCTTGACCTTGTGATCTGCCCACCTCGGCTTCCCAAAGTGCTGGGATTACAGGCGTGAGCCACCACACCCGGCCTAATTTTTGTATTTTTAGTAGAGATGGGGTTTCACCATGTTGGCCAGGCTGGTCTTGAACTCCTGACCTCAAGTAATCTGCCCGCCTTGGCCTCTCAAAGTGCTGGGATTACAGGGATGAACCACCATGCCCAGCCTCCTTTGAGAAAAACATTGTATAAGCAGTAAGTATGTATGTATTTATTTCGGAGACAGGGTCTTGTTCTGTCATCCAGGCTGCAGTGCATCACGGCTCAATGTGGCCTAGACCAGTCACATTCAAGCAATCCTCCTGCCTCAGTCTCTTGAGGAGTTGTGACTACAGGCACATGCCACTACGCATGGCTAATTTTTTTATTTTTATTTTTGCAGAGACAGGGCCTCGCTATGTTGCTCAGGCTGGTACAAGCTCCTAGACTCAAGTGATCCTCCCACTTTGGCCTCCCAAAGTGCTGGGATTATAGGCGTGAGCCACTGCACCTGGCCATAAATTATCTTTAAAGAACTCACATGAATCATCAGATGAACCTGACAGTTAATAAAAAATGGTGAATATAAATTGGTTAATCAACACATGGAGAAAAAGTACAGTCTCAGTAATAAGAGTAAATATAAATAAACAGGGCCGGGCGCAGTGGCTCACGCCTGTAATCCCAGCACTTTGGGAGGCCGAGGCGGGCGGATCACGAGGTCGGGAGATCGAGACCATCCTAGCTAACACCGTGAAACCCTGTCTCTACTAAAAATACAAAAAATTAGCCGGGCATGGTGGCGGGCGCCTGTAGTCCCAGCTACTTGGGAGGCTGAGGCAGGAGAATGGCGTGAACCCGGGAGGCGGAGCTTGCAGTGAGCCGAGATTGCGCCACTGTACTCCAGCCTGGGCGACAGAGCGAGACTCCGTCTCAAAAAATAAATAAATAAATAAATAAATAAATAAATAAACAGGAATACCTTTTTTGCCTTTCATTTTAGGATTTTGTTTTTTGAAAAGAAAATACCCCATATTGGCTAGGACATGATAATGTGCCCACTATTCCTACATATTTCTGATAAGAATATAAATCCACACAACTCATTTGGAAAGGAATTTAAAAATATACATCAATATTCTCAAATGCATTCATATCCTTTGAACCAGAAATTGCAATTCTGAAAACCATCTTAAAGAACGTTCGCTATACGAAGACAGTTCTATGCATAAAGAAGTCCACTGCAGCAATATTCATAATCACACAAAAATGGAAATGTGTCTCCTTAAGGGGAAAGGTTGAGCAAATTACAGTATCTGCTTAACAGGATATATGATAGGTATGAAATGGGCTAAAAAGTAATCAGGCATGTATATAAAATTATAAGCATGACTGAATTTTAAAAATCAAATGTTCTAGACTTATGAAACAAGCTTATAAGAAAACATAAATTACTAAAATTCTAACACTGGGAATAAGGAGAAATGACTGTTGTTTTTCCATCTGCTTCAGATTTTCCACATTTTTCTTTAACATTTACGTATTTTTGTGTAACTTCCAAAATATAATGCTAAGACGACAACAGATCATGTTTTACTTTTACTTTTAATTAGGAACAAAAAAGCTACAAAGCAGGTAGTGAAAACTGAAAGCCAGTTTCCACCTTACGGTTTACCTTGTGTCTTCTGGGTCTGGTTGCCTGCTGAAGCAGGGTTAACATTAGGCTCCTGGCTCTGACCAAGGACTTTCTCATCCCTGCTGAAGATGATCTTTGGTAACTGGGTACCAGCTTCTGGTGGAGACTTTACTCTTACCCTACATTCAAATAAGACAGAAGGAAAAAAGGTCAAAGCAGTGCTCCTGGCCACTGAGCACGCTGCGTGTAGGCCCTGTGCCAAGCTCATGCAGTCCTTATCATGTTCTACAATGTAGATTCTATTATCCACATTCTACAGATACCAAAACTGAGGCTCAGAAACGTTAAATAACTTGCCCAAGGGCACCAAGCTAGGAAGTAGTTGGACGAGGATCCAGGTAGTCTCTCTTAAGCCTAAGATCTTAGTAACCACACAATTCTGAGGTACATCTTTCTCCTTAAGTATCGTTAAAATGCTCAGCAAATTGGTGCACAAGAGAAACGGACAAAATGTAAAACATCAGTAAGACTTTAAAGTGAAATCCAGGCCAGGCATGGTGGCTCACGCCTGTAATCTCAGCACTTTGGGAGGCTGAGGCGGGTGGATCACTTGAGGTCAGGAATTCAGGAACAGCCTGGCCAACATGGCAAAACCCTGTCTCTACTAAAATTACAAAAAAAAACTGGCCGGGTGTGTTGGCATGCACCTGTAATCCCAGCTACTTGGGAGGCTAAGGCAGGAGAATCGCTTGAACCTGGGAGGTGGAGGATGCAATGAGCCAAGATCGTGCCACTGCACTCCAGCCTGGGCCACAGAGCGAGACCCCGTCTCAAAAAATAAAGAAAGCAAGTGAAATCCAGGGAAGCACGAGAGGGCAGTGGCACTGTTAGTTGCCTCCTAATATCCATTTCCACCCTTCCCCCTTCTCATGAGACCCAATTTTGTTTACCCCATCCCACCCAGGAGGGGCCAGTGACAGTTCCCATGACTGAGTGGATGCCCAACCTAAGCTGGCACATTCAAGCACTTCTCATTCTACCTGGAGGAGGAGCCTGCTCTCTGTCCCTTGGCTGGATATGAATGATGGAGCAGAGCCACCTTGTGATGGCTGGGAAACCTGCCTGAGGAAGAAGCTAACACTCAGGATGGCAGAGCAGAAAGATGAAATGCACCAGAGTCCCTAACATCAGCAAGCCACCGCAGGCCTGTCTCTCGCCTGCCCCACTGCACATAGGTGAGGTAATCAATGTCTTCACTATTCACGCCAGAGTCTAAGTCAAGTCTTTTGTTGCTTGCTTCCAAAAGTAGACTGACCAATACAGGAGACTGTCAGATCAATCTTCTTAAATGAAAACAGAGGTTATCACGGAGAATATTTTAAAAGTTAGGGTCTACAATGGTTTTATGACAAAGCATTTTTTTTTTAGAAGCTTATTCATTAGTCTTCTTACCTCCAGTCTTGTTCATCTCAAATCCATCCTCTTCTGGGCTGCTAGGAGTCTACCTTACAGGCAAGTCTGAGCACATGATTCCTACCTTAAAGGCTCCCTCAGCAATTACAAAGTACGCAGTTGGAAGTATGCTGAACTTGAAAACACAAAGTCTGATAATTCATCAAAGTTCAACATTTTTTTTTTTTTTTTGAGACGGAGTCTCACTCTCTCACCCAGGCTGGAGTGCAGTGGCGCGATCTCGGCTCACCGCAAGCTCCGCCTCCTGGGTTCACACCATTCTCCTGTCTCAGCCTCCCGAATAGCTGGGACTACAGGCGCCCACCACCACGCCCGGCTAATTTTTTGTATTTTTAGTAGAGACGGGGTTTCACTGTTTTAGCCAGGATGGTCTCAATCTCCTGACCTCGTGATCCGTCCGCCTCGGCCTCCCAAAGGGCTGGGATTACAGGCATGAGCCACCATGCCCGGCCTCAACATTTTCAAAGAGGCTGAATTGTCAGAAATCCTCACCAACAATCTCATGAGGCAGATACCATCATCACGAAGTAGGTAAGGACACTGAGGCCCGGAGTCACAGGGCTGGTGAGTGGCAGAAGCCATTACGTGGACCCAGTCTTGTTTCCACTCTGCCTTTGCATAGACTATGCCCTCTGCCTGGAATGCTTTACTTATTCATCTGGTAAAAGGCTACTCACTAGAAAGCTGCTTGGGCCAACACTTATCTGAAGCCTCTCCTTCCTTTCTACAATTCATGAGTTCTTCCCTTCCACTTCTCTGTTTGGCGGTGATCATGTGTATTTCCGTTCTGTCTCTCCCATCAAGGACAGGACCTCTGTCTCCCTAGCCTTGTCTTGAATCTCCAGCACTCAGCACGGTCTCTGGCACATGGCAGACACCCAAGGAATGTTAGCATACTACTAAATTCTCCCCGACTCTACTCTAGGACTGAACTGAAGGAACTTTAGAATTACTTACTCACTTCTGGAGATGTCTAGGATTAAAAGGGTGACAGAGACAGACTGTTTCTTTAAAATACAGTAATTCACATCTTCATCCTGAGAAAGGAAGAGCCAATTGTACATCATCTTATTCATTCACACTAGAACAAGAACAGAGTTTTCAGGAACATAGCAAATACGTGGCTCAAACTCCATTCAAAATAGTAAACCGGTGGGCGTGGTGGCTCACGCCTGTAATCCCAGCACTTTGGGAGGCCGAGGTGGGTGGATCGTGAGGTCAGGAGATCGAGACCATCCTGGCCAACATGGTGAAACCACGTCTCTACTAAAAATACAAAAATTAGCCAGGTGTGGTGGCGGGCACCTGCAGTCCCAGCTACTCAGGAGGATGAGGCAGAAGAATCACTTGAACGAGGGAGGCGGAGGTTGCAGTGAGCCAAGATCACACCATTGCACTCCAGCCTCGGCAACAAGAGTGAGACTCTGTCTCAAAAAAAAAAACAAAAAACAAAAGTAAACCAACTGTGGGTTCTCAAAAATGCTTGGAAGTCAAAGCAGCCACTACCTCAAGAAATGGCGCTGTGGCCAGGCGTGGTGCTCACGCCTGCAGTCCTAGCACTCTGGGAGGCCACAGTGGGTGGATCCCTTGAGTCCAGGAGTTTGAGACATGGCCAACAAAATGTGAAACCCTGTCTCTACTAAAAATACAAAAATTAGGCAGGCGTGGTGGCACACGCTGGTAGTCCCAGCTACTCAGGGGACTGAGGCGGGAGGATCGCTTAAGCCTGGGAGGTCAAGGTTGCAGTGAGCTATGATTGTGCCACCGTACTCCAAAAAAAAAATGAAAATGGAACTGCAAGAAGTAGGGTGTTCCCGTTCAATGGCCTGGGCTCAGGTGAAGAGATGAATCAGGTCACACATTTAATACTCACCAGGTAAGAAGAAAAGCCATCATTCTTTGTACGGTCTAGGCTAAATCCAATCTAATGGGGAGTAAAAACAGTAGAAGTAAATATCTACACAATTGTCCATACTTTTCTTACTCAAAAAGCAGAAAAAGTGGTACTTCTAACGTGGTCTCCTCTGTTTTCTTAGCATTCATTTTGTAAGAAGGCAAAGTAAAATCACTCAAGCAAAGTCACTAATTACTAGAATTATTACAGAATTACATTTTAAGTGTTAAAAGTGAAATTATTTGATGCCTGATATATAATTTGCTACTCACATGCTTAATTATCTCCATATTCTGGTATTTTATATTTAAGCATTGGGGTTGGAAGGTGACTCTCACCTAAGCTAAAAGAGTAAACCCCTGGGCTGGGCGCAGTGGCTCACACCTGTAATCCCAGCACTTTGGGAGGCCAAGGCGGGTGGATCACGAGGTCAGGAATTCAAGACCAGCCTGGCCAAGTTGGTGAAACCCCGTCTCTACTAAAAATACAAAAATTAGACGGTCATGGTGGTGGGTGCCTGTAATCCCAGCTACTCGGGAGGCTGAGGCAGAGAACTGCTTGAACCCGGGAGGTGGAGGTTGCAGTGAGCTGAGATTGCGCCACCGCACTCCAGCCTGGGTGACAGAGCAAGACTCCATCTCAAAAAAAAAAAAAAAAGAGTAAACCCCTGGATCTCATTAAAAGGTACTTACAGTCACATCCTTGTCTTCAGGCTCATTCAGTGAGAGGCTACTGACATTCACCACCATGTACCCATCCTTGAAGAAGCCAAAGGTGTTCAGATGAACTTTATGCCTCACATCATCCTAAAGAGATTTGTAGTGGTGGAATTAGTCATATGGAAAAGTGCTTTTGATTATTTAACCTATTCATTTGCTTTAAAAAGTATGATATCAGGCTGGGCACGGTGGCTCAAGCCTGTAATCCCACCACTTTGGGAGACTGAGGCGGGTGGATCACCTGAGGTCAGGAGTTTGAGACCACACTGGCCAACATGGCGAAACCCTGTCTCTACTAAAAATACAAAAAGTTAGCCGGGCATGGTGGCGGGCACCTGTAATCCCAGCTACTTGGGAAGCTGAGCCAGCAGAATTGCTTGAACCTGGGAGGTGGAGGTTGCAGTGAGCCGAGATCATGCCACTGCACTCTAGCTTGGGTGACGGAGCAAGACTCTGTCTCAAAAAAAAAAAAAAAAAAAAAGGTAAAAGAAAAGAAGAGAAAAACTATGATATCTTATTTCTTGCTAGCCAGCCAATGTTTCCATATGCTCAGTAACATACACAGCTGTGGTAACATGTCTTTCTCCAAAAGCTGAAGACAACTCATCGGAAATCCAAAAGATATCAACAGTTTCTGCAGAAGGAAGTATTCAATGGATTCAAATTCACTCCAATGCATTGGTATGGGTTCTAGGGGCAAACTCAGTGGTTGGCTGAAATGTGAATTCCAGGGCAGGAGGAACCATGTTATCGTCATCCCCACATCCTTCCTGATAGTACAATGCCTGGCATCTAGTAGGCACTCAAAACATGCTGGGGGGTGGGGAGGAAGAAAAGGAGCGGCTGAAGCTGTTCCAAGAATACACTCATTTATATAAATCCTCTTATCAATTTGTGTGTACCTGGCTCCTCCCATTGGCAGGATAAAGAATGAAGCTAAGCTATAAGTCAATTATTTAAAAAGGTGAATTTTCACCTAAAAGTGATACAGTAGATGATGGGTTTTCAGGGAACAAAGCCTTATGCAAGAGGAATCCCAGGAATAGGAATTAGCGACATGGAGACAGAGTCTTTTGGATACAAGATAATCCTAAGGTTTGGTGAGACTGAATCACATGGGCAGACGCCTACCCCACCTGCTTGATGCTGTCTCAACATCCTGACTCCAATCTCAACTAAGTCAGTACACTGCAGGGCCAACAGAGCAATGGTGTCAGTGAACACTTCTAAAACTGGGCTTCCACAAACACACTTTATGTTGTGTAACAATTTTTATATTGAGATTTGGCTAAATTGCAACACCTTCCGTAAGTCTGCAATTTGATTCTTGGTGTGAAGGGTAACTTTTTATTTCTAGATTTGGGGTTTCCTGGACATCCCGGGTAGTCTAATGGCAAACACCAAAGGCCTGTGAGGACAGGCTGTGGAGCAGATCTTTGGCAGAAACAGCATAAACTAAATCCCCTCCTCTCCCCCACAGAACTACACCACACTGCACTATCACTAGCAGGATTTTCTTTCCTGCCCACTCTTGCATTCATAGCTTTTTGACAGCCCTAGATTATGGGCTGAGAAGCAGAGGGACACAGTTCCAACTCACCTCCCTGCTCAGGCCTAAGGCTATGGTCCCTGTTTCCCCTCAACATCTGTTAAAAACCCAGGACTCGGCCGGGCGTGGTGGCTCACGCCTGTAATCCCAGCACTTTGGGAGGCCGAGGCAGGAGGATCACTTGGGGTCAGGAGTTCGAGACCAGCCTGGCCAAAATGGGAAACCCTGTCTCTACTAAAAATACAAAAAAATTAGCCGGGCATTGTGGCACATGCCTGTAATCCCAGCTACTTGGGAGGCTGAGGCAGGAGAATCACTTGAACCCGGGAAGCAGAGGTTGCAGTGAGCCGAGATCGTGCCATGGCACTCCAGCCTGGGTGACACAGTGAGACTCTGTCTCAAAAACAACAACAACAAACAAACAAAACAAACAAAAAACCCAGGCCTCTGGGCTTCAAGTTTCTGCAACGTCACAGGGAAGCCCTGGCTTCCCTGTTCTTTCCCCAATGGAGTTTCAGCTCCTTCTTCCCTTTTTTGGGCCCCTGGGAATTTCCCTTATTTTCTTAGGAGCTTGGCTATGTGGTGAAAACATGTTTGCTGGATTTCCACTTCCTGGTGGGCTGGAGTGGCTTGCAGCAAACCAACATTCTCACAGAGAACAATTAGAAAAGCCAGATAAGATAACAGAGGTCATCTCCTGGAATCTACAAGAGTGGGTCAATGGTAAAAGCCAGAAAAGCTAAGGCTCCCAGCCTTTCTTGGAATTCTCTGAGAGAATTAAACCCACGGAAAATGTCTTCAGTATCTATTTTCTCAATTCTCTCAAGGACAGTATATGATGACTACCCTCCTAGAGGCACAGGAGACATTAACTCAACTACATAAATGGATGCCTTAGCACATTAGGGCTTCATTCTCTGGCAGAATCCTCAGTGGAGCAGGACTGCAGAGGGAGAGGATGAGGGAAAATGAACACACAATTTCTGCCACATAAAACAACGTATATGAATCACAGCCATATTCATGTAAAACAAACTGGAATGCAGGGGGAAATCATCTGTGGTGACGGAGGTGAAGACAGTGACCACTCTCAGGAGAAAGGGGCTTTCCTGGGACTTGAGGGAAGGTGAGGCTTAGGGTGCTTCTGGAGGGGCTTGGTAATGGTTCTGCCTCATTTCCTGCGGGCTGCATGAGTGTGTCTACGTTCTGGAAATGCGCTGAGTTGTTTGCTTATAATGAGTAATTTTTAGCCATGTATATTACATTTCAATAAAGTTTTAATTTTAAAAGTATGTCTTTTCTAATTGGTCCAGCATGAAGCTGCTTTGCAGCAGAATGGAAACCTGCTAGGCTTTCATTTATACTTAGGCCACCACAATACAGGTTTTCTTGTTGTTTTGTTTTTTTTTTCCAGAAAATGTTTCGATTGCAACCTGATAGCAGTTCCCCCCCCAACATAAATAGTACATTCCTTTTTTTTAAACCTTTGCATCATCATTTCATTTGATGATACAATGCCATGAAAAACAGGTTTTTGAAGACTATTTTAAACAATAAAAACAGCATCGGCTGGGCACGATGGCTCATGGCAGTAATCCCAGCACTTTGGGAGGCCAAAGCAGGCAGATCACCTGAGGTCAAGAGTTCGAGATCAAGGCCGGGCGCGGTGGCTCACACCTGTAATCCCGGCACTTTGGGAGGCCGAGGCAGGCAGATCACAAGGTCAGGAGATTGAGACCATCCTGGCTAACACGGTGAAACCTCATCTGTACTAAAAACACAAAAAATTAGCTGGGCGAGGTGGCACGCGCCTGTAGTCCCAGCTACTCGGGAGGCTGAGGCAGGAGAATGGCGTGAACCCCAGGGGGCGGAGCCTGCAGTGAGCCGAGATCACGCCACTGCACTCCAGCCTGGGCGACAGCGAGACTCCATCTCAAAAAAAAAAAAAAATTAAATAAATAAAAAAATAAATAAATAGAAAGAGTTCAAGATCAGCCTGGCCAACATGGTGAAACCCCATATCTACTAAATACAAAAATTAGCCAGGTGTGGTGGTGTGTGCCTGTAATCCCAGCTACTTGGTAGGCTGAGGCAGAAGTGCTTGAACCGAGGAGGCAGAGGCTGCAGGGAGCCGGGTTGTACCACTGCACTCCAGTCTGGGAAACAGAGCAAGACTGTCTCAAAAATAATAATAATAAGGCTGGATTACGCCTGTAATCCCAGCACTTTGGGAGGCCGCGGCGGACGGATCACCTGAGGTCAGGAGTTTGAGACCAGCCTGGCCAACATGGTGAAACCCCGTCTCTACTAAAAGTACAAAAATAAGCCAGGCTTGCTGGCAGGCATCTGTTAATCCCAGCTACTTGGGAGGCTGAGGCAGGAGAATCGCCTGAACCTGGGAGGCAGAGGTTGCAGTAAGCGGAGATTGCACCATTGCACTCCAGCCTGGGGGACAAGAGCAAGACTTTATCGCAAAAAACAAAACAAAACAAAAATAGTAATAATAATAATAATGATAATAACAACAGCATCACAACTCCCAGTTTTCAGAGTCTTCCAAGAACTAGGTTATGTGCCAAGGGCTTTACCTATGATTTCTGACCCTCGCTCAGCTCAGTGTGGTTAAGAGAAGCAGCCCCACGGTAGCGATGAAGACACCAGTTCAGAGGAGAAATGACTACCTGAGGCCAAGCAGACTATAGCTAATAAAGCTGGGGCTTCAAACTAGATCTGATATGAGAGCCATTTTCACATTATCATTTCCTAACAAGGGAAAGTAATCATGATACAACATTAAATGTAAAAAGCTATATTCAGTAACATTTGATAGAAAAAAAAAGGGTGAGGGGCCAGGCGAGGTGGCTCTCGCCTATAATCCCAACATTTTGGGAGACTGAGGCAGGCAGACTGCTTGAGCCCAGGAGTTTGAAACCACCCTAGGCAACAGAGAAACCCCATCTCTAGCAAAAAAAAAAAAAAAAATTAGCCAGTTGTGGTGGCATCCTAGCTATTCAGGAGGCTGAAGTGGGACGATTGCTTTAGCCCAGGATGTCGAGGCTGCAGTGGGCTGGGACTGCATCACTGCACTCCAGCCTGCGCCACAGAGTGTGACTCTGTCTCAAAAAAAAAAAAAAAAAAGAAAAAAAAAAAGTTAGGACTGGGCCTGGTGACTCTCATCTATAATCCCAACACTTTGGGAGGCTGAGGTGGGAGGGTCACTTGAGGACAGGAGTTCAAGACCAGCCTGGGCAACACAGAAAGACCCCCACCTCTACAAAACATTTTAAAATTTGGCCAGGCGTGGTGGCATGCAACTGTAGCCACAGCTACTGGGGATGCTGAGATGGAGGATCCCCTGAGCCCAGATGTTTGAGGCTACTGTGAGCTATGATTACACCACTGCACTCCAGCCTGGGAGACAAAGCAAGGCTATCTCCAAAAAAAAGAAAAAAAGAAAAAAAAATTGTTACCCACAATCCCACTGGCACTGACTTTTTTATACTTTCGTGAATTTCTTTCAAGTCTTTCATAAATAAGGGCAAATATATATCCTTTCAACTTTTTCTTTTTGGCTAGGCGCGGTGGCTCACGCCTGTAATCCCAGCACTTTGGGGGGTCAAGGCAGGTGGTTCACCTGAGGTCTGGAGTTTGAGGCCCTCCTGGCCAACATGGCGAAACCTCATCTCTACAAAAAATACAAAAAGTAGCCAAGCATGGTGACACATGCCTGTAATCCCAGCTACGTGGGAGGCTGAGGCAGGAGAATAACTTGAACCTGGGAGGCGGAGCTTATAGTGAGCCGAGATCACGCCACCGCACTCTAGCTTGGGCGAAAGAGCGAGACTCTGTCTCAAAATAAATAATAAATAAATAGCCAGGAGTAATAGCAGGTGCCTGTGATGCTAGCTACTCAGGAGGCTAATGCAGAAGGATCACTTGAGCCCCGTATTTTAAGGCCGGCCTGGGCAACATGGTGAAAACCCATCTCTACCAAAAAAAAAAAAAAAAAATTAGCCGGGTGTGGTGGTGCAAGCCTATGGTCCCAGCTACTCAAGAGGCTGAGGTGGGAGGACAGTTTGGGCCCACGAGGCCAAATGAGCCAAGATCATGCCACTGCACTCCAGCCTGGGCAACAGAGCAAGACCCTGTCTCAAAAAAATTTAAAAAAAAAAAAAAAAAAAAAAAAAAAGAGGCCAGGCACGGTGGCTTATGCCTGTAATCTCAGCACGATGGGAGGCCAAGGTGGGCAGATACCCTTAGGTCAGTTTGAGACCAGCCTGGCCAACATGATGAAACCCCATCTCTACTAAAAATACAAAAATTTGCCGGGTGTGGTGGTGCATGCCTGTAGTCCCAGCTACTAGAGAAGCTGAGGCAAGAGAATCGCTTGAACCCGGGAGGCAGAGTTTTCAGTGAGCTGAGATCGTGCCACTGCACTCCAGCATGGGTGACAGAGTGAGACTCTGTCTCAAAAAATAAATAAAATAAAAAGAAAGAAAGTACTGTTGCCAATAATATCTGTAGGACCTTCACCTAACCTGTTCCCCACCTCCATTTTAAGCTATCGTGTCATGTCAAATAAGATATGTATGGAAGTGACTTCGTAAACTATACCTCACTATAAAAGTCATAGAGGCATAGATATCTTGAGACTGAAGAAAGTACAAGCGAGGAGGATGTGACAAAGCAGCATGAGGATAACAATACCAGATACAAGCAATGGAGATACAGCTACCTTCTCCACTTCCACCCTATCATTTCCATTAGCACTGACACAGGCAATGGAGGTTCAGCTACATTCTCAAACTCCAGCCTATCATTTCCATTAGCACTGACACCGTGGTAAAGGGTGCCTGTTTCACCAAGGATTTCAGAGACTGCAAGCACTTGACCTTGTCTCCAGTACTACACTAAGAGCTTCATACATCACCTCAAGTTCTTACAACTCTATGAGGCAAGTAGCCTCAAACATGTCCATTTGGTAGATGAGGAAACAGAGGCTCAGAGTTAAAACTTGCATAAAATCATTAGGCTAGTAGATGGCAGGGCCAGTAACCTAACTCAGAATTAAGTCCCAAATCTATTTTTTTAACTACCACATACTTTTTACAACCAAATAAAAAGTATATCCTAGGGCAGGGCACGCTGGCTCACACCTGTAATCCCAGCACTTTGGGAGGCCGAGGCAGGCAGATCACTTGAGCTGAGGAGTTTGAGACCAGCCTGGGCAACATGGTGAAACCCCATCTCTGCCAAAAATACAAAAAATTAGCTGGGTGTGGCAGTGTGCACCTGTGGTCCCAGCTACTCAGAAGGCTGAGGATCACTTGAACCCATCCAGGAGGCGGAGGCTGCAGTGAGCCAAGATTGCGCCACAGCACTCCAGCCTGGGTGACAAAGCAAAACCTCGTCTCAAAAAAAATAAAAAAGAGGACATACTGTTTTGATGTATTTGCTCTTTTCTTCCTCACTTTAAAAACGGTTGTTTTATACTGACAGTTCTGCTATTTTAACTAAATGTCAGAACTTCTGCACCGACTTCATATTAAACTGCTTTCAGTCATAAAAAAAATAGAGTAATGATACCTCAATTTAGTTTTTCTTATAAACTGAATTTTAGAAAATAAGAAATACAGTAACACTTAACTGAGCTAGCTTCACCTCACCAACTGGGGGTCTACAGACTTATATTAACCCACATGTTATACATGGCTAACACAGTGTTTTGTTTTACTTTTGTTTTTAAATTTGAATCAGTTGCCAATGAATTCCGCGTAAAAACATGAATTTCCAGCTTCTCTTATTTAAAAAAAGAGAAGAAAAAAAAAGCCACAAGATCCAGAGCTTGTAGGCCACGTTCCAGTACAATAAGAACCCATTCTCTGGAGCAACGAGCAGGGGCCACTGTGGCAGGAGCCTGTGCTCTTCTGCTACCCCTTCCCCTGCGGTCTCACTGAGCCAGCCGACTTACAAAACCAAGCTGGCTTCTAACCGCATCTTGAATTTGTGACCACTGATCAAAACAAAAATCAGATCCAAAAGGTAAGCAAAAAGTACCTTCAGGCACCACAAGCAATTTCTCTACTAATACAGAAAAAAAAAAAAAAGAAAACAAGAATAAGACTACCAATCATGGCTGAGCTCGATGGCTCGCACCTGTAATCCCAGCACTTTGGGGGGCTGAGGTGGGAGGATCACTTGAAGTCAGAAGTTTGAGCCTGGCCAATATGGTGAAACCTCATCTCTACTGAAAATACAAAAATTAGCCAGGCGTGGTGGCGCCCGCTTGTAATCCCAGCTGCTTGGGAGGCTGGGGCAGGAGGATCACTTGGACTTGGGAGGCAAAGGTTGCAGTGAGCCAAGATTAGACCACTGCACTCCAGCCTGGATGACAGAGTGAGACTGTCTCAAAAAAAAAAAAGGGGGCGGTGGGGGGGGACTACCAGTCATTAGCTGCCTTCTATTAGTGGTAGGAGAAACTAACCTAAGAAGTTTAATATTATAATTCTTGGCTCATTGCACATACATAGCAATTCACAAATGGAATGGGGTCAAATTCACTCACATAACAAAAATCCACCAGCTAAGCACATGAAGTGAGAGAAGAACTACACAGAAGACTGAGCTGCTGGCAAACGGGCTGTCTTCTCAGACAGTCACTGAGGGCTTTAGGCACTGGAAGCTTACCCAGTGCAGGTAAAATGGAAGGTGCGCTAACCTGGGTTCAAACTCTGACTCCTCCACTTATTTAACCAGAGCTCCATTTTCTTAAGTTATAAAGCAGGGATAATAACATCTATCTCAAGGGGCTGCTACGAGGAGTCGAATAAAAAGCATCAAATATTTAGCACAGTCTCTGACTTATCACAGATGCTTTAATAACAAGCAGCTATTACTATCACTTAATATTTGGATTTTATAGGACACTTCATTTTCCCCAAATAAGCTCAAAACAGTTATCATTATTAGCTCAGTAGTCTCAACCTTTCTGCGTACACAGCACAGTCTCATTATACTAGAACTCTCTCTGCATACATAAGAGGGAAGAAAGATTTAAAAGGACACTAAATGTATCAACACTATCTCCCTCAGTGTCACATTCTCCCAGCTCTCTTCCTATTGTCCTTCCATCCAAGTCAGCTTGAGTAAGCTCTTGGCTGCCATAACCAAGCTCTTTTTTTTTTTTTGGAGACGGAGTCTCGCTCTGTCGCCCAGGCTGGAGTGCAGTGGCGCCATCTCGGCTCACTGCAAGCTCCGCCTCCTGGGTTCACGCCATTCTCCCGCCTCAGCCTCCCGAGTAGTTGGGACTACAGGCGCCCGCCACCACACCCGGCTAATTTTTTTGTATTTTTAGTAGAGACGGGGTTTCATCGTGTTAGCCAGGATGGTCTCGATCTCCTGACCTCGTGATCTGCCTGCCTCGGCCTCCCAAAGTGCTGGGATTACAGGCATGAGCCACCGCGCCCGGCCAAGCAAGCTCTTTTCTACACTCCCAAGACAAAGCCCAGTGTGCTGGGCTTGACCACACACTGCTGCGACAGTACACTGTCTCCTTTTCTACCTCACTGGGTCCACATGGCCAACTAAAAATTCTGGACAGACATGGCTAACCTACGGATGGACATGCGCCCAGTTGCAGCAAACATTAATTTTTCATACTGATCATAGTTTTGGAGGCATGCCTAGGAAAGGTTTGAGATTTACCAGAATGGAGCAGCTAATAATCAATGGGCCCGAGATGAGGCACAATCATCATCATCGTCGTCATCATCACCATCATCATCATCAATGCGCAATCATAATAATCAATGGGAACGAGATGAGGAAAATCCTCTTTTATTCTTTTTAAATTTATTTTTATTTTTATTTTTCTTGGGACAGAGTTTCACTCTTATTGCCCAGGCTGGAGTGCAGTGGCGCAATTTCAGCTCACTGCAACCTCTGCCTCCCGGGTTCAAGCGATTCTCCTGCCTCATCCTCCCAAGTAGCTGGGATTACAGGTGCACACCACCACACCCAGATAAATTTGTATTTTTAGTAGAGACAGGGTTTCACCATGTTGGCCAGGCTGGTCTTGAACTTCAGGTGATCCACCCGCCTTGGTCTCCCAAAATGCTGAGATTACAGGCATGAGTCACCAAGCCCGGCCAGGAAAATCCTTTTAATTTCCCAAAACTTTCCAGATACTTTTGGGGGGGAGTGAATAAATGCATCCCTCCCTACTCAGAATTCACAAAGCAGTATGTAAAGTGAGGCTGCAGCCAATGGATTAGGAAAGATCCACTGCATAAAGCTGGTGTAATCAGGTGGGTCCTGATCGACTGGCACCGATTCTACAGTATTTGTGCAAAGAAGGATTTGATTTACTTACTTACAAACATCACTTTTTTTTTTTTTTTTTTTTTTTGAGACAGGGTCTCACTCTGTCACCCAGGCTGGAGGGCAGGGGCACCATCTTGGTTCACTGCAACCTCCACCTCCTGGGTTCAAGTGATTCTCCTGCCTCAGCCTCCCAAGTAGCTGGGACTAGAGACACCTGCCACCACGCCGGGCTAATTTTTGCATTTTTTGGTAGAGATGGGGTTCCACCATACTGGCCAGGCTGGTCTTTAACTTTTGACCTCAAGTGAGGTGCCCGTTGCGGCCTCCCTAAGTGCTGGGATTACAGGCATGAGCCACCGCACCAGGCCTACAAACATCACTTAATGGGTTTTTATTTATTATTATTATGTTTTTGAGATGGAGTTTCACTCTTGTTGTCCAGGCTGGAGTGCAATGGTGCGATCTCGGCTCACTGTAACCTTTGCCTCCTGGGTTCAAGCGATTCTCCTGCCTCAGCCTCCCAAGAAGCTGGGGATCCACGCCCAGCTAATATTTTGTATTTTTAGTAGAGACGGGGTTTCACCATGTTGGCCAGGCTGGTCTCGAACTCCTGACCTCAGGTGATTGCCCACCTCGGCCTCCCAAAGTGCTGGGATTATAGGCATGAGCCACCGTGCCCGGCTGCGAATATCACTTAATGGCTAAACATGTTCTCTGAAAGTTATTACTCAAAAATAAAGTAATAACACGTTCCTATGAAGTTAGAGCTTTGGGGTGAGGTTATTGGTATATATTGCATTCTCTTTCTAAGGCTGCTGTAACAAATAGCCACACACTGGGTAGCTTACAACCACAGAAGTTTGTTCTCTCACAGTTCTGGAGGCTACAAGTCCAAAATCAAGGCGTCAGCAGGGCCACAGTCCCTCTAAAGGCTCTGGAGAAGAATCCTTCCTTGCCTCTTTCAAGCTCCTGGTGATTACCAGGATTCTTAACATTCTTGGTTTGCAGCTGCCTCACTCTAGGCTCTGCCTCCACCATCACATCGCCTTCTTCCCTCTGTGTGTGCCTCTGCGCCCTCTCCACTTGTTATAATGGCACCTGGCACACTGAAAATAGGGCCCACCCTAACCGCATATGACCTAATGTTAACTGCAAAGACACTATTCCAAATAAGGTTACATTCTGAGGTTCCAAGCAGACATGAACTTGTGGGGGCACTAGTCAACCCAACACATACAGATCCATCCTCTTACTCATTTACCCTGAAATGTCCTAGTGCCTAATTACATGACCCATATTTTTGTTATTCTGCAACTAAACAGATGTAGAAAGGGATAAAGAAAAGCTATTTTGGCCGGGCGCGGTGGCTCACGCCTGTAATCCCAGCACTTTGGGAGGCCGAGGCGGGTGGATCATGAGGTCAGGAGATCGAGACCATCCTGGCTAACAAGGTGAAACCCCGTCTCTACTAAAAAAAATACAAAAAATTAGCCGGGCGCGGTGGCGGGCGCCTGTAGTCCCAGCTACTCGGGAGGCTGAGGCAGGAGAATGGCGTGAACCCGGGAAGCGGAGCTTGCAGTGAGCCGAGATTGCGCCACTGCAGTCCGCAGTCCGGCCTGGGCGACAGAGCGAGACTCCGTCTCAAAAAAAAAAAAAAAAAAAAAAAGAAAAGCTATTTTATAGTTCAGATACAATTTCTTGACACCTACTTTTTATTAGTTACAAAAAGAATAAACCCTGGCTGGGCGCAGTGGCTCACACTTGTAATCCCAGCACTTTGTGAGGCCAAGGCCTCCCAAACCCTCCCTAACCTGAGGTCAGGAGTTCGAGACCCGTCTGGCCAGCATGGTGTAACCCCGTCTCTACTAAAAATACAAAAATTAGCTGGGCATGGTGCCGCATGCCTGTAGTCCCAGCTACTTGGGAGGCTGAGGCAAGAGATTCACTTGAATCTGGGAGATAGAGGCTGCAGTGAGCCGAGATCGTGCCACTGCATTCCAGCCTGGGTGACAGAGTATGACCCTCAAAAAAAAAAAAAAAAGAATAAACTCCATGAAGAAAAAAATCTATACAGTAGTAGTAAAGGGAAGCAATACAAAGGAAAAAGAAAAAAAAAGACAAAGCAATCACTGGAATTTCCCAGGGCTGTTTTATTAAGAAACCCCAGCAATCAAATATTTTATTATACTACACTGGTATTTTCAGAAGGAAGCACACTGGCATACATGCCACCAAACAGCAGTCACTAAAAAAGGCATGTTTGATGTGGAGTGTGGAAACTTGAATAAAGAAGAAAAACAAATAATAGGAAAAAATAATTAAAAACTGAAAAAAATTTTAAATAATTTAAAAAGCATGTTATAGCCGGGTACGGTGGCTCATGCCTGTAATCCCAGCACTTTGGGAGGCCAAGGCGGGCAGATCATGAGGTCAGGAGATTGAGACCATCCTGGCTAACACGGTGAAACCCTGTCTCTACTAAAAATACAAAAAATTTGCCGGATGTGGTGGCAAACGCCTGTAGTCCCAGCTACTCGGGAGGCTGAGGCAGGGGAATGGCATGAACCCGGGAAGTGGAGCTTGCAGTGAGCTGAGATCATGCCATTGCACTCCAGCCTGGGCGACAGAGCGAGACTCCGTCTCAAAAAAAAAAAAGCATGTTATATTTTTATGTATACACACATGCTAAAGAGCAGCTGCTTAATAGATATTCACACTTAAAAGAGATGAAACCCTGAAATGTCTGTTTAAAAAAGATCATTTACAGTGTACACTGAGGTTAGGAGTCATTCTAGTTCAAATACGCCAGACATTGGTATTAAAATAACCAAATCTTCCCTGTCTTATCCTCTCATAAAGAGTTCAGGACCAAGGTGGTAGGAGTGCTTGAGACCAGGAGTTCAAGACCAGCCTGGACAAAGTAGCAAGACCCCATCTCTACAAAATATCCACATAAAAAAATTAGTCAGATGTGGTGGTGTGCACCTGTAGTACTAGCTACTAGGCAGGCAGGCTGAGGCAGGAGGATCCCTTGAGCCCAAACGTTTGAGGCTGCAGTGAGCTATGATTGCACCACTGAGTTCTAGGCTGGGTGACAGAGTGAGACACTCTTATTTAAAAAAAAATAAAAGACGGATGGACAGACAAACGGAAGGAAGGAAGGAAGGAAGGAAGGAAGGAAGGAAGGAAGGCAGGCAGGCAGGCAGGCAGGCAGGCAGGAAGGCAGGAAGGCAGGCAGGCAGGCAGGCAGGCGAAAGAGCCACCATGCTATATCATAACTACCTGTCTATGGGCCTGTCTCATTTGTATATCTCTAGTGCCTAGCACATAGTAGGTATTTAATAAACGTTGAATGAATGAACTACTACTTAGATCAGTCTACTACTCAGTGCTATTATTATTATTATTATTATTATTATTATTATTATTATCATTTTCGAGACAGGGTCTTGCTCTTGTCACCCAGGCTGGAGTGCAATAGCGCAATCTCAGCTCACTGCAACCTCCGCCTCCCAGGTTCAAGCAATTCTCTTGCCGCAGCCTCCCGAGTAGCTGGGATTACAGGCATGCGCCACCACGCCGGCTAATTTTTTGTATTTTTAGTAGAGATGGGGTTTTACCATGTTGGCCAGGCTGGTCTCAAACCCGACCTCAGGTGATCTACCCGCCTTGGCCTCCTAAAGTGCTGGGATTACAGGTGTGAGCCACCGTACCCAGCCTCAGTGCTATTATTTTACATAATTTTATCTAATCCTCATAACTACCCTGTGGGAAAGCTACCATTATCCTTATTTTACAAAGTAGGAAACTAAGAATCCGAGTGGCACACGAACAATCAATCTCTTTCACTTCCTCTTCCAGACATAAGCTCTAACCTCATTTTGCCTTGGCTAATGCTTTTTTTTTTGAGACAGAGTCTCACCCTGTCACCCAGGCTGGAGTGCAGTGGTGCAATCTCGGCTCACTGGCCTCACTGGCCTACCAGGTTCAAGTGGTTCTCCTGCCTCAGCCTCCCGAGTAGCTGGGATTACAGGTGCCCATCACCATGCCCGGCTAATTTTTGTATTTTTAACAGAGAAAGTATTTCACCATGTTGGCCAAGCAGGTTTTGAACTCCTGACCTCAGGGGATCTGCCCACTTTGGCCTCTCAAAGTGCTGGGATTACAGGCGTGAGCCACCACGCCCGGCCTGCCCTGGCTAATTCTTACTCTTCCAGTCTCAGCTTTAATGTCACTTCTTCAGGAAACTACTTCCCTATGCCAAAAACCAGGGCAGGTTCCTCATCACGCAGAATAAAATCCACACATCCTACCATGGCCTCCAGGCTCATGTGTACCTCTCCCCTAGATCACTCTGCTCCAGCCATAGGGGCCTCCATAGACATGGGAACATGAAGATGCTCCCACTCAGGGACTTTGCACTTCCTGTTCCTCTGCCTGTGATATTCTTCCCTAGACCCTCAAATGCCTGGCTCATTCATTAAGTCCACTCACATATTAACTCTTCAGAGTCTCTCTCCACAGTAATTTCCAATTCCATTACTCTTGGTTCCAATACTGTTTTATTTTCTCATCAATTTATCCCATTTTTAAATTACTTGTGCATTCAGGTGTTTAGAAGCTAGCTGTCCATTACCACTAGAATGAATACTCCACAAAGGTCGGGGCTTAGTCCCGCTCACTGCCTCAGCCTGTGTCTAGAAGTGCCCACCCGGTATATAAAAGACACCTGAAGAGTATTTGTTGAATGAGTAAGAGACAGAAGGCATGTGTTGCGAAGTCATCCAGTAAGCTTAATGTCACTCATTTAAGTCAATGAATGTATATTGGCAGATTTTAAGTCAAAATAAAGTTTCAGGTGCATACTCCTTTTGTGTGATGTTCTGCTTTAACTTATCTTTTCATCCAACATCTTCTAGTCTAGATCCCATCAGCGAGGAAGGCTTCTAATATGACTAGCCCAGAAGTTACACTGCACTCGACAGCAGTGAGGACTGGCTATTCCCAAGTTCTGCTCTAAACTACATGCCTTGCTAAGCTGCTGACACAAAGTCTAGAGTATTTGAGTTATAATTTGTGGATAATTATCATAGAAGTATCAAACCCAAGAAATGCCCAAATTTCTGAGGCTTTAGCAAAGCACTTCCTGTCCACTTGCTCATTTGCAGCATCTACTTGAAAGCCAGAATGATCAGTCATCAAAATATTGTGTTTTTAACACAATATAAAAATCATATTTAGACAATTTTTGATGTAAAACTCAGATTAGCCGAGCACAGTGGCAAGCATCTGTAGTCTTAGCTACTTTGGAGGCTGAAACGGGAAGATGGCTTGAGCCCAGGAGTTGGAGGCTATCGTGCACTATGTTTGCACTGGTGAATAGCCACTGTACTCCAGCCAGGGCAACACAATGAGACCTTATCTCAAAAAAAAAAAAAAAAAAAAAAAACTCGGATTATCATTTTTATTCCATTAATAAGAAATGGATAGGCTGGGCGCGGTGCCTCACACCTGTAATCCCAGCACTTCGGGAGGCCAAAGTGGGCAGAACATCTGAGGTCAGGAGTTTGAGACCAGCCCGGTCAACAGGGCAAAACCCCATCTCTAATAAAAATACAAAAATTAGCTGGGCGTAGTGGTGGGTGCCTGTAATCCCAGCTACTCAGGAGGCTGAGGCAGGAGAATTGCTTGAACCTGGGAGGCGGAGGTTGCAATGAGCCGAGATCGCGCCACTGCACTCCAGCCTGGGGGACAGGATGAGACTCCGTGCGCCCCCCAACCTCCCCCCGAAATAAAACTTATTTACTGATCACGCTGGGCCTGGTGGCTCATGCCTGTAATCCTATCACTTTGGGAGGCCAAGGCGGGTAAATCACCTGAGGTCAGGAGTTCGAGACCAGACTGACCAATATGGTGAAACTCCGTCTCTACTAAAAATACAAAAAATTGGCCAGGTGTGGTGGCAGGTGCCTGTAATCCCAACTACTCAGGAGGTCGAGGCAGGAGAATCACTTGAACCCGGGAGGCAGAGGTTGCAGTGAGCCGAGATTATACCATGGCATTCCAGCTTGGGCAACAAGAACAAACTCCATCTCAAAAAAAAAAAAAAAAAAAAAAAGACGTATTAACTGATCACAGTATGAGGATGTGACTTAGATCCTGATTTTTCAAAACTTTTTCAATCCATTTATGACCAATGAAAATTTGAATCTGATCTGACATATGATACTAAGGATTTTTTTGTTATAATAGCATTGTAGCCATGTTCTTAAAAGAGCTCTTATTTTTTACAGGTAATATCAAAATATTTAAGAATGAAATGATGCAATGCCTTTGATTTGCTTTATTTATTTATTTTTTTTTGAGATGGGAGTCTCACTCTATCGCACAGGCTTGAGTGCAGTGGCACAATCTCAGCTCATAGCAACCTCCACCTCCTGCGTTACAGTGATTCTCCTGCCTCAGCCTCCCCAGTAGCTTGGATTGCAGGCGCCCGCCACCGCACTCGGCTAATTTTTGTATTTTTAGTAGAGACAGGGTTTTACCATGTTGGCTAGGCTGGTCTCGAACTCCTGACCTCAGGTGATCCACCTGCCTTGGCCTCCCAAAGGCCATTACAGGCATGAGCTACCACACCCAGCCAATATGCTTTAAAATAATATAGGAAGACAATGACAAATGCTGATAACATTGTGAAGAAAGAGAACTCTCATAAATTGCTAGTGGGATGTAAAATGGTAGAGCCACTTTGGAAAATAGTTTGGCAGTTTCTTAAAAAGTTAAACATAAATCTATCATATGACCCAGCAATTCTACTCCACTCCTGGATATCATCCAAGAGAAATGAAAACATATGGCCCCACAAAGCCTTGCAATGTGAACGTTTATGGCACCATCATTCATAATGGCCAAACAGTGGAAACAACCCAAACATCCATCGACTGGTGAACTGCTAAGCAAAAGAAGATATATCCACACGCTGGAAGACCATTCAACAGTAAAAAGGAATGAATTACTGACACATGGCACAAAATGAACGAAGCTCAAAAAAGAAAGAAAGAAAGATGGGCACAAAAGCCTACCTATCGGCCGGGCGCAGTGGCTCACACCTGTGATCCCAGAACTTTGGGAGGCCGAGGCGGGCGGACTGCTTGAGGCCAGGAGTTCGAGACAAGCCTTGCCGCCATGGCAAAACCCTGTCTCTACTAAAAATACAAAAATTAGCTGAGCGTGGTGGCAGGTGCCTGTAATCTCAGCTACTCGGGAGGCTGAGGCAGGAGAATCGCCTGAACCTGGGAGGTAGAGGTTGCAGTGAGCCGAGATAACGCCATTGCGCTCCAGCCTAGGCAACAGTCCGAGACTCCGTCTAAAAAAAAAAAAAGAAAAAAAGCCTACTCATCCTGTGATTCCACTTACATTAAACATCCAGAAAGGGTAGGTTTATAGAGACAGAAAGTAGATTAGTGGCTGCCTGGGACTAGTGGTGGGAATGGGAATTGATTCTAAACCAACACAAGGGATCTTATGGGGTGACAGAAACGTTCTGTGGCTAGATTGTGGTCATAGCTGTACAACTCGGTAAACTTACTAACAATCATTGCATTATACAGTTAAAATGGGTGATCTTATGGTATGTAAATTATACCTCAATAAAGTTGTTCTTAAAAGGCAAGGAGTATTTCCTGCTGACAGGTCTTTAAAAAAATAAACAAAAATAATAAATAGCCAGGAGCGGTGGCTCACGCCTGTAATCCCAGCACTTTGGGAGGCCGAGGCAGGTGGATCACCTGAGGTTAGGAGTTCAAGACTAGCCTGATCAATATGGCAAAACCCCATCTCTACTAAAAATACAAAAATTAGCCAGGCGTGGTGGCGCATGCCTATAATCCCAGCTACTTGGGAGGTTGAGGCAGGAGATCGCTTGAACCGGGAGGCGGAGGTTGCTGTAAGCTGAGATCGCGCCATTGCTTTCCAGCCTGGGTGCCAGAGCAAAACTCTGTCTCAAAAAAAAAAAATAATAATAATAAATAAATAAAAAGGCAAGGAATATAGGGAAAAGTCAAAAGAGATGGACTGTGAGAAGACTGGGAAAGCCAGAAGAATGGTGGAAAATGTAGCATGGAGTAAGACAATAAAAATATAAGAGGACTCATTTCTAATTTTAAAAATAATAAAAAATAAGAACCAGAAATTGATGTATGTGGGATGAGGCAGAATCAGCCATGTGTTGATGGTTATTGAGGGTGACAGGCACATGGGAGTTCATTATGCTATTCTATCTGCTTTAGTATATTGGAAATTCTCCACAATAAAAAGGTTGTTTTGCTTTGTCTTTTTTTTTTTTTTTTTTAAGAAATAGGGTCTCACTCTGTCCCCCAGGCTGGAGCCATTATAGCTCACTACAGCTTCTGACTCCTAGGCTCAAGGGATCCTGCCACCTCAGCCTCCCTGGTAGCTGGGACTATAGGTATGCACCACCACATCTGGCTAATTTTTGTTGCTGTTGTTGAGATGGGGTCTTGCTCTGTCGCCCAGGCTAGAGTGTAGTGTCGCCATCATAGCTCACCGCAGCCTCCAACTCTTGACCTCAAACGAGCTTCCCTAAGTGCTGAGATTACAGGTGTGAGCTACCAGGCGCAGCCAGGTTTTAAGAGATCAACGCATACTCCTGGTACTCAGTGACCTCTTCATGTTATCCTTGCCATTATGGGTCTCTAATCTGATCAAGTACCCTATTTCACTCAGTCTCAAGCAAAACAGACAATCTAAAGTTGCTGCTCTGACAGGCTCTCTTCAAATGATTTCCATTTCCTTGGGCAAGAACTCAGAACAAGCTTGTCCAGGATGCATGCGGCCCAGGATGGCTTTGAATGCGGCCCAACACAAATTTGTGAACTTTCTTTTTTTTTTTTTTTTTTTTTTTTTTTGAGAAGGAGTCTCGCTCTGTCACCCAGGCTGGAATGCAATGGCGTGATCTTGGCTCACTGCAAGCTCCGACTCCCGGGTTCATGCCATTCTCCTGCCTCAGCCTCCCGAGTAGCTGAGACCACCGGCACCTGCCACCACGCCTGGCTAATTTTTTGTATTTTTAGTAGAGACGGGGTTTCACCTTGTTAGCCAGGATGGTCTCAATCTCCTGACCCTGTGATCCGCCCATCTCGGCCTCCCAAAGTGCTGGGATTACAGGCGTGAGCCACTGCGCCCAGCCAAATTTGTGAACTTTCTTAAAACATTATGAGATTTTTTTGCAATTTTTTAAAGCTTATCAGCTATGGTTACTGTTAGTCTATTTTAGGTGTGACCCAAAACAACTTTTCATCTTCCAATGTGGCCCTGGGAAGCCAAAAGATTGGACACCCCTGACTTCGGATGTTTATTTTATTTTATTTATTTATTTATTTTGAGACGGAGTCTTGCTCTGTCGCCCAGGCTGGAGTACAGGGGCTCAATCTTGGCTCACTGCAACTTCCTACTCCTGGGTCCAAGCGATTCTCCTGCCTCAGCCCCGAGTAGCTGGGATTACAGGTACCTGCCACCACGCCTGGCTAATTTTTGTATTTTTAGTAGAGATGTGATTTCACAATGTTGGCCAGGCTGGTCTCAAACTCCTGACCTCAAGTGATCCACCCACCTCAGCCTCTGAAAGTGCTGGGATTACAGGCGTGAGCCACCGTGCCCGGCCAAGTTTTGTCTACATTTCTACATGCACTTTTCTGGAGAGAGGTTCTATAGCTCTCAACAGATTCTCAAAGAGTCAAAATTCACTTGCCCCACCCCCACCCCTGTGATTGAACCATTTTAATCAGGATAATTTTTACCTACAAACAACAAAAGTTGTTACCAAAAAGTAAGGTTGTATGGATCCAGTCAGGCTTGCATTTATTTATTTATTTATTTATTTATTTGAGACAGAGTATAGTTCTTTCGCCCCGACTGGAG
Organism: Homo sapiens; assembly: GCF_000001405.40. Classification (NCBI taxonomy): domain Eukaryota; kingdom Metazoa; phylum Chordata; class Mammalia; order Primates; family Hominidae; genus Homo; species Homo sapiens. The sequence goes on along the minus strand of NC_000009.12, from coordinate 130,055,912 downwards.
TGCAGTGGCACAATGATCTCTGCTCACTGCAATCTCAGCCTCCCGGGTTCAAGCAATTATCCTGTCTCAGCCTCCCAAGTAGCTGGGACTACAGGCATGTGCCACCATGCCCGTCTAATATTTGTATTTTTAGTAGAGAGGGGTTTTGCCATGTTGGCCAGGCTGGTCTCGAACTCCTGACCTCAGGTGATCCGCCCACCTCGGCCTCCCAAAGTGCTAGGATTATAGGTGTGAGCCACCGTGCCCAGTCAAGCCAGGCTTTTAATTTCATTCTGTATTCTTTAAATTCTACATTAACAAAATACAATGCTTCATAGTTTGCTAAAACAATGTGTTTTTACAAGACAAACTTTCTACAGTTCCACTTCTTTTTTTTTTTTTTTTTGAGACGGAGTCTCGCGCTGTTGCCCAGGCTGGAGTGCAGTGGCGGGATCTTGGCTCACTGCAAGCTCCGCCTCCCGGGTTCACGCCATTCTCCTGCCTCAGTCTCCCGAGTAGCTGGGACTACAAGCGCCTCCCAGGTTCACGCCATTCTCCTGCCTTAGCCTCCCGAGTAGCTGGGACTGCAGGCGCCTGCCACCACGCCTGGCTAATTTTTTTTTTATTTTTAGTAGAGATAGGGTTTCACCGTGCTAGCCAGGATGGTCTCGATCTCCTCACCTCGTGATCTGCCTGCCTCGGCCTCCCAAAGTGCTAGGATTACAGGCGTGAGCCACCGCGCCCCGCCTACAGTTCCACTTCTTAGAAGACTGTATGGTATGAAAATAATGTACAAGAGTTTGGGTCATAACAATTTACTTTTCTATGTCTCTAATTTTGTTTATATGTTTTGAGAAAGGGTCTTGCTCTGTTCCTCAGGCTGGAATGCAATGAGTAATCACGGCTCACTGCAGTCTCAACCTCCTAGGCTCAAGTGATCCTCCAGCCTCAGCCTCCCCAGAAGCTGCAGGCGTTTGCCACCACACCTGGTTAATTTTTAATTTTTTGTAGAGACAGGTTTGGGGAGGGGGTCCTTAGCACGTTGACTAGGCTGGTCTCGAACTCCTGGGCTCAAACAATCCTCCTGCATAGGCCTCCCAGTGTTGGGATTACAGGCATGAGCCACAGCACCTGGACAATTTCCCAGATATAGTAAACTGCTGAACCACCTTAGGGTGCGTTTCAGCCTTAGAGGTCTTTTCTCTGCTAGTTACAAAGCAAGATCCAGAGTATCATTCTAGGTTTATCAAAAATCTCTCTTCCCTAGACAATGGCTGGATAGAGGAAGAAAAAGCAGGCCCTTTGATTAGAGACACACCTTAATGCTGGCTTTACATTCTCAGTCACGTGTTTTAAGCAAGATTTGAAATTCCTTCTCTAGAGTCTCGCTCCAGAGAGCGCCCTAAACCGAAATGGGAAACTGAGGCTAAGGTTCCAAGTACCTTCAAACCGCCGGTACAGTACAAGGGCACAGAAGAGCGGAGACCGCGGACAAGGAAAGCCAGCATAAAAGCTGGAGGGGAGAAAGAAGAAAGGCGATCGGGCTGCCCTGAGTGAGGAATTCAGGGAAGCCAGCAGGGATTTAAGAGCAGCCTCCCGAGTCCGTGGGGGCAACGCCACAGTTCAGCCCCTTCCCCTCCCTCAGCTCGAGTCTTCCCGCCCCGTGCCGGTCAGCCCGAAGACCCCAGCGCCGCCCAGACCCGCCTTCCCCACAGACCCCGCCACCTGTCAGTGAAAGGCCGCAGCCAGGGGCAAAGAGGTGGTCCAGTGGCTCAGAGGTCCCCAATGGGCCAAAGTTGCCCTAAAACCCGGGGAGTGGCCTCGGCCTCCGCCCCCCGGCCCGGCCTTGCCAAGCTTTACCTTGAGTGCCAGGTGATGGACGCGGCCCAGGCCAGGCTCGGCCAGCAACTGCAGCAAACCCAGCATTGGGAGCAGCCGGAGGCCCGCGGCCAGCCTAGGACCGCGGGAGGCGGGGGAGCCGACGGGCGCCAGAGCGGCCATGTTTGTTCCAGCATCACCAGCCGCTTCCTCTCCCGCCCACGTCCGGGGTGAAAGGGCGCAGCCGCCGGAAGGGCCCGGGGAGCGGGGCTCGGCGGCTAGCTCCGCTGACCCTGTGGTCGTTTTCCTGGAGATTGCGACCTAGGAAGTCGTCGAGGAGCCTGTGCTGCCCACCTCGGGGCCCTTCGATCGGCCGCTCCTGTGCAGACTTTCAGTTAGAGATGAAGCCAACCTATTGGCGGTTGCCATAACAACGGTGGCCGAACCAGACCAGCCCGGGCCGCACCTCCGCCTCGCTGAGCTTTGGAAGCGACCTTGGGCTCCGGGGACCCCTGATCTCAGGGTCGGGGGATAAGCTGTGTCAGCCGCACGGTGTCGGGCCACTGATTGAACTGATTTCACTGAGCGTTGACTCGGAGGAAAATATCTAAAAATTCCCGGCTCGCCGTAGGGGTCCTGTGGTTTTCTAGGCGCTTCACACTCAAATACAAGCGAAATGGTTGCAATAATACGATTGATTGAGCCCTTATGAGGCAATTTGTTAGGCCTTTTGTTGTATTTAATTTTTGGAACAATTTGATGAGCTAGGAGGTACGTATTATCATTATTCCTACTTTACAGGTAAGCAAACTGAGGCTCTGAGAAATAAGTCATTTGCTCCAGGTTGAGCTGGGAATCACACGGAAGCTCTTAACTCCTGTGTTCTGTTGCCTCATGCTATTTCATCCAACCCCAAGTCTGGGTCTTAACATTTTTCTCTTAATTCTGTATGGAAACTTTCTTTGCTTCTTTCAGAAATTATAGGAACTTCTTTTTTTTGAGACGGAGTCTAGCTCTTGTCACCCAGGCTGGAGTGCAATGGCACGATCTCAGCTCACTGCAACCTCCGCCTTCTGGGTTCAAGCGATTCTCCTGCCTCAGCCTCTGGAGTAACTAGAATTACAGGCCTGCGCCACCACGCCCGGCTAATTTTTGTATTTTTAGTAGACACGGGGTTTCTCCCATGTTGGCCAGGCTGGTCTCGAACTCCTGACCTCAAGTTATCCTCCCGCCTCGGCCTCCCAAAGTGCTGGGATTACAGGCGTGAGTCACTGCGCCCAACCTGCTTTGGAGTACTTTTTATCTTTTAAAGTTAAGTGGCATCTTTGAAAATCTCTGGTTTTAAATTTGAATATAATACTGTACTAAAAACGAAATGAGGCCTGGCAGGGTGGTGATTCGCGCCTGAATCCCAGCACTTTGGAACGCCGAGGCGGGCGGATCACTTGAAAGTCAGTTGTTCGGGACCAGCCTGGGCAACATGGCAAAACCTCGTCTCTACTAAAAATACAAAAATTAGCGGGGCATCACGGCCGCGCGCCTGTAGTCCCAGCTACTGGGGAGGCTGAGGCAGGAGAAGCACTTGAACCTGGGAGGCAGAGGTTTCAGTAAGCCAAGATCATGCCACTGCACTCCAGCCTGGGTGACAGAGTGAGACTCTGTCTCAATAAAAAAAAAATCAGGTAAGAATCTTAATCCCATTTTATAATACAATAGTGATGAAACATTAAAATAGTTTTAAATAGGAGACTTTTGTCTTAGTTTCTGGACAACAGTTTTATAAGGGCTTAAAACTGGGTTCATAGCATTCCTTGCTTCTCTATACTTGGGTATTATCATGTGACCTACATAGGGTCATACCAGTGCTGTCTGTCCAGGGGTTTAAGAGGATATCTTCTTCTTTCACATATTTGAAAGCTGTATTGTGCCAGTCATTATTTTGGAATTGAGAGGAATAAGAATGAGGGAAAACTGACTACAAAGACATTGTTGAGCATTTTCTCTACAGTTACTTCTTAAATTCTAGAAAACTGCTGCCTTGACAATTACATTTAGCCATGTGATTTCATAGTTTCAAGAAAAGATTATTTGCATAATCATGATGCTGTAACTGGAAACAAACAGGCTGAGTAACAGAACAAGTTATGCCTGCTTCTCCTGGCAACATTTTCAAAGGGACATTACACTTTAAGGTATTGACTGAAAAAGCCTGCAGGGGCTGGAAAGACTGATCTCCTAAGCTTGGCTTTTAGCCTTACTCTCTTAGTCAAGTACATTTTATTTTTCTATTTTCTCTCCTTTTTTTTTTGAGACAGAGACACTGTTGCCCAGGACTGAGTGCAGTGGTGTGACATCTGTTCACTGTAGTCTCCACCTCCCAGGTTCAAGGGATTCTCATGCCTCAGCCTCCCTAGCTGGGACCACAGGTGTGCGCCAGTATGCTCAGCTAATTTTTGTATTTTTGCTAGAGATGGGGTTTCACCATGTTGGCCAGGCTGGTCTTGAACTCCTGGCCTCAAGTGATCTGCTCACCTCGGCTTACCAAATTGCTGGATTACAGGCGTAAGCCACCCTGCCTGGACTATTTTCTCTAACTTTTCAGGATCAGCTTAAGGTTGCTACTAGAATGTGTAGTGTTGAATCTAGTGCTATTATTATTAAATAATTATTTGATATCGGTTTGGACATTTTCAGAACTCTTTTAAGTAATTAATGTGTTAATAGTCTCCAGTTTAAGAAAGTATAATTGCCATTTGTTTTTCTTATCAAAAGACTTGATAGGCCTGGCTGGTGTCTCATGCCTGTAATCCCAGCACTTTGGGAGGCCAAGGCTGGTGGATAACTTGAGCCCAGGAGTTTGCCACCAGCCTGGGCAACATGGTGAAACACCTTCTCTACAAAAAATACAAAAATTAGGCCAGGGGCGGTGGCTCAGGCCTGTAATCTCAGCACTTTGGGAGGCTGAGGTCAGTGGATCACCTGAGGCCAGGAGTCTGAGACCAGCCTAGCTAACATGGCAAAACCCCATCTCTACTAAAAATACAAAAATTAGCCAGGCATGGTGGCGCATGCCTGTAATCCCAGCTACTCAGGAGGCTGAGACAGGAGAATCGCTTGAACTTGGGAAGCGGAGGTTACAGTGAGCCCAGATTGTACCATTGCACTCCAGCCTGTGTGACAGAGCGAGATTCTGTCTCAAAAAAAAAAAAAATTAGCGAGCATGATTGCACCAATTCACTCCAGCCTGTGCGACAGAGCAAGACTCTGTCTCAAAAACAAAAACAAAAAAACAAAAAAAAAACACAAAAATTAGCGGGCATGGTGACACGCACCTGTAGTCCCAGCTACTCAGGAGGCAGAGAGGTGGTAGGATTGCTTGAGCCCAGGAGTCAACACTGGAGTAAGCCATGACACTTTTATCCAGCTTGGGTGACAGAGCAAGACCCTGTCAAATAAAAAAAAAAAAAGAGTTGATTGATATTGCAAACCAAAAGCCTCTGTTAAGACAGTATAGGAAACTAGTGGTCAAATTGGGGCCTAGCAATACATTCAGAAGTCAAATGCTACTTTTCATTCTTTGGCTTGAAACACCATTTCTTCCAGGATTGCAGCTAAAGTTTTCATGCATTTCTTGGGGTGTCGGGAATGCCTCCAAGTGCATCTTTTTGTAGAAAGTGATCATGGAAAAGCCAGGCTCTGACACACTTTGAGTCCTGTGGATTGGAGAGAAACTTCAAAATTACTCCTCAACCTGACGACCCTAGTGTATAACTTGCTCAGCCACAGGACAGGCAGTCTTTCTTGATTTTATGTACATCTTTACAGGGGAATTGGATTATTCGTTGTAAAAATTCATTGCAGTTTTAGCATTTCACTCACCATGGAGTTCCTGGTTTTATCCTACTCCACTTTTTCCAGTTGATTGCTTTCTTGAGTCCCTAGTAAGTAGTTCGAATGCAAAAGAAGTTGGAAATTTTAAGCTAAAAACAAGTAATTTTGAAGAAGAAAAAATCCTGAGAATTTCATTAGAAGTAGTTCTTCACCAGTAGACAACCAATCAACTGTAAGTTCAGGCAGGCGGTCCTGCTGCATCAGAAATGTTTAAAGGCCTGTATTCCCAGCTACTGGGGAAGATGGTTTGAATCCAGGAATTCAAGGCTGCAGTGAGCTATGATCATGCCACTGCACTCCAGTCTGGGCAACAGAGCAAGACCTCTCTAAAAACAAAAACAAAACACAAAACACACACAAAAAAAGAAAATGCTGAAAGGATTGCTTTATTTTCTACAATAAGTAAAAATCCTCCAGAAAACAGGAGGAAAGGAAAGGGAACTGATACTTGTGTGTATATTATGTGCTAAACATTTTATACGTATTCTTTCTTTTAATTTTTATTTTTATTTTTATTTTTTTTTGAGACAGAGTCTTACTTTGTTTCCCGGGCTGGAGTGCGGTGGTGCAATCACGGCTCACTGCAGCTTCCAACTCCCAGGCTCAAGCGATCCTACTGCCTCAAGCCCCCAAGTAGCTAAGCACAACCGTGCCGGGCTAATTTTTGTATTTTTTTGTGGAGACGGTTTCGCCATGTTGCCCAGGCTGGTCTAAATCTCCTGGGCTCAAACAGTCCTCCAACCTTCACCTCCCAAAGTGCTGGGATTATAGGCATAAGCCACCTTTCTTTCAACCTTTACAATAACCTTTGAAGTAGCATTATTTCTATTTTATTTTTTGATTTTTGAGACAGGGTCTCGCTCTCAGGAGTGCAGTGGCATGATCAAGGCTCACTGCAGCCTCAATTTACCAGGCTCAAGCAATCGTCCCACCTCAGCCTCCCGGGTAGCTGGGATTACAGTTGTGCACCACTGTGCTTGGCAAATTTTTTTATTTTTTGTGGACACCAGGTTTTTCCATGTTGCTCAAACTGGTCTTGAATGCCTGGTCTCAAGCGATCTGCCTGGCTTGGCCTCCCAAAGTGTTGGGATTACAGGCATGAGCCACTGTGCATGGCCATATTTACATTTTAAAGAAGAGGAAACTGGCCGGGAGTGGTGGCTCATGCCTGTAATCCCAGCACTTTGGGAGGCCGAGGCGGGCGGATCACGAGGTCAGGAGATGAGACCATCCTGGCTAACACGGTGAAACCCCGTCTCTACTAAAAATACAAAATACTAGCCAGGCATGGTGGCGGGCGCCTGTAGTCCCAGCTACTCGGGAGGCTGAGGCAGGAGAATGGCTTGAACCCAGGAGGCGGAGCTTGCAGTGAGCGGAGATGGCGCCACTGCACTCCAGCCTGGGCGACAGAGCCAGACTCTTATCTCAAAAAAAAAAGAGGAAACTGGGCCGGGCGCGGTGGCTCACGCCTGTAATCCCAGCACTTTGGGAGGACGAGGCGGGTGGATCACGAGGTCAGGAGATCGAGACCATCCTGGCTAACATGGTGAAACCCCGTCTCTACTAAATGTACAAAAAATTAGCCGGGCGTGATGGCGGGCGCCTGTAGTCCCAGCTACTTGGGAGGCTGAGGCAGGAGAATGATGTGAACCCTGGAGACGGAGCTTGCAGTGAGCTGAGATCGCGCCACTGCACTGCGACAGAGCGAGACTCCGTCTCAAAAAAAAAAAAAAGGAAACTGAGGCTTAGAGAAGGAAAGTAATTCAGCCAAAGCTCTCTATAGCTGTCTGGACAGAACTATACAAATCTGGCTAACACCAAAGACTGTACTCAACCCCAGTTCCTTCATTTCAGACTAATGACAACCTATGAGATCCCTGTCTTTTTTTTTTTTTTTTTTTTTTTTTTTTGAGATGGAGTCTTGCTCTGTCGCCAGGCTGGAGTGAAGTGGCGCGATCGCGGCTCACTACAACCTCTGCCTCCTGGGTTCAAGCGATTCTCCTGCCTCAGCCTTCTGAGTAGCTGGGATTACAGGCACACCACCACACCTAATTTTTTTGTATTTTTAGTAGACATGGGTTTTTGCCATGTTGCCCAGGCTGGTCTTGAACTCATGGGCTCAAGCGATCCGCCTGCCTCGGCCTCCTAAAGTGTTGGGATTACAGGCGTGAGCCACTGCGTCTGGCCAAGATCCCTGTCTTCTCAATGAGTAAACTGAAGCTCAGATAATGTAAGTAACTTGCAGAAGGCCACACAACTAATAAGTAGTGGAACACTGGGATCCCAATTTAACAATTTCAAAACCCTATCTGCTTTAAAATCTCATATCTATCTACAGCTATATAAATATCTGTCCACCTAAGATCCCGAATTAGATGTTTATTAGTTGCAAGCAGGGTTAGAATTGCCAAAAAGCCCTAATACAATTGTTTGCCTCTAACCACACAGCCATCTATACAGGGTCTCTGTTCTGTTTGACCGGATACCTTATTTCGTTGCTAATACTGTCCATGTGATCAGATTATTCAGTGGAACATGTTTGAGTCCCCCACTGAGAGTAGGAAAAAAAAAAACATAAACTTACAGGGTTTTTTGTTTTTCTTTTTGTTTTCGAGATGGAGTCTCGCTCTGTTGCCCAGGCTAGAGTGCAGTGGTGCGATCTTGGATCACCACAACCTCCACCTCCCAGGTTCACGCGATTCTCCTGCCATAGCCTCCCGAGTAGCTGGGACTACAGGCGTGCGCCACCATGCCCAGCTAATTTTTGTATTTTTAGTAGAGACAGAGTTTCACTATGTCGGCCAGGCTGGTCTTGAACTCCTGACCTCATGATCCATCCTCCTCGGCCTCCCAAAGTGCTGGGATTACAGGTGTGAACCACTGCGCCCAGCTGTTTTGTTTTTTACTTAATAATTCACATAGGGGACTTTTGTGACCAAACGTGTTGGGATTTCTTCCCACCACCAACCAAGTAATTAATTTTGTAGTGGACATCAGCTGAGTGTCCTTTAATTTAGTGTTCTTTTAATTTTTATTTTTTTTTAGAGACTGGGTCTTGCTGTCACCCTGGCCATAGTCTAATGGTGCAATCACGGCCCACTGCAGCCTCGCACTTCACCTGCCTCAGCCACCATATACCTGGAGATAGTGTCAGATATCACAAATTGAGGGCTTGGTCCTCAAGACTGCCCCCCACCCCAAGTAGGTGTCAATCTTAAGTTTTAGGTTATGTGATCTGTCTTTTTTGACGAACTGTTTATAAATCAGAAATCTCAAGTCCTCCTTTTTGGGTTTAATTTGTTACAGTGCCTCACAGAACCTAGGGAAACATGTTTATTATAAAGGATATAGATGAAGAGATATATGGAGTACGGGGGAAGGAGAGTGGAACTTCTGTGCCCTCTCTGGGCATGCCACCCTCTAGGAACTTTTTTTTTTTTTTTTTTTTTGAGATAAAGTCTCACTCTGTTGCCGGAGTACAGTGGCTGGAGTGTAGTGGCGCGATCTTAGCTCACCGCACCCTCCGCCTCCTGGGTTCAAGCGATTCTCTTGCCTCAGTCTCCCAAGCAGCTGGGATTACAGGCACCCATGACCACACTGGGCTAATTTTTTTTTTGGTGTTTTTTTTTTTTTTTTTTTTTTTTGTATTTTTAGTAGAGACAGGGCTTTCACTATGTTGGCTAGGCTGGTCTCAAACTCCTGACCTCGGATGATCTGCCTGCCTCTGCCTCCCAAAGTGCTGGGATTACAGGCGTGAGCCACCACGTCCGGCCAACTCTCTAGGGACTTTTATGTGTTTAGCTATCTGGAAGTTCTCAGAACTTTGTTTTTTGGAGTTTTAATAGAGGCTTTATTTTATGTAGTCATGATTGATTAAGCTATTGACCATTACTGAACAACTTAACTTTCAGCGCCTCTCCCCAGTCCCCGGAGGTTGGAGTGACAGTGTGGGTGCAGATAAAAGTCCCACACCTCTAATCTTGTCTTGGTCTTTATGGTGACCAGTCCCATCTTGAGGTACTAATACTTAGGGACTGTCAGCCATCAGTCATCTCATTAGTATATAAAAAGACATCATTTTGGGGTTTTTAAGGATTTTAGGAGCTATACTTCAGGAAACAAGGTTGACGACAAAATATATATTTTGTAATATCACACCAAGATCATAATTTTGTAAATCAGTGTTCCCTAGATTTTACTGAGAGGTGAAACCAGTATCTGCAACCCAGATTAACCCCCTAGATAATATCAGCGTTTACATAGAGTTTAGAGTACCCCTGGTGAAAACTGATTCCTAAGTAGGTCAGGTCACAGTAGTTTGTTAATGGGGATACTTCCTTGTCTTAGAATCACTTCCTCCTGCTCTGAAGGGAAACTGAAATGGATTTAGTTCTTCCTAAAAAATGCTGTGCTATATTTTAGCCTTTTTTCTGCTGGCTTATTTCATTTTATCTCATGGCTTCATGATCATTGGTGTCTCTCTCCTTTATTTTTTGAAGATTCTGACACTTTCAAGCATTTTCCAGTTACTGCCAAAGCTTAATGAAGTTAAAGATATTTGCAGTGTTGTATAATTAACTCACATCCATAGAGTTCTGCGGCAGCTTTTAATGGGTTCCTTCCTATAACTAACAATCTCCTGCTTACTCGTCTTAAAAAGTTTCATCTTCATGTGGTCTCTTTTTTTCTTCTGCTGTCCCTTCCTCTTCCTCTTTCTCCTCTTTAAAGCAGCAGGTTGTTTTACTTCTTGATTAGAGTATTTTCACAAGTGGTCACTGTTTTTGAGAAGTCTCCAATAACTTGGTCAAGATTAGATCATTGTATTTGACTAAAAAGTCAAGCCCTGGCAGGAAGGTGATTACTGAGGCAATGTCTTGTTAGATAAACCTGCATTGCATGTACCGTTTCCAAATTTTAGCAGACTAAACTGTGCAGCATTGTTTGAATTTCCCCCTCCAACTCACTCTGGCTATTAATCTGCCTTAGGAGATAGGTAGCTGGCCGTTCTCATTGTTATATATCTAGCAGTCTCTGGAGGAAAGAGAATTCAGACCTGGTAACTGAGAGCAAAATATTTATACAGACACAAGAATGGGGGTGGGCAGGAAGGGAGGGTTGTAACTGAAAAAAGGCAGACCAAAACAGTTTTGACAACTTAAATTTATTGTAACTGCCCAACAAAGGAAGTAGAGTTGGAGGTTTATCTGCAAGAGGTTTTTTTTTGTTTTGTTTTTTGTTTAGTAGCTCCACCTCTTAATTTATTATTATTATTCATTTTATTTTATTTTTTGAGACAGTCTCGCTCTGTCACCCAGGCTGGAGTGCAGTGGCACAATCTTGGCTCACTCCAACTTCTGCCTCCCGGGTTCAAGCGATTCTCTTGCCTCAGCCTCCTGAGTAGCTGGGATTACAGGCGCCCTGTCACCACGCCCAGCTAACTTTTGTGTTTTTAGTAGAGACGGGGTTTCTCCATGTTGGCCAGGCTGCTCTCAAACTCCTGACCTCAGATGATCCACTCACTTCTGCCTCCCAAAGTGTTGGGATTACAGGCGTGAGCCACCATGCCCGGCTTTAATTCATTATTGTTAATATTTTTGAGACAGGGTCTTGCTCTGTTGCTCAAGCTGGAGGGCAATGGCACCATCATGGCTCACTGCAACTTCAACCTTCTAGGCTCAAGCGATCCTCCTGTCTCAGTCTCCCAAGTAGCTGGGACCACAGGTGCATGCCACCATGCCCAGCTAACTTTTTTTTTTTTCTTTTTGTAGAGACAGGGTCTTGCGATGTTGCCCAGGCTGGTCTCAAATTCCTGGCCTCCAGCCATCCTCCCACCTGGGCCTCCTGATGTGCTGGGATTACAGGCGTGAGCCACCAGACCCGGGTTAGCTCCACCTTTTAATGGAGGAGAATGATAAGCAGGTTGAAAATGGTGGGGTGGGATTGGAGAAATGCATCATCGTAAAATATTTTTTAACTGGGGGCCCATGTTGGGAGTCGCACGGTTTCTCAGAAAAGGATCCAGTAGTAGCATTAACCGAGGGAGAAAGATAAGCTGTGGGGAAAGGGCTAGTGATTCAGGAGTTGGAATTCCAAACATTTTCCATAGCTTGTCAGGAACATTTGTGCAGACCTTTGGATATATAGAGAGGGAGTCCGTCTGCTGATAAAATGAGCGCTGGGTTTACCAACCTTCGGCCTTGGCCCACCCCTGATCCTCACCGCCGGGCAGTGAGATGGACACGTTATTTGCCTCCATTTGGTGGACTGCGCTCTGCGCTTCCAGAGGTGGAGCAATTGTCCGCCTCCGCCCGGCCAGCACGTGCGGGAGGCTGGATTTGAACCAAACAAGTTATCTGTGTACCCCACGCCTTTGCTTTTACCCACTAGGCGGTAACGTGATTTCACGCCTGAGAGTTTCTTGGCTGAACAAGTTGGAAATCACTGGTTTCAGAGATTGGAAATCACTGGGTGCACGCCCCTGGATTCTTTCCCTAGCCACTCGAGGCCGTCGCGCTTGCCTCGACGTCTCTATTCGCACAGCGCGCAGTTACCACCGCCCCACTCCCACCGCGCCAGCCTGCGGGACTCTCGGGCTTCCCTCGGGCGGTGGGAAAAGAGCCTCCCGGGCTGACTCTGCTCGGCGCGCATGGCTGCCAGGGGAAAGTATTGTCCTTAAATCCAGAGCGGCGATACGCGCAGGGGAGCGATCTCAGACCGCGGCGGAGCATCGGTGATCCCAGGGCCTGCCGCGTTCCAAGGCAAGCGCTAGTACTGCGAGCAGACAGTGGTCACTAAGAAGTCATTACCAGATTGGCAGGGGGAGTCCTAGGGATCCGGGTCCCGCCGTCCCTCACACCTCCCTCCGCGTCCTTCCGGACCCCAGGGCGACGCGGACCCGGCCGGGGGAGCCCGGGGGAGGGGGCCGGGCCGGGGTGGGGCGGGCGCGCGTGCGCGAGCTGTCAGACCGGCCCCGCCCCTCCCCTCCCGCCCCTCCCCCGCTCTCCGGGTGTAGGGCGGGCGGGCGCTGCGGCGGCCGCGGCTGCTGCTTCCTCGGGCCATTTTGCTGTGGAGCGGCGGGGAGGAGGAGCCGCCGAGGAGACCCCGGGCGAGGAGCTGCGAGCCGGAGGAGGCCGCGCGGACTCCGGGCTTTCCGCCGTCGCGGGGATCTCGGGGGGCAAAGGGATCGCCGGGGAGGGGGACCAGAGAGCCGCGCCCGCCGCGCGGAGCGCCCCTTCGCGTCCCCTGCACCATGAGCTGGGGCACCGAGCTCTGGGTGAGTGAGGGGCTGGGCCCGCGGGCAGATGCGGGGCGCGCGCTGCGTTTCCCCGCGGCCTGGGGAGGGGGCGCGGGCCGCGCTGCTGGGCGGAGGCGAGGGCGCGCTGGTCGGGGTCCTCGCGGCCTGGGGAGGAGGCGGGGTTCCAATGCCCCTCGTCCGCCTTGGCCCGAGCAGGAGGTGCGGGCCGGCTTGTCCTTCGGAGGCGAGGGGAGTTGGTGCGGGTCCCCGGCGGCCTGAGGAACGGCGCGGGCGGGCCTCCCTGTCCCCGGCGCCCCGGAGCGGGCCGTGTGTGTCGGGCCGAGCCCTAATCCCCCGGGGCGAGCCGCGGATGCCCGGGGAGGGCCGGGACCGGGCGTGGGGGCGTGGAGGCCCCGGCTGCGCGGCGCTGCGTTGGGTCTCGGGGCGCCCCGGCCGCGAGTTCTGTCCTGGCTCCGCGGAGGCGCTGGCGGATCGGGCACTTCCCCGGGAGCGGGGCGGCCGGGGCGAGCGCCGGGGGTCGGGTTTTGGGGTGCTGGGGCGAGAGTGCGGTCTTCGCTCTGGAGGCGAGGACTTCTGGCCCGTGGCGGCTCCGGGCGCACTTGTTCTTTCGGGGTAGCTCAATCCTGAGTGGGATGTGGGCACTGCGACGTCTGGTCTGGAGGGGAAAGTGGGAGTTAGGGAGAGATCTTACGTGATCTACCTCAGGAAGAGGCGTTCGCGGGGTCAATGATCTTTAACGGTTGCTCGGAGAATAGTTTCCAGTGGGGAAAGTTGGCGGTGAGGGGCGCCTTGCGGGGATGCTTGGCCGGGGGATGCGCACGGTAAACGGGCAGCCCTCAGGGCTGAGGGCCGTCCCCGGAAAGGCGAGGGGCTGGCTGTGGATGGAGCTCTTTTCCTGCCGTCCCCGGATTCCTGGGGAAATCACTGGGCAGGGGATGGGCAGTGCGGCGGCCCGGGAAGGAGCAGACGAAATCTCAGTTACTGCACTGAAATGCCCTCAAGATGAGCCATTTCCCAGGATGAACTCTAAAGTGCCTGAACTACCTTTTGGAATTCTATTTGCAAAGGGTGTGGAGGAGAAAGTGTAGGGTGGTGTTGCTATCTGAGATGAGGCCAAGAAATCTCATATCAAAATAAAACAAGGTTAGAGCAATTACAGAAACAGAGCACATCCTCCCTTGTTTTTTGTTTTGTTTTCTTTTGCTTTAATTGTTTTTACATAACCATTTGTTAGGTACAGAAGCAGCTACGGTTGTTATTACCAAAATCCTGAGGGCAATAGCTCCCTTAAATTAAGATAATTCATTTTATAAACATCTTCTGCCTAAAAGGGATTCATGACAAAATTTCCGCTGATGTTTACAAGTATCCATTTTGAAAATAAAATAGTTTAAAATATTTGCACACACCAGTTTAGGCAAAATCTATGACTTTGAGTACCGTATTGAAGTTTCTTTCCTCTTCTAATCCTTCCACTCCCTTTAGCTCTCTTTAGCTTATCTGGGGTGGGGAAGCAAATCAGAAGTAATCTTTGTCAAGACAGTAGAAATTGTGGCACAATTTTTTTTTCACTTGTTCAGACAGGTGGATGGAATTATGGAGGGAAAATGTACAATATATTTCTGAGTGAAATAGGGACCGAACACAATACCTTGGTGGACAGTTCAGTGATGTTGGTGAATGGGATAGAATATAATTCCAAAGAGAGGCAGTGGCTATGAGCAAAACTGCTAAAACAGCGGCAATTGCTTGCATTATTCTGTACATTTCTTTTTGAGGGTGCAGAAGTGGGAAGGAAGGCAGGGTTAGGAGTGATTGAAAATAAATGAGAGAGGCCGGGCGCAGTGGCTCAGGCCTATATTGCCAGCACCTTGGGAGGCTGAGTCGGGAGGATCTTTTGGGCCCAGGAGTTCAAGAACAGCTTGGGGAATATCTGGAGAGGCCTCCTCTTAAAAAAAAAAAAAAGAAAAGAAAAAAGAAAAAAGAAAAAAATAATAAATGGGAACTGGAATATATACAAATATTAATGATATGAAATCTTATATTTGCTTCACAATAATTTGGGTTGTTAGTAGATGGGAGATAGTGAGACAGAGTTGGCCATTATTGAAGCCAAATGCTGAGTACAGAAGTATTCATTACACTATTCTTTCTAGTATATATATTTGACATTTTCTACAATAAAAATAATTGGAAAATAGTTTTAAAGGAGAAGGATGTGAACTATTTGTAATTTTTTCACTTGACAATTTTATGAGGAAGAATGAATCAGTTAACAGTTCTATATATGCAAGTGTATGGCAATGAGGAGTTTTTAAAAAGACATTCTTTTTTTTTTTTTTTCTGAGACGGAGTCTTGCTCTGTTGCCTGCCCAGGCTGGCGTGCAGTGGCGTGATCTCGGCTCACTGCAGCCTCTGCCTCCCAGGTTCAAACGATTCTCCTGCCTCAGCCTCCCAAGTAGCTGGGACTACACGCGCCTGCCACCATGCCCAGCTAATTTTTTTGTGTATTTAGTAGAGACGGGGTTTCGCCGTGTTGGCCAGGCTGGTCTCAAACTCCTGATGTCAGGTAATCCGCCTGCCTCAGCCTCCCAAAGTGCTGGGATCGCAGGCGTGAGCCACCACGCTTGACGTTAAAAAAGACATTCTTATGAGTACCAGCATTTGCCTTTGAGTAGCTTACAGTTTAATATAGGAAAAGGAATGAACACATGATTGTGCTACTAAGAGAAATGCAAAATCTAAGTTTTCAGGTGAAATGCAAAGATGTATAAGGCTTAGTAGCTTTTGAGATTTAAAAAAACTAGAATAATGAAGGATTATGAAAAGTAAACCCCAGTTTCTCCGGTGGTCAGAGACTTGGTGATGTGCGGTACATTGGGTAGCCCAGCGGAGGGCAGTGATTAAGGGTTTTCCTTGAATGGTGGCTTTGGAATCATGCACATGTATAATGAGATAATGATGGGGCGCTCAAGCCAAACTTGGCAGAATTATTCTTCTAGATGGAGAAAGAGCTATGGTTTGGGTGGCCATGAATTATTTGTAACAGGTGGTTGCAGCTTTCAGGGACCTTCACAAATACTATCAGATTTTACATACATTTTAGGACTTCAGGTTAAAATCAATATAGGCTTTTAGAAACTACAGGTTTCTAATGTGCATTTTACACTGAAGACCTGCTCCTAAGCCACATCCTGCTTTGTAGAGGGAGTAAAACCTTTCTCTTCCTCTTTCTTTTTTACTTTTTCTTTAACCCCTCCATAGAAATAAACTTTCTTTTTTTTTTTTTTTTTGAGACAAAGCTTCGCTCTTGTTGCCCAGGCTGGAGTGCACTGTCACGATCTTGGCTCACTGCAACTTTCACTTCCCAGGTTCTAGTGATTCTCTTGCCTTAGCCTCCTGAGTAGCTGGGACTACAGGTGTGCATTATCACACCTGGCTAATTTTTTCTATTTTTAGTAGAGATGGGGTTTCACCATGTTGGCCAGGCTGGTCTCGAACTCCTGACCTCAAGTGATCTGCCCGCCTCGGCCTCCCAAAGTGCTGGGATTACAGGCGCGAGCTACCTCGCCCAGGCTTACATGGCCATTTTGAAGTGATTGGGTTCTAATAAAATAGTTTACAACTCTTCATAACATAGCTCTTCATAACATTGCCTTTTAATCAATTTTCAAAATTTTTATTGAACAACTATGGTGTGCACAAGACACCAGTCTGAATCTGTTGTAAGTTACATTATATACATTGAAAGATATCTACGTGGAAGCATAGAAAGTAGGTTTTACCTCTAGCTTGTAACATCAGAGTCAAAAGAAAAATGTTTGTATGTAAAATTAACCAAAATACATTTACTCAAGACTTGTTAAAAAGGCAGTGTTAGTAAGGTAAATATGTTCACTGACTTGTTGAAGTTGTGGCTGGTTGTTGGAGAAATGGCAAAGCAAGAGTTGCTTACATTTGAATGTTTTTTTTTTCTTGCCTACTTACTGAGGGAAGTGACAGGTTACTGAAGTGTTAGTTCAGCTTTTTATTAGCTTGCTTATTAGTGTGAAGTATGAATAAATCCATTGGAAAATTAAGCCTTCCTCGTAATTATTCTCTTTGCAGCTAACAAATTATTCAGTGACAGAACCTGGTTTTGCTGCCTCCTAGTATCCTCTCTGTCTTTATTTATTTGCTCTGGTGCTAATGAGAAATGAAGTATGTACAAGAAAGAGAACAGAGAAACCTGAATAATGCATATTGGTTAGCATAGTAAGAAGCCACATGTGGGCTGGGCGCGGTGGGTGGCTGACGCCTGTAATCCCAGAACTTTGGGAGGCCAAGGCGGGCAGATCACGACATCAGGAGTTTGAGACCAGCCGGACCAAGATGGTGAAACCCCATCTCTACTAAAAATACAAAAATTAGCCGGGCGTGGTGGTCCACGCAGGTAATCCCAGCTACTCGGGAGGCTGAGGCGGAGAATCGCTTGAACCCGGGAGGCGGAGGTTGCAGTGAGCCGAGATGGCGCCATTGCACTCCGCCCTGGGCGACAGAGCGACTCTGTCTCAAAAAAAAAAAAAAAAAAGAGCCACCTGTGTTGATTGTATGTCTTTTTTTTTTTTTTTTGAGACGGAGTCTCACTCTGTCGCCCAGGCTGGAGTGCAGTGGGTCGCACGATCTCTGCTCACTGCAAGCTCCGCCTCCCGGGTTGACGCCATTCTCCAGCCTCAGCCTCCGGAGTAGCTGGGACTACAGGCGCCCGCCACCACGCCCGGCTAATTTTTTTGTATTTTTAGTAGAGACAGGGTTTCACTGTGTTAGCCAGGATGGTCTCGATTTCCTGACCTCGTGATCTGCCCACGTCGGCCTCCCAAAGTGCTGGGATTACAGGCGTGAGCCACCGCGCCCGGCCGACTGTATGTAATTTTTTTTACCTGTGATTTTTAGAACCATGCCAGGCATATAATATACATTCATCTGTTGAATATGTTGACCCTGATCGTGGTGTGCACTTTCAAGAGGCAGCCGTTTGAGGATTGTCTACCAACTGTACTGGGAACAATGCCTGACTCTGTGTAGGAGTTCAATAAATATTTATTGGATAAATGAATAAATCCCTTTTTTTCCTTTTGTTTTAACATTTGCTTTTTAAAAATAATGGGAAGATAATTATAACACCTTTCTGCACTTCGGCAGTTGTAAAATATATATATAATTTTAGGTATCTTTTTGGAAAATAGACTATTTTTTAGAGCAGTTTCGGTTCATAGCAAAATTGAGAAGGTACAGAGATTTTCCATATCCTTTCTGCCCCCAAATACACACAGTCTAAGTACCTTTTTTGCCTTTAAAGTAGGGTTTGAAAAATTATCCCTTCTCTGTTGTTCATTCTACTTAGGCATGATATGTGTACATATCTTTATATAAGAACACTTTATAGTGTGTTGAATTTTTTTCCCTAGTGTGTCGAAATTTTAAACTAGTTTTTTAATCTTAAAGTAACAAATTATTAACAGTTCCAGGTATTGGATAATTATTACCTCTTCTTACTGCCCTTGAATGCTAAATTGGAGAACCCTATTAACAATCGTCCCTAGCTCTTCTACTGCTCTTTTTTCTTTTTTCTTTTTCGAGATGGAGTTTTGCTCAGTCACCCAGGCTGGCGTGCAGTGGCGCGATCTCAGCTCACTGCAACTTCTGCCTCCCAGGTTCAAGTGATTCTCATGCCTCAGCCTCCTGAGTAGCTGCAGGCCCCCACCACCATGCCCTGCCAATTTTTGTATTTTTCATACTAGAGATGGGGTTTCACCACGTTGACCAGGCTGGTCTCAAACTCCTGACCTCAAGTGATCTGCCTGCCTCTGCCTTCCAAAGTGCTGGGATTACAGGTGTGAGCCACCATGCCTGGCCTCTACTGCTCCTTTTTCTTTTTTTTTTTTTGAGATGGAGTCTCGCTGGGTTGCCCAGGCTGGAGTGCAGTGGCGTGATTTCGGCTCACTGCAAGCTCGGCCTCCCAGGTTCACACCATTCTCCCGCCTCAGCCTCCCGAGTAGCTGGGACTACAGGCGCCTGCCACCGCGCCCGGCTAATTTTTTGTATTTTTAGTAGAGATGGGGTTTCACCTTGTTAGCCAGGATGGTCTCGATCTCCTGACCTTGTGATCCGCCTGCCTCGGCCTCCCAAAGTGTTGGGATTACAGGCGTGAGCCACTGCGCCCGGCCTACTGCTCCTTTTTCTTAACCCTTCAGAGATTTCTGTTTGGGATGAACATGGCAAGACCAACAGGGGAGATAATACTCCCTGAACCATGGTGGGTAGGGCAGAACTGCTTCAGAAGAGAAACAAAATCAACTTAGTTTTGCCATCCTTACTTCTCCATGAGAACAAATTTTGCACATGTCTTTTCTGTTTAGTGGATATTAAAAGAAAACAAACCGTGGGAGGCCTGGAGATTTTGCAGTTGATATTTAGATATCAGTTTTGTTGCCCTCACTTTGTACATTAGACAGAATCCTGAAAATTTGTGTAAATTGCCATTTTGGTAGGCAAAACTGTACTTTAAGCACATAAAAGAGTTTTATAAGTGTCTATACTTACTATGTGAACACATTACAACTCATGCTTTACATTGGTGAGACATGGAAAGTGCTTCTTTGAAGGACTATTCAAGTATCACCCACTAAGCAGCTAAAGCTAATATTATGTTTCCTGCAAGTATTACTCATACTTGTTTCATCAACACCACCCACATTTAAAAATAAGGCTTTATTTTGACACTTAAAAATTGAAAGCTACTAAGAATACATGAATGCCCTGGGAAATTAATCTAATTAGATTTTAGAATGTGGGTGTGAAGTCTTCTGGAATTAGTGTTTATAAAGGAATATTTGTTTCCTGTTTTACTTGTACACTCATACTAGCTTGAGCCTAGTAATGTGTTTAGTTAAAAAAACTTTTTTTTTTAATGATGAGGCCAAATATGTGTATTATATTAGAGAGTAATTTGGGGGTATGTAAGTTTTTGTTTGTTTGTTTTTTGAGATGGAGTTTCGCTCTTGTCGCCCAGGCTGGAGTGCAATGGCACGATCTCAGCTCACTGCAACCTCCACCTCCCGGGTTCAAGCGATTCTCCTGCCTCAGCCTCCCGAGTAGCTGGGATTACAGGCGTGTGCCACCACGCCTGGCTAATTTTGTGTTTTTAGTAGAAATGGGATTTCACCATGTTGGCCAGGCTGGTCTCAAACTCCTGACCTCAGGTGATCCACCCGCCTTGGCCTCCCAAAGTGCTGGGATTACAGGCATGAGCCACCGTGCCTGACCTCTCTATTATCTTAAAGTCTCGAATGATTGTTATCATTACTGCCATTTATTGAGTGCCTACTATGCCCCAGGTGCTGGACAAAGTGTTTACATCCATCATCTTGTTTATTTGTTACAAGAATCCAGCAAGGTAACTACCATTTGTGCCAATATCCTGGAAGAAGAGGCTTAGATGGAGTCATTAGTACAGTTTTACTGGGGAGTAACACCTGTGAAGGGGAAAGAGTGGAAGCCATCAGATCACGATGCAGACCTGACAGAGTCCCCACCAGGCCAATGGGGAGCTCCAGAGCAGACACAAGAATCCTCTGGCAGAAATGGCTCGGCCTCTGTATCTCTGCCTTCCTTTATCATTGGCCAGAGGTCGTCCCAAGAAGAGGATGGCCTTGGCTGCCAGCTTGCTTAGTCATTGGCTGGGGGTGCTACAAGAAGAGATGCCCTCGACTCAAAAGATGAGGTGGACCCTAAAGGAGGCTGCATGCTAGCCACAGTCCTTGCAGCTGGGCAGCGAGTCATTTTTTGCCACTTCTCCATGTTGCCCAGGCTGGGGTGCAGTGGCACGATCTCGACTCACTGCAACCTCTGCCTCTTAGGTTCAAGTGATTCTCCTGCCTCAGCCTCCCAAGTAGCTGGGATTACAGGCACATGTCACCACACTCTGCTAATTTTTGTATTTTTTTTGTAGAGACGGGGTCTTTCTATGCTGCCCAGGCTGGCCTTGAACTCCTGGGCTCAAGTGATCCTTCCACCTTGGCCTCCCAAAGAGCTGGGATTACAGGCATTAGCCACTTGGCCAAAAACTGGATCTTCTGTGTTAGTAGTGCACAGTTCCCTTTATCCCCACCACTCACTCATATTTCCCCATCACTGCAGTAGATTTTGCTTTATAAAACAGTTGATGTTATTCATATTGAGAATCACTGAGAATCAATGACTCACACCACTAAATGCTGCAGAGCCAGCAGAAACAGTCATGAATGAAGCTCGTACTCAAGCAGATGCTTCATAGATGTCTAGTAATCTCCTAATCCTTTCAAAGCCAGTTATTGTTTCTCTTTTCTAATTTAAATAAATTTGTGTGGATATTAATTAGTAGGAGTAGTATCAAGTTTCTGAATTTGCCCAACAGAAGTATGTCTTGGCGAAAACTATTTTTAAGGAAATTGAGAAAGAACAAGGAGGAATACAGAGTCTCACTCTGTTGACCAGGCTGGAGTGCAGTGGCACAAACATGGCTCGCTGCAGCCTCAATCTCCTGGGCCCAAATGAGCCTTTCGCCTCAGCCTCCTGATTAGCTGGGACCACAGGTGTACACTACCACGCCTGACCAACTTGTTTTTTTTTTTTTTTTTGAGATGGAGTCTTGCTCTGTCGCCCAGGCTGGAGTGCAGTGGTGTGATCTCAGCTCACTGCAATCTCCGCCTCCCGAGTTCAAGCGATCCTCCTGCTTCAACCTCCCGAGTAGCTGGGAGTACAGGCGTTTGCCCGGCTAATTTTTTGTATTTTTAGTAGAGACGGGGTTTCACAGTGTTAGCCAGGATGGTCTCGATCTCCTGACCTCGTGATCTACCTGCCTTGGCCTCCCAAAGTGCTGGGATTACAGGTGTGAGCCACCGCAGCTGGCCTGTCTAACTTTTTTTTTTTTTTTTGAGACAGAGTCTTGTTCTGTCACCCAGGCTGGAGTGCGGTGGCGCAATCTCTGCTCACTGCAAGCTCTGCCTCCCAGGTTCATGCCATTCTCCTGCCTCAGCCTCCCGAGTAGCTGGGACTACAGGCACCCGCCACCATGACTGGCTAATTTTTTTTTTTTTTTTTTTTGTATTTTTAGTAGAGGCGGGGTTACCATGTTAGTCACTGTGTTAGCCAGGCTGGTCTCACTCTCCTGACCTCGTGATCCGCCCGCCTCGGCCTCCCAAAATTCTGTGATTACAGGCGTGAGCCACCGTGCCCAGCCCGGCCTGGCTAACTTTTTTAAAAAAGTTTTTTTTGTAGAGGTGGGGGGGTCTTCCTGTGTTGCCCAGGCTGGACTTGAACTTTTGACCTCAAGTGATCACCGGCCTCGGCCTCCCAAAGTGCTGGGATTACAGGCGTGAGCCACCATGCCTGGCCGACATTCAGGGTTTTAAAGTTTTGAGTCTTCAGGAACAAGAAACGAAACACTTTCTCTATTATCTATAGCAGAAGAAAACTTGGGACCTGTAAAGGAATCTCCTCCCCTTGTACTTCTATTTGCACAGCCAAAATTGAGAACGGGTTCCTGAAATCCATTTAAAGACCAGACAGGCTCTGGGGACAAACGGTGTGGGTGCTCCCAGTTGAGTGAGGCAGTGCTGGAGGGCTCAGCCTGGGTTGCCTTGCTTACCTAATCTAATATTTATTAGTATCGGGCAAGTCCTTGCATCTCTGTTCCTCGCTTTCCCAATCTATAAAGTATGGTATGATGCTTGCCTTTCTCTTGACAAGAAGGCATAAAGGTGAGAGATTGTTCGTAAAGTACTTTGAGGTTGTTGGATGAAAGGTGATAGGTAAACACAAATTATTATAATCATGGGGAAGGTTAATGAAAAAAACTCTGGTCCCTGGGAACAAACTGTAGAACTCTCCTGCGGTAAGCAGGATTCATGAAAAATGAGCTATTTTCTGTCCTAGCCTTCTGATTTAAAATTTGGTGTACATGTTAACAATACAATAAACCTAATATTTGGAAAATGCCTGGAAATCGTTGCTTTGGACAGGAAATCTGGATTTCAGGAGGTCATATTAATAGCATGTTTATCTTTTCCTCCTTGAAGAAAAATAAAATCCACTCCAAAACACTAATCATACTAATTTTTAGCAGTATACTTGGGCCTTCTTAAGATTTAAGTTTTTTCTAGGGGGAATTAATTTTCTTTGGCTATTATTACCACTTTAAAAAAAAAAAAGTTCCACTGAAGTCACATTATTTCCTCACCTAAAAAGCTGGATATTTGCTGCTTGAAACATCTAATGAATTATTCTGCCTATCAGCTTAGTTTGGGATTGATTTCTTCTTGGCAGAGATAATGAAGAGGTTTAGAAGTATTTGCATTGGAACAGATATGGAAATTTCTGGAAATGTTTGGGCAAGGACATTTAGATTTCATAAGTGTATATGTGTATGTAAAATATATTCTTCACCATGACTGACTTTTAAAATTTACATTTTACTTATTGGCCAGGCACGGTGGCTCATACCTGTAATCCCAGCATTTGGGGAGGCCAAGGCGAGAGGATAGCTTGAACTCAGGCGTTCAAGACCAGCCTGGGTAACATACTGAGATCCCATCTCTACTAAAAATTAAAAAATTACCTGGGCATAGTGGTGCATGCCTGTAGTCCCAGCTACTTGGGAAGCTGAGATGGGAGGATCACTTCAGACCAGGAGTTGGAGGCTGGCTGCAGTGAGCTGTATTTGTGCCATTGCACTCCAGCCTGGGTGACAGAGCAAGACCTTGTCTGGGAAAAAAAAAAAAAAAGTTTATTTTAACTTATCCTTAAAAATAGGCTATTTACATTGTTCAGTTTCAAAAGTAAGGTGTACGTGTGAAGTCTCCCTGTCATTCTAGGAGAGGTTTAGTTCTTGTTACGGCCATTTTTGGCAAGAGGAGTAGTGGTGGTAGTGCTCAGTGTTTATAACTTTGTACATAAAAGGAAACCAAACAAAATTGTAAAAATTTCATCAGGCCAGGCGCAGTGGCTCACTCCTGTAATACCAGCACTTTGGAAGGCCGAGTCGGGCAGATCATGAGGTCAGGAGTTTGAGACCAGCCTGACCAACATGGTGAAATCCCATCTCTATTAAAAATACAAAAAACTTAGCCAGGCATGATGGCGCTCGCCTGTAATCCCAGCTACTCGGGAGGCTGAGGCAGGAGAATCGCTTGAATCTAGGAGGTGGATGTTGCAGTGAACTGAGATTGTGCCACTGCACTCCAGCCTGGGCAACAGAGCGAGACTCCCTGTCAAAAAAAAGAAAGAAAGAAAGAAAGAAATTATTGTGTAATAAGGACTAAGGTAGGGTAACTCCATGGAAATGTGTACAGGAGTGTAACTCAGGTGGGGAAATGGCATCCAAGTGGAGTCCTGAAGGACTAGTAAGTTTTACAGGTGAAGTGGGGTGTTCAGAAGGGTGGAGGGGATCTGGACAGAGCCTTCCGGGAAAAGAAGGAGGAAATGGTATGTCCAAAGGGTCATGGAGGGCACAGAGCTCTCAAATGATGAGCAGGTGATGGAGTTGTAATAGGAGCCTGAAGAGGCAGACTATAGCTAAAAACCATGTGAGGACTATGACCTCACCTTGAGAGCATGGGAAATACCCTTGAACTGCTGAAAGCAGGTACCTATGGTGCCAGTTTTCAGTGTGGAGAAGGATGGAGAGGAGCTCGGTAGCTTCAGGCCACGCTGGGCCGATTGGCTGACTGGATTACTGGAGTGGGTTTCAGTAGAGAGCCTTTCTATCTATTGCATTTCTCAACCTGTTTATATGTGGGTGGAATAAGGCTAAAATGGATTGCTGGGGAGCCTTGGACATTCAAGGGAAGGCCTAGTAGTGAACAAAGAAGGCCTAGGAGCCACCCTCTGCCTCCTCCCACTTCAAGATGTTCAAGGGGGAGGCATGTTCCCTGCTCTGGCTTGTGGGGTAAATCAAATATAGGCCACAGGTCCTTTTTTCCACCAGCTGGGTGCAAAACCTAAACCTACCAGCACTTTATTCTTGTCCTCTCTGTCTCTGCTCAGATGATACAACCTTGTTAGGGTTATCAGGGTTTGTTCCCCAGCTCTTTTAAGCTAGCAAATTTCTTATTTTCAATATGCCTGGAGGTGACTCACACTAACCTAATTCCCAAGCCTGTTGAATAAACCAGAATGAATTTTAAACTTATAGTGAGAAGTATATTCATAAGCAGACTGAATATTCATGTTGGCTGATCCGTACGTTCTCGCCCTGTAGGCTAATCTGGGTGGAAAGCTAAATTCTTTATAGCATTTCTTGGAGAGCATAAAATGAAAATAGGATTGGATGAGTGTAATGGCTGATGACAATGGGAGCCCTAGGCTTCTGCCTCCTCTGGAGGACAGTCTACGTTACAGTTAGAATAGAGTCTGTTTTATAGATGCTGTGTAGGTGATTCCTTTCCTGTTAACCCATTCTTTCTTTAGGCAGACTATAGCACAGTTAGTTATGTTTAGATTTTTTTTTTTTTTTTTGGAGACGGAGTCTTGCTCTGTCACCCAGGCTGGAGTGCAATGGTGCAATCTCGGCTCACTGCAACCTCCGGCTCCCAGTTTCAAGAGATTCTCCTGCCTCAGCCTCCTGAGTAGCTGGGATTACAGGTGTGCCCCACCACGCCCAGCTAATTTTTGTATTTTTAGTAGAGGTGGGGTTTCACCATGTTAGCCAGGCTGGTCTTGAACCCCTGACCTCAAGTGATCCACCCACCTTGGCCTCCCAAAGTGCTGGGATTACAGGCATGAGCCAGTGTGCCTGGCCCTGTTTAGGTCTTTTTAATTCCAATCTCTATTCAATCTTTCATGCCTGCGATTATATTCAGGTACCCAGATTGAATGCTGGATATTTATTATCTCATCACTTTCTAGCATTCCCCAAATTGGCAAGTCTGAGAAATCTGTAGTTTTTTTATGTGTAAGAATCTGTAATTTTTGTTTGTTTGTACTCCATCACCCAGGCTGGAGTACAGTGGCTCAATCAAGGCTCACTGCAACCTTGACCTCCCGGGCTCAAGCAATCCTCCTACCTCAACTTCCCAAGTAGCTGGGACTACAGGCCGGCAACACCACACCAGGCTGATTTTTGCATTTTTTGTAGAGATGTTGTCTCGCTATGTCACCCAGGCTGGTCTTGAACTCCTGAGTCCAAGCGATCCCCCTGCCTTGGCCTCCGAAAGTGCTGGGATTACAGGTGTGAGCCGCTGCACTTGGCCGTTTATAAGAATCTGTCATTTTAAAAGCTCTTCTAGGTAGTTTTGATGTGGCTTAGGTAGCACTGTTTAACATTTTGATTCCTTCTCATGCATTCTCAGTTTTTGCTCATTTTTATTCTTTATAGCAAATCTAAAATCTAGCAATATTCTACTTCCTTACCCAGTCAGCTACTGACAAACATTATCATCATTTTAAGGTACTCTTTGTTCTCTATGGTTTTCTAGTAATGACTTATTCAGGTACCCAGATAAGTCATCATTCATTAATTCATTTGAAAAAGATTATAGGGCTGAGCATGCTGGCTCATGCCTCTAATTTTAGCACTTTGGGAGGCCAAGATGGGCGGATCGGTTGAGCCCAGGAGTTTGACACCAGCCTGAGCAACATGGTGAAACTCCATCTCTACAAAAAATTAGCCAGAGGTGGCTGAGTTGGGAGGATCGCTTGAGCTCAGGAAGTTGAGGCTACAGTGAGTAGTGACTGCACCACTGCACTCCAGGCTGGGCGACAGAGCAAGACCCTGTTTCAGAAAAAAAAAAGAAAAGAGAAAGAACAATATTTTAAACTACTTATGTGCCAAGCATTGTTCTAGGCAAAGGGAAAATGGCAGTTAACCAAATAGTAAAAAATGTTTTGCTTATATGTAATCTGTATTTACAGTGTGTCAGATAATGATAAATGCTATGGACAAAAACAAGGGAATGAGACGGAGAACAGTAGGATTGAGCTTGATGGGGAGAAGAAGTGTAGTGCTGGACATTTTACAAGATGCCTGTTATATAACTAATTATCTAATATTGCGTCGATAGCCTAGTATATGCATCTGGAGCCCAGGGAAGAGATCCAGCCTGGAGATATAAATTTGGATAACCAGAAAGCTAGAATTAAGTTGGTAAAATGCTAAGCTCTTGGCAGAGTTGCATTCCTCCAAGCACTTTATTTAACTTTGGAACTCTGTTACCTAGCATAGCTGTCATAACGTGTTGCCCTTTTGGACAGTAACTCTGCACTCTGTTTGCCAAAGTGTTTACCTCACTGAGAACCATTGTGTGAACCGTGTTTTAGACTGGGAGGGGTATAGACTGTTAAGAGTTTATTGGTTTGCAAATTGTTATAACAACATAATAAGTGGAGCTGGAGGTTCTGATAGGCTTAGAAGTAGAACTAATGTACCAAGTCATAAGTGGAAAAAAAAAAATGTCCACTGATGGGCATTCAATTTTTGGTAGTAATCAGAAGTTAATATCACACATCATTCTAATAGGCTTTTGAAGACAGACTAATAGTGTAGGCTTTTCCTTTGAAAGCTGCCCATGTGCTTATTTTGACATGGAGATAAAAAGAGAAAGTTTAGAATTACTCAGTTCACACCTTGTTGACTGAGATTTCTGTTGTACCTGATATCGTTTAACTTTCCTCTTTATCTTTCTTAGAGATACTTCACATGTGGGACAGATTATATTTTGGAAAGATGTCCACAACAATATTGCCCATCCCACATTGCTCATCTTACAATGTGATCTCAAGACTCCTCCCACTGAGTGGGTGAGAAGGGACTTATACCACTTTCATTTGAATCTAGGCAGATCTGTGTGACAGCCTTGACCAATAGAGTATGGTTAAAGTGATGCCCCCAGGCATGGTGGCCCATACCTGGAATCCTGGTTTTTCCGGGAGGCCCAGGTGGGGGTAGAGGTGAGGGGGATGATTGTTTGAACACACGAGTTTGAGACTACCCTGAGCAACACAATGAGACCCTATTTTTTTTTTTAATGATTTCTGAAGCAGAATCACAAATAGCCGTGCGTTTTTTTCTTGCGCTTTTAGGATACTTACTTTTAAAACCCAGTCACCATATTGTTAGGAAGCCCAAACAGCACACATAGAGAGACATACGGAGAAGCCAACCATAGAGGTTCCTGTTGACAGCTCAGTCGAGGTCTCAACCAACAGTCATACTTAGCTGCCAGCCATATGAGTGAAGGGCTTCCAGATGATTCTAACGCCCAGCAGTTGGGTCCCCCCAGCCTGTAAGCCTTCCCAGCTGAGGCCTCAGCAATGATGGAGCAGAGAAAAGTTGTCCCTGTCCAAATTCCTGACCCATGATAAAATGGTTGTTTCCCATCAAGTTTTGGGAGTGATTTATTATACAACAATAGTAACTGGAACAATATCCTTAGAAGTTGTAATAGATAGTATTAACACTACCCCTTCTTCATTTATTCAAGGACAAAGCTACCATGTATCCTTTTATTCTAGTTTAAAGATAAAATGAAATCATTGTCTCTTTGAAAAAATGCTTAGAATATGAAATTTAAAAGTTGAGGAACATTCAAAGAGTTTTATACTTTTTTATCTGAAAATGAGAAAATAGCAAACCAAAAAGCTCTGATGTGAAGACATTAAGACTTCATGATGGCTTAATGTCTTCATAATGCAAACTCCATAAACAGTTTTTTCTAAGGTTCTTGTCACATGATCATACACTTTGAATATGGTGATTCTGTCATTTTTCATAAAATCTCAGGGTTTTTACATTATTGTCATAACCACATAACCACTGAGTCACAAAAGGGGACATTTCATTGCAATTTCCTTTAGTAAGATATGGTTTTGCCATTTCCCCCCCAAATTTCATTTCCTCTTCCTTGAAATATGAGCCATGCCAATCTACTTCAGAAGTGTTGTTTTGAGGAATATAAAACAAAAGACAAAACTTTTTTTTTTTTTTTTTTGAGACAGGGTCTGGCTCTGTTGCCCAGGCTGGAGTGCAGTGGTGCAGTCTTGGCTCACTCTAACCTCCACCTCCTGGGCTCAAGCTATCTTTCCACCTCAGCCTCACAAGTAGCTAGGACTAACAGGTGTGAGCACCATGCCCATCTAATTTTTGTGTTTTGTTTTTTGTTTTTTGGTAGAGACAGGGTTTTGCCATGTTACCCAGGTTGGTCTCAAACTCCTGGGCTCAAGTGATCCACCCGCCTTGGCCTCCCAAAGTGCTAAGATTAGAAGCGTGAGCCACTGCACCTGACCCACAACTTTCTATAGCTTTAGTTGTGAAATAGAATTACTGTTCTGGAGGCAGTAAATCAGCCAGACTAAAGTTAGGCATCTCAGATCTAGTTCTGTCTCTGCTGCTTATTCATTGTGTTCACTCCTCAAATCTTGAAAGAATATTTATTTTAAGATCTTTTTTTTGTTTGTTTTTTTGAGATAGAGTCTCGCTGTGTTGCCCACGCTGGAGTGCAGTAGTATGATCTCTGCTCACTGCAACCTCCGCCTCCCAGGTTCAAGCGATTCTCCTGCCTCAGCCTCCCAGGTAGCTGGGACTATAGGCGCATGCCACCCTGCCTGGCTAATTTTGGTATTTTTAGTAGAAACGGGGTTTTGCCACATTGGCCAGGCTGGTCTCGTACTCCTGACCTCAGATGATCACCCACCTCAGCCTCCCAAAGTTCTGGGATTACAGGTATGAGCCACCGTGCCTGGCCAATTTTCTCATTCTTAAAAGATTTCTACAATTTAGTCAGTGTGTCATATTGTTCAAGAGTGTGGATCTGGAGCTAGACTGCTTGGTTCATATCCTGACATTAACTAACTGATTGATTTTGGACAAGTCATTTAGCCTCAGTTCCTTCATCTGTAAAATGGAGATAATGATAGTGCCTACTCCATAAGATTATATGCGAAATAAACTCTACTAGTGTTGGCTATCATTATCCACCTCCACATGTTGCTGGTTGTCATGATATTTCATTGATATCTTTTTTTTCTTTTTTTGAGATAGAGTCTGTCTCTGTCACCCAGGCTGGAGTGCAGTGGCACGGTCTTGGCTCACTGCAACCTCCACCTCCTGGGTTCAAGCAGTTCTTCTGCCTCAGCCTCCCAAGTAGCTGGGATTACAGGCATGTGCCACCACGCCCGGCTAATTTTTGTATTTTTAGTAGAGACAGGGTTTCACCGTGTTGGCCAGGCTGGTCTGGAACTCCTGACCTCAGGTGATCCACCCGCCTAGGCCTCCCAAAGTGCTGGGATTATAGGCGTGAGCCACTGCGCCCGGCCTTCCATTGATATCTTGAATTCCATGTCGAGACTGAATGATCACTTTTTTATTAGGGGTATTGTGGACGTGATCAATGAATTTGGTATAAACTAGACTGTGTGACCTCGAGTCCCTTCAACTCAAGTGTTTCAAGGTAATCTGAGTTCCAGGATCAACTGACACTGAAATAGTGATCCTAGGAGTACTGATTCATAATGAGCAGATAACATGGCAATGCCAATTACAATAGACGATTTCTAAAGTTAGAAACTTTACTTAGAAATTTTATGTTGAGTCCCACACTGTAGCTCAAATAAATGCTAATGTTAACAGGAGGTTTGTAAAGGGTTCAACAATTCAAAAAGTGACACACACCTAGAATCATCAGGCACATTCCTTAAGTTGTGAGGCACTCGGTACATAGATTGAATGTCTTGGGTGTGACTCCATAGGCAAAAATGTCAGGGACTATTTTTTTTTTTGAGATAGAGTCTCGTTCTGTCACCCAGGCTGGAGTGCAGTGGCGCGATCTCCACTCACTGCAACCTCCACCTTCTGGGTTCAAGCAATTCTCCTGCCTCAGTCTCCTGAGTAGCTGGGATTACAGGTGTGCACCACCACGCCCGGCTAATTTTTGTATTTTTAGTAGAGACAGGGTTTCACTATGTTGGCCAGGCTGGTCTCAAACTCCTGACCTCAGGTGATTCACCCACCTCGGCCTCCCAAAGTGCTGGGATTACAAGCGTGAGCCGCCTGGCATCAGGGAGTAGTTTGCTGAACAGAAACCTTTTGGCTAAGGTTTATTGTTTATTTTGTCAGTTTGGCAGATCAGCAAGTGAGTAAGGTAGATAAACAATGTCATTGCAGAAAAATTTTAGGCAGTCAAGTGCTTTATTTGCCAAAAAGATTCAACCACCTGATGGAAATGAAAAACAGGATGATACGATGGCTTCTTCCTTCACTTTCTCACTTTCCTTGGATTATGAAATGCCAGTAATTGAGAAAGCGGAATGAACAGTCATTAGAGATGGAAGAAAACCCTAGAGAGAAGTTGGAAGTAGTTGGGTGGGATAAAGACTTTCTGATAACTTCAAGCAGATCTAGAAATTGGCATTGGATTGTTAGAGAAAAATTGAAAATGTAAAATGTTAGTTGCATGAGTGGGCAACAGATACTCTCCATTAGCAGTGTTCAATTACGTGTCACCAATGTGCAATAGTCTGAGACAGGCAGGGTCTTGCTCTGTCACCCAGGCACTGTCAGAGCTCACTGCAGCCTCAACCTCCTGGCCTCAAGCCATCCTCCCACTTCAGCCTCCCCAGTAGCTAAGACTCAGGTGCACACTACCACGCCCAGCTAATTTTTTAATTTTGTAAATTTCTTATTTATTATTATTTCCTGTTTTTTTGGGGGGGGTAGAGATAGGATCTCACTATGTTGCCCAGGCTAGCCTTGAACTCCTGGCCTCAAGTGATCCTCCTGCCTCAGCCTCCCAAAGTGTTGGGATTACTTACAGGCATGAGCCACTGAGCCTGGCCAAGTTCTGTTTATTTAGATAATATTTGCTTGTAGTATGGACCCCACCCAGCTCACAAGCTTGGGGTGAGGGACCTGGGGGTTAAATGACGGCAAATGTAAGCCAACCTAAAGGTTATATGTATGTTGATTCTTCAGATGTGGCCGAGATCAGGCAAGGCAGCTCACAGGGAGAGTAAAGGGTACTATTTTATACACTAGGTACTTGGTAACCAGTCTGAATTGTGGGCCAGTCCTAGGGACATGGGGCAAAAGTAAAGAAAGGAAAGGAAAAAAGACTAGAGGGAAATGTAGGATACACTCACGTGGATGGAAGATTGAGTCCAGGGAAACTGAGTAAGATGCCAAATGCTCACGATAAAAGGATGACGTTTCCATGGGATCCTGTAGGCATCACCGAGAGGGTACTGTTGGGAGAACACTTAGGAACCCAGATCACCTAACATGGAGTGAGTGGGGCTCAGATCTGAGCAGAAACCCAACAAGGACTTCCCAACTCCAAGTAAAGCTAAATTTAGACAATCCTTTTATGTTGCTGGTCCCTCTTGCAACACAGTCTCCTCCGGCCAGGCTGCCTTCTCCTTCTTTATATGCACCAGCCTTCTTCCACCTCAGGGCTTTGAACTCCTTTATCCCAGCTCTGCCTTGCCCTTGGCCGGGGAAGTCTCTAGCCCTAGGTGCTTCACCTTCAGCTAACCCTATTGTGTGCAATCCCGACCTCCTGGCTCTCTCTAAAGTCAGTTACACACGCCAGTGAGCTCTGAGGGTTCAGCCAAGATTGAATACACTCTGTTAAAGAAGGGGAATTGGGGGAAAAGCCAGATTTTAAAAGCATGATTTATTTCTTACTTGTTTATGTATTTTTGAATAGGCCACACCTGGTGTGTGACTGCCCCAGTCATTAGGGGATTTTTTTTTTTCTTCCCTGGAGGCAACCACCATAACTGGTTTCTTGTGAATTCTTCCAGAGAGCTATCAAGCATTTATGAGTAAATTCCCCCCTCCCTTACAAATGTTAGCATACTAGTCACACTTTTTGGTACCTTTTACCACTTATAATATCTTGGTGGGGGTTTCTTTTCCTTAGCCGCCTCATTCTTCTTAATGTAACTATTAATCCTTCTTCTGTTTTTTGTTTTTGTTTTTTGACAGGGTCTTGCTTTGTTGCCCAGGCTAGTCTCAAACTCCTGGCCTCAAGCAGTCCTCCTGCCTCAGCCTCCTGAAGTGCTGGGATTACACTGGGCAACACGGCCAACCCCTGTCTCTATCAAAACAAAAACAAAAATTAGTTGGGCGTGCTAACGCACACCTGTAGTCCTAGGTACTTGGGAGGGTGAGGTGGGATGATCACCCGAGCCTGAGGAGATCAAGGCGGCAGTGAGCGGTGATTGAGCCACTGCACACCAGCATACTGCACACCAGGCCACAGAGTGAAACCCTGTCTCAAAAAAAAAAAGAGCGAGTGTTGGTATTTGTGTGAAATTTTTATTGAGGATATTAAGACAAAGTGTTGATGTTCTATACTTTGAACCCAAAGCTTTGTAACTCATTTTCTACTTGTAACTATGTAAAATATGCCTGCTTAGTATACCAAACAGTATTCTTAACTGTATTCTTAAGGTCGGGCACGGTGGCTTACCCCTGTAATCCCAGCACTTCGGAAGGCCGAGGTGGGTGGATCACCTGAGGTCAGGAGTTCAAGACCAGCCTGGCCAACATGGTGAAACCCTATCTCTACTAAAAATACAAAAAAATTAACCGGGCATCTTGGCGCGTGCCTGTAATCCCAGCTACTCAGGAGGCTGAGGCAGGAGAATTGCTTGAACCCAGGAGGCAGACATTGCAGTGAGCTGAGATCGCGCCACTACACTCCAGCCTGGTGATAGAGTGAGACTCCGTCTCAAAAAAAAAAAAAAGTTAATTTTATGTTAGATGAATTTCACCTCAAATTAAAAAGAAGAGAAAGAGGCTGGGTGCAATGGCTCACGCCTGTAATCCTAGCACTTTGGGAGGCTGAGGCGGGTGGATCACTTGAGCCCAGGAGTTTGAGACCAGCCTGGCCAACATGGTGAGACCTTGTCTCTACAAAAATACAAGTTAGCCAGGCATGGTAGCCTGCACCTGTGGTCCCAGCTACTTGGGAGGCTTAGGTGGGAGGATCACCTGAGCCCAGGAGGTCAAGGCTGTAGTGAGCCAAGATAGCACCACTACACTCCAGCCTGGGCAACAGAGCAAGACCTTGTTTCAGGAAAAAACAACAGGTTAGTACTGGGCATCTTAGCTATCTCTTAGACGACAAAGGGCTAATTTGGGATGGACACTCCTTGGTGTTTGGAAATTTAAAAGCCAATGCAAATGCTGTATAAAACAATTGATCTTTAACGGTTCAGCGGGATCTATAAATTTTCTCCTGAGTAATGAAAGATTGCTGTGTTTTTTTTTGAAGTCTCCTTAATGATTGTCTGTGTACTTACTCCCTGTTGCAAAACAGGTAATGAGAGTATATTAGGTGCTATTTTAAAATACACCCACAACATTAAACTAAATTCAAATAATTAATTGGAAATTGTTATTTCTGCAAAGTAATTTCCACCAAATCAGTCATTAAGCTATCTACTAAAACCAGTATTTAGTGGCTTTTAGTCAAGTTGGCTAATGGTAGACTTCTCATGGCACGTGGGAGAAGTAAGCTGAAGTAGCAGAAAATGGTATTTGCAGTGAGTGTTCAAGGCGAACTTTTAAAAATACTTTACAGTAATTACAGCATGTGGCTGAAAATAACTATTTGGTTCTTTTTTTAAACCACTATAGTTAGATGGACTATAAACATCATTCAGTTTCCCTGTGTTGTGATTCATTTCCACAAACATGTATTGTGCCAGGCACTGATTTAGGTGCCACAAAAAATAGATAAGAAATGGCTTGACAACTGTCCTTAAGTTTAATAGGCATGAGATTTCTAGATACTGCTCTACTAATGTGTCATTGCCTACAACTCACCTGTTCTGAATGACCACTTTTTTTGTTATCCTATATCAGAAGTACTTGGAAAAAAATAACCAGCAATTTGACGTTTTGGAGAAATGTTTTATTCTCTTCTGTTTTTCACCAACCAAGCAAGCAGCAGTGATGTTTTGTTTTTTTAAAAATCAGAGGCAGGGATCTGAGTATTTCATAGGGATTTCAGTTCGTTTCAGTGATAGAGGATGTTGGCACTAAGTCTAAGTACCACAACCTAACGGGGCCATCTCATTTTACATTCCCCGTTGTTCCTGCAATGGGAACGAAGGCCTGAAAGCTGCCTGCCACATGAGAAAAATGGCAGCTTTTCAAAGTTCTCGAATGTTAACCTCCCTTGAATCTGTTAAGGCATTCAGAGCACAGTGCAAGAAACTTAAGGTTTGAATTGGACTGTGTCTCCGCTGAGTTGGCGTAGCATATTAATTTTCTATTTCTATTGGTAACTTTTGTTGTTGCTAAATTCTTAGTACCTTTTGGTTTTATGTTGATGCGAAGTAGTTTAAGTGTTACAGAAACAGTGGCTTTAAAGTTATGGTATTGCTTTTCTCAAATAGGCAGCACTTAGTAAAACAAAAAGAAAAAAAATTGCCTAATAAGCTGGGCACGCTGGCTCACTCCTGTAATCCCAGCACTTTAGGAGGCCAAGGCGGGTGGATCACTTGAGACCAGGAGTTCGAGACCAGCCTGACCAACATGGTGAAACCCTGTCTCTACTAAAAATACAAAAATTAGCCGGGCGTGGTGGCGGGCGCCTGTAATCCCAGCTACTTGGGAGGCTGAGGCAACAAGAATCACTTGAAACCTGGAGGCAGAGGTAAGCAGTGAGCCAAGGTCGCGCTACAGCACTCCAGCCTGGGCTACAAAGCTAGACTCCATCTCAAAAGAAACGAAAAAGAAAAGTCAAAAGACCATTCTGGAGTCCTCTGATGAAATGAGATCTATGTCGTTGGTATGAAAATGAACATCATTCACATTGTTTCCTAGGCAGAGTCACTGCTTTTGATGCTATTTGTATCATGGTAGCGTTTTGACAGCCAACAGGAATTTCCTTCTTAGTATTCACATTGAGAAATGTGATTAAACATCATTCTGTTGCCTAAAAGGCAAATCAGCAGCTAGAACAGCTTTAAAAGGGACCATGGCAGCCACTCTCAAGTTCTGTAGCCTTTTTTGTTTTGTTTTGTTTTTAATCTAATGAGGTCCTGTGAAAATAGCCCAGTGTTTGCATAGATAAAATAAGCATTGTGGGCCGGGCGCGGTGGCTCACGCCTGTAATCCCAGCACTTTGGGAGGCACTCCAACCTGGGTGATGAAGCGAGACTCCGTTTCAAAAAAATGAAAATAAAAAATAATAAATAAGTAAATAAAATAAGCATTATGCATTTGACCACTTGAAAAAAATGAGGTTTCTCTCTGGCTAGCCATTACTCCAAAGATCAAAACAAACAACAAAACAAGCAAGAGTGGTTATCATTTATTTCTTTCCAGTTAACTATTGCCAAATTTGAATTTATATGGCAGATTTTGGTTCCAGATGGAGCAGTCATGATGATCTGCTTTTGGAAGTTCACTCATTGATTTTTGTAAACTTCAGCAAGTTACAAAATTGATATTCCAAAATATTTTCTTAAATCACTCCAAAGTTGTATCTTTCATCTGACATCACTATTGAACCTATAAAGACTTTTTATGAAACCTATGCAATCTAATTGTTAGTTTAATCCAAAAAAAATCATTTGGCTGGCTTATGATCATTTTTATCTGGGGGAGAAATATAACAATTTGATCTTTTTTTTTTTTTTTTTGAGACAGAGTCTTGCTGTGTCGCTAGGCTGGAGTGCAGTGGCGCGATCTCGGCTCACTGCAACCTCCGTCTCCTGGAAGTCTAACTCTCATCCAGGCGGGAGTGGAGTGCCTTGACGCAGTCTTGGCTGACTGCAACCTCTGCCTCCCAGACTCAAGCGATCCTCCCACCTCGGCCTCCTGAGTAGCTGGGACCACAGATGCAGGCCACCATGCCCGGCTAATTTTTTTGTATTTTTGGTAGAGACAGGGTTTCACCATATTGCCCAAGCTGGTCTTGAACTTATGAGCTCAGGCGATCCACTTGCCTCGGCTTCCCAAAGTGCTGGGATTACAGGCGTGAGTCTCTGTGCCCAGCCCTAATCATCTTTTTTGATATATTATTTTACTGTTTCTAGCTAGCAAAAGATGATTCTTGCTTGCTTAAAATAAAGTCCCCACTTCAGGTTTTCAGGGAACAAGAATTTACAGTTTGTAGAAATTCTCCTTGTACAATTTAGCTACACTATATTCTTATTTTTTATGTGATAAGCAACTGTACTTAAAAGTAGACTATCTTGGCTGGACATGGTGGCTCATGTCTGCAATCTCAGCACTTTGGGAGGCAGAGATGGGCGGGTGACTTGAGGTCAGGAGTTCGAGACCAGCCTGGGCAGCATAGTGAGCTGAGATCACGCACCAGTGCACTCCAGCCTGGGTGACAGAGTGAGACTGTCTCTAAATAAATAAATAAATAAATAAATAAATACCCAAATGAGTAAACTAAAAATTTACAGCACTATTGGTCACACCAAGTCTTTTATTGCAAGGAAGAGGGAGGTTTGTAGGCTCTACAGCCTGAGACGCTAGAGCTGGCTGCCTGCATGCCTGTCACAGGGTTTCTGTCTTACTAGTAGGGGTGAAGTCACTTCACTGCTATGTTAGTTTCCTCATCGGTAAATGGAAATAATAATAGTATTGTACTTAATGCAACAGAACTATTCACTTAAAAATGATTAACATGGCAAATTGTATGATATATATATACACATACACACACACACACACTTTAAACACACTTTTTTTTTTAAACAAAAGGGAAGAGTATTAGCCGGGCCCAGTGGCTCAGGCCTGTAATCCCAGCACTTTGGGAGGCCGAGGTGGGTGGATCACAAGGTCAGGAGATCGAGACCATCCTGGCTAACACAGTGAAACTCTGTCTCTACTAAAAATATTAAAAAATTAGCCAGGCGTGGTGGCAGGTGCCTGTAGTCCCAGCTACTTGGGAGGCTGAGGCAGGAGAAGGGCATGAACCCAGGAGGCAGAGCTTGCAGTGAGCCGAGATTGCACCGCTGCACTCCAGCCTGGGCGACAGAGTGAAACTCTGTCTCAAAAAAAAAAAAAAAAGAAGAGTGTTGTATTGGGGAGGTAAAAAAAAAAAAAAAAAAAAACCACGTTAGACCAGACCATGATGTCCATTGTTTTTTATTTTTTTGATGGAGTCTCACTCTGTCACCCGGGCTGGAGTGCAGTAGTGCGATCTTAGCTCACTGCAACCTCTGCCTTCCGGGTTCAAGTGATTCTCCTGCCTTAGCCTCCAGAGTAGCTGGGACTACAGGCACCCACCACCATACCTGGGTAATTTTTGTATTTTTAGTAGAGACTGGGTTTCGCGATGTTGGCCAGGCTGGTCTTGAACTCCCAACCTCAAGTGATCCTCCTGCCTTGGCCTCCCAAAGTGCTGAGATTACAGGCGTGAGCTACCGCACCCAGCCTGGATTTGTTTTTAAAACATGATATTAGTGTGTTAATTACATTCACATTTGCCTAGAAGAAATTTGTAACAGAAATAGGAGCTCAAAACATTGAAATGAGATGAAGCAACAAATAATTTAAAGCCACTTAAAAATAGAGCCAAACATGGTGGGATTTCTTTGAAATATCTGTTAATGTTTATTTTTTAAAGCTGAATACTGTTCAGTTATTAAGTAGAACCAACTACCCGTGTATAATTAATGAAAAGAAAACACTTGTGCTAGGTTTATAGGTATATAAACACTTAGATATCTCACATTCTTTGGCAACAGCTTAGGGAAGGCAGCCATGTACTAGAGACTTTTAGCTTTTTTTTGCAGCTGATCTCAGGGACTTGAAGAACTCCTTATGGTATGATTGAATTATTTTTTAATAGGTAAAATTCTCACGTTATTGCATGCTCTTCATAAATTACCTTTTTTTTAAAAGAGATGGGGTCTTGCTATGTTGCTGAGGCTGGTCTCAATCTCCTGTGCTCAAGTGATTCTCCCACCTCAGCCTACCAAAGTGTTGTCATTATAGACATGAGCCACCCTGCTCTGCCAAATGACATTTTTAACAGCTCCATGAGATCAGGGGACTCTTCTGTTCACAGTTACATCCCCAGCACCTTGCAGAGTCACTGGCACATTCCTGAAACCCAACATAATAAACTACGTATGTGAACAAAACCAACTCTGACCACAGGCTAGAAAGAATTCAGTAGAAGTTTCCATTGACTCATTCATGCATTAAGCAAATATTTTCTTTTCTTTTCTTTTTTTGAGACAGAGTTTTGCTCTTGTTGTCCAGGCTAGAGTGCAATGGCGAGATCTTGGCTCACCGCAACCTCCTCCTCCCAGGTTCAAGCGATTCTCCTGCCTCAGCCTCCTGAGTAGCTCTAATTACAGGCGTGCACCACCACGCCCAGCTAATTTTGTGTTTTTAGTAGAGACAGGGTTTCTCCATGTTGGTCAGGCTGGTGTTGAACTCCCAGCCTCAGGTGATCCGCCAGCCTCGGCCTCCCAAAGTGCTGGGATTACAGGTGTGAGCCCCCATGCCCGGCCTCAGCAAATATTTTCAAAGGACATCTAGATTGGTAGTGCAGTATGTCTTGACTGATAGTGGGGGATGTGATGAATCAGGTATTGTGAAGAAGAAACTCATGTTAGAACTACCTGAACAATGCCAAGAGCACCTCCTGGTAAGTGGAGTTTCACAAAAGGAGTATTAAAAGGGCACTAATCCCATTCACAAGGGGCCCACCCTCATGACCTAATCACCTCCCAAAGGGCCCACCTCCAGGTACCACTGCACTGGGGATTAGGTTTCAACATATGAATTGGGAAAGGGAGGCATAAACATTCAGTCTGTAACAATAATATATAAAATTTTAAATCAAACTAGATAAACATTTATTCAAAATAAGACAGTTACCTTAATATATAAGAAGTTTATGCAAAACAATAAATACAAAATTTCTAATAGATGAATGAACAAAGATTAAGAAGAGAACAGTTACAAAAGGAATTCCAAATTCCAAATGAAAATGTCTAAAACATTAATTTCATGAATAATTAAATAAATGCACTTTGGGAGACCGAGGCAGGTGCATTGCTTGAGCCCAGGAGTTCAAGACCAGCCTGGGCAATATGGCAAAACCCCATCTCTACAAAAGATACAAAAATTAGCCAGGCATGGTGGCTTGCGCCTGTAGTCCCAGCTACTCAGGAGGCTGAGGTGGGAGGATCACCTGAGCCCAGGAGGTTGAGGTTACAGCGAGCCGAAATTGTGCCAATGCATTCCAGTCCAGGCAACAGAGTGAGACCCTATCTCCAAAACAAAACAAAACAAAAGAAATAAATGCAAAAAAAGCAATTTGCCTACCAAATAAGGTAGTTTTTTTGTTTTGCAAATGGTAGTATTCAGTCCTAGTCAGGGTTCAGCAAGTTAGGGATCCTTGTATACTGTTGGTGAGTGTGTAATTGGTTCACCTTTTCTAGTAAAGACCTGGGCAGTAGTCGAGGCTGGATTTTTAGCCAGGATGCTTGGTACTGCTGGCCTCTTCTGATTGGACAGGGAGTCTATTGATAATGGATTGTTAAATAGTTTTATTATCATTCCTGCTAGAAGGTATCAAGACACTTTAAAATGTTCATATACAGAGACCTATTGGTTTTCCTCATGGGAATGTAAATAAATTTTGAATTAATCTTTCTGATATTTCTTCATAGCTCTGTACTGTAAAGACCTACTAGTATGTGAGCTCCATGAGAATAGAGAAGTTGTGTCTTCTTTTACCTGCTAGGCCCTCAGTTTCTAGAATAGTATTTGGCATAGTAAGTGCTCAATAAAATATTTGTTGGAAGAATGGATGGGTGTATGTGTTTTGGGCATACAGTAGAAACAGCATATGTTGCTTACTGTAATGTTTTGTGTTCTCTTTTAAGAACATTTTATTTGACAGTATTTATTATATTAATATTACTGTGGTGGTATATGAAAAATATTTTTGGCCTTTAGACAGTAATCGTCCGGGATTTTTTTTTTTTTTAAGAAGTTTTTCCCCCAAGGGTGAAGTCTTTTTTGCAATCAATCATCAATCCATAGTTGGGTACTAAATGATGCCCATTTTCTGAAAAATGTTTTTTTTTTTAAGGGAAGAAAACAGAGGAACATCAATCAAGGAAAAAGTAATAGTTCAATACTTTATGTAATAGCTTTTTCTATTCACTTAAGTTTTTCCTTCATAAATGTTTTACCTTCATTTTTGATCTCTAATTGGCAGAGGCTCAAGTGACCTTAAGTATCTCTTATCCTGAAGATTTTCCTATCAACCAAATTGTAAACTAATAAATAATTATGGCATATTACAAAAGAATGTATGAAAATATGTATGTATAGAATAATATGTACAAAAATAGCAGTAAAATGCACATCCATGTACATGCCACCCAGCCTAAGAAATAGAACATTAGGCTGGGCACGGTGGCTCATGCCTGTAATCCCAGCACTTTGGGGGGCCGAGGCAGGTGGATCGCTTGAGGTCAGGAGTTTGAGACCAGCCTGGCCAATATGGCAAAACCCCATCTCTACTAAAAATACAAAAATTAGCCAGGCGTGGTGGCGTGCACCTGTATTCCCAGCTACTTGGGAGGCTGAGGCAGGAGGGTTGCTTGAACCTCGGAGGCAGAGGTTGCCGTGAACCGAGATTGCGCCATTGCACTCCAGCCTGGGCGGCACAGCAAGACTCCGTCTCAAAAAGAAAAAAAAAAAAAAAAGAAAGAAAGAAATAAGAAATAGAACATTATTCCAGAATCTCCTGCTGGCCCCTCCCTGATCACATCCCTTTCTAAGCCTCTGCCACCCTATTTGAGTGTTCAGAATTTTGCATTGAACATATTCTGTTATTTTTACAGTTTCATCCTGTATGAATATACCAGTAAAATACATTGTTTAGTTTTGCCTATTTTTGGACTTCAAGTAGAATCAGATGGACAGGTGGGTTTGTCTTAGTCTATTTTGTGTTGCTATAGCAGAATACCACAACCTGGGTAATTTATAAACAGTAGAAAATTATTTGGCTCATGAATCTAGAGGTTGGAAAGTCCAAGAATATGGTGCTGGCACCAGTTGAAGGCCTTTTGCCACTTAGGGCAAGAGAGCAAGAGGGCATCAAACTCCCTTTTGTAACAAGCCCACTCTTGAAATAACTAATCCACTCCTTTGATAATGATATTAAACCATTCAGGAGGGCTCTGCCATCTTTTATTTGGCCCCATTTCCCATTAAGTTTCTGACACATGAACTTTGGGGAACACATTGACAACAAAGCAGGTTGT
This sequence comes from Homo sapiens, assembly GCF_000001405.40. Lineage (NCBI taxonomy): Eukaryota > Metazoa > Chordata > Mammalia > Primates > Hominidae > Homo > Homo sapiens. The sequence continues at coordinate 130,013,686 of NC_000009.12, read as the reverse complement.
TGCCAATATTTTTTTTAGCATGAATTATGCTGCTATAAACATTCATATGCATGTCTCTTGGTGCACATGAGCAAGAGTTATTGTCTAGCTCCTAAACCTTAAGATATATACCTAGAGATGTCATACAGAGGCACAGGTTCACCTTTACTAGGTAAAACCAACCTGTTTTCCGAGGTCCCCAGCAGTGTGTGAATGTTGCCATTACACCACGTCCTTGTTTACACTTGGTGCTCTCTGACTTTAAATTTTTACCAGACTGATGGATATGAAATGGTATTTCATTGTGGTTTTAATATGCATTTCCCTGATTACTAATTAAGCTAAATATATTTATTGCTTAAAATTCTTATTTATTTATTTTTGCCCCTTTTCCTGTTAAGTTATTTGACTCTTTTTAGAACAGTTGGAGCCAGGCACAGTAGCTCATGCCTGTAATCCCAGCACTTTGGGAGGCCGAGGCAGGGGGATTGCTTGAGCCCAGGTATTCAAGACCAGCCTGGGCAACATAGTGATATCCTGTCTCTTAAAAACATAAAAAATAGAACAATTGAAGGAGTGCTATCTATATTCTAGATACCAATTCTCTGTTGATCATATGTGTTACAAATATCTTCTCCCAGTTTGTATTTTTTATGTTCACTTTCCTCAATGCTATCTTTTCGTGAACGGAATTTTTTAGTTTTTTAGTTTTATTGACTTTTTTCATTATGGTGTACACTTTTTGATGTCTTGTTTAAAAATCATTTCTGGCTGGGCGTGGTGGCTCACGCCTCTACTCCCAGCACTTTGGGAGGCTGAGGTGGGCAGATCACGAGGTCAGAAGATCAAGACCATCCTGGCTAACATGGTGAAACCCTGTCTCCACTAAAAATACAAAAAATTAGCCTGGTGTGGTGGCACGCGCCTGTATTCTCAGCTACTTGGGAGGCTGAGGTAGGAGAATCGCTTGAACCCAGGAGATGGAGGTTGCAGTGAGCCGAGATCGCACCACTGCACTCCAGCCTGGGCGACAGAGCGAGACTCCATCTCAATTAAAAAACAAAACAAAACAAAACAAAACAAATTTCCTACCTCAGGATCCAAAAGATATTATCCTATATTGTCTCCTAAAAGTTTTATAGCCTAGCCTTTTACATTTAGGTTCTTAATTCTTAATCCACCTGGAATAAGTTTTTGTATATTTTTAAAAGTAGAGGTTTTATCTCATTTTTCCCGATAGATATGCAATTATCCCCGTACCTCTTATTGAACAGCTTGTTCTTTCCCCACTGGTTGATGACAATGATGATGATGATGATGAAAATGATAGCATTAACACTTACTGAGGGCTTACCATGTGCCAGGCATATGCTAAGCATGAGGTAATTTACTAATCCTTTTAGTAACTCAGTGAGTAGGTCCTGCTTCTATCCTCTTTTGAGTTGAGAAACAGCAACACAGAAGTTAAATACTTGCTTCATGTGGCATACCTAGTAGTCAAAGAGCCAGCATTCAAACCAATTTATTCTAGTTCCAGAATCCAGATTCTTAGCCATTAGGCTCTGCATCTTTTCTACATGGCTACATCTATCCTAAATCAAAAGTCATTTTTGCATGGACCTGTTCCTGGCCTTTCAATTCTTTGTATTTGTCTATGTCTTTGTCCCTGGCCAATAGCACAAAGCCTCTTAATTAACTTTAGAATAAGTCAGTATCTGGTGTGGCTACTATTCCTACCTTGTTGTTCTTCAAGAGTGTTTTGGCTATTAATTGACCTTTGCATCTTGATTTAAATCTTAGAATTTTGTTCTCCAGAAAACTTGTTGGGGTTTTAATTGAACTGCATTGAATCTGTAGATAATCTAGGGGAGGATTGATATATCTATAATATATGGCCTTCCAATCCATGAACATGGTATATTTCTATATTTATTCTGTTTTTCTTTAATGTTGTCTTAGTCCATTTGTGCTGCTATAACAAAATACCTGAGAGTGGATAATTTATAAACAACAGAAATTTATTTCTCACAGTTTTGGAGGCTGGGAAGTTCAAGATCAAGGTGCCAGCAGGTTCAGTGACTGGTGAAGGCCCATTCCTCAGATGGTGCTATCTAGGTGTTGGTGTTGCCACATGGGGAAGGGATGGAAGAGCAACAGCAGCTCTCTGAAGCATCTTTCATATGGGCATTAATCCCATCCATGAGGGTGGAGCCTTCATAGCCTAATCAGTTCCCATAGGCACCAGCTCTTAGTACTGTCACCTTGGAGGTTAAGTTCCAGCATGACTTTTGGAGGATACATTCATTAAAACCTTAGCAAATGCATTTTAATAAAGTTTTATACTTTGCTCTATTATGTTCTTGCACACCTTTTATTATGTTTGTTTCTGTCTACTTGTAATTCTTCATGCTGTTATAAGTAATAATGTTATATATATTTTATATATATATATATATATATATATTTTTTTTTTTTTTTTTTTTTTTTTTTTTGAGATGGAGTCTCACTCTGTCACCCAGGCTGGAGTGCAATGGCACCATCTCAGCTCACTGCAAGCTCCGCCTCCTGGGTTCACGCTGTTCTCCCGCCTCAGCCTCCCGAGTAGCTGGGACTACAGGTGCCTGCCACCACGCCCACCTAACTGTCTCTTGCTTTTCCACCTTCCTTCCATCTCTGCTGTCTGTTTGGCTTGGCTGATTTTTACTTATTCTTCTCATTTCCTCTTAGAAATCCCTCCCTCTGAAAGGCCTTCCCTAATCCCATGTCTATCTTGAGCCCTGCAAGTCTATGTTTCTACTGCTCTTTTAGCCTAGAGTGCTCATTAGCACTCTACTGTTCCCTACTCTCATTCCAGTGCCAGTACAGAGCTTGGCTGAGAGTGAGCTCTCAATAAGAATGGTTGAATTATAGCAACATTTTGGAAGGAGACAAAAAAAAAAAAAAGACCCAAAGAAAAGTGGCTTAGACAACAAGGGCACATTTTCTATCTCACATGACAAAGAGTCCAGAGGCAGGGAAATTCCAGGTTGGTGTCTCAGTTCAGTAATAGCTGAGAAATTGTCATCAAAAAGCCAGGTGCTTTCCATCTCTGGCTCTGCCATTTCAAGCATCACAGGTAGCTATGACCACGTCAAGTAAAGAAGAGGAGGGAGCCGGGTGCAGTGGCTCATGCCTGCAATTCCAGCACTTTGGGAGGCCGAGGCAGGCAGATCACTTTAGGTTAAGAGTTGGAGACCAGCCTTTCCAACATGGTGAAACCCCATCTCTACTAAAAATACAAAAAGTATCCGGGTTTTTTTGGGAGGAAACCTTTCTCAGTACGTGTTTAGTAGATATCTGCTACATCTGGTTAGCCAGGGTAATGTCACATGCCCATGTCTGTGTTGCAAGAGAGATGGAGAAAGTGATCCTGTAATAAGACAGGTGCTCTGCCAAAGGGAAGATGGGATGGATGGGGGATAGCTGCTAGATTGTCAGCCAAGATGCTCAGACAAAAGTGTCTGTTGCAAGGGATATCTCACAGAACCAGTGGCTGGATGAACAGGCCAGTCTCACAAGGGACTTAAATTGGCCAGTGGAAAGTCCACAGGTACATTTTGAACATATGGGGGTAATAATGTCTTGTGTTTGCTTTCCTCTTCATCTCTGCAGATTAGCGTTTTTTCCACTAATTTGGCATGCACATGGACAAAAATTGCCTCTTAGCGATTTTTTTTTTTTTTTTTTTTTGAGACTGGGTCTTGCTCTGTCACCCAGGCTGGAGTACAGTGGCACAATCTCGGCTCATTGCAACCTCCTCCTCTTAAATTCAATGGATTCTCTTGCCTCAGCCTCCTGAGTAGCTGGGATTACAGGTGCAGGTGCGTGCCGCCATGCCAGGCTAATTTTTGTTTTTTGTTTTTGTTATGAGACGGAGTCTTGCTCTGTTACCAGGCTGGAGTGCAGTGGCACGATCTCGGCTGACTGCAGCCTCCACCTCCCGGGTTCAAGCAATTATCCTGCCTCAGCCTCCCGAGTAGATGAGACTACAGGCCCATGCCACCACACCCAGCTAATTTTTGTATTTTTAGTAGAGTTGGGGGTTTCACCATGTTGGCCAGGATAGTCTCAATCTCTTGACCTTGTGATCCGCCCGCCTTGGTCTCCTGAAGTGCTGGAATTACAGGCGTGAGTCATTGTGCCCAGCCATTTTTTTTTTTAGTAGAAATGAGGTTTAGTAGAGATGCCCATGTTGGCCAGGCTGGTCTCAAACTCCTGACCTCAAGTGATCCGCTTGCCTCGGCCTCCCAAAGTGCCAGGATTATAGGCGTGAGCCACTGCGTCCAGCCCCTCTTAGCAATTTTTACCTTTTAGCTCTAGCACCTATTCCCATAGAGTTTTTCATGCAAGTCCTTGAGTCAGATGCTCAACTATGGCAGTGGGGTTGAGAAGTGGGATCCCTTCTCTTAGAAAGGGACATCACCTATGTGTTTGCAGAGCCATCTTAAAGTGGGAAGTGAATGAATTGGCAAGCGTTTTAGTGGAAAATCTTTTTCCTTGGTGTTAACTAAGTTTCAGATGCCAGGGCCTTAAACATTTTTTTCCTGTAATATTTTTGTAATATTTTGCACCCACTCTACCACTGCCCCCTCCAACTTGGAAATATTTAGAGTTTAGAAATAAGTCAGGACTTTAAAAATCTGGCTTTTTCTTCTCATTAATAATTTAGCTTGTATACTTCTTTCTTCTTTAGTCTTTGGATTGCATTCAAAGTTCTCCCTGGTATTTAGAGTGAGATTTCTTTCTCTCTCTATCACCCTCTTTTCTTCCTTTCCTGGGTCGGTCTTGAACTTGTTTTCTGGGGGAGAGAATCACCTATGGAGACTAGTGTGGGATGTTTGAGAGGCACAGTTGGTTTTCCAGGGCTGAGAAGAATGCAGGACAGCTAGAGGCGGGGAAGCTGGTTGAACCTTTGCACCTGCTGATTGATCAAGCTTGGGAAAGAGACCAATTCATATTTAGACAGCTTTCGTGGTCCAATCTCTGCATAGAAATCAGGAAATGAACCAGAAGATTCCGTTTTCAGGTTGAAGCCAGACACTGAGGGGCTTGACTAAGCTCCTCTTGCTTACAATAAAATGGAGCATTTTTTAAATTATAAAGAGCAAGATTTTGCTTTCTGAGATTAGCGTCGATCTTTCATCAGTGTTGATGCAGCCAAACACAGTTACAAGTTATATCCATCCTTCTAAGACTAATTTTATAACTTCATTATCCCTAATACTTTTCCTCTTCAAGTTATTTGACAATACCATACCTATCTGGAGGAGTAATTTTTAAACTATTTAAAAAATTAGGTGGTTTTTTCGGTTTGTTTTTTGAGACAGAGTCTCACTCTGTTGCCCAGGCTGGAGTGCAATGGCACAATCTGGCTCACTGCAGCCTCGACCTCCCCAGGCCCAGGTCATCCTCCCACCTCAGCCTCCCAAGTAGTGGGACCCACAGGCGCATGACACCACACCCAGCTAATTTTTATTTTTATTTTTTGTGCAGAGTGGGTCTCGCCATGTTGCTCAGGCTGGTCTCGAACTCCTGGGCTCAAGTGATCCTCCCATTCAGCCTCCCCAAGTGCTGGGATTATAGTCATTGAGCCATGACGCCCAGCAGAAATTAGGTGTTTTTTTTTTTTTAATGAAAAAAAGTAAGCAGTTTAATTTTTTTTTTTTTTTTTGAGACAGAGTCTCACTCTGTCACCCAAGCTGGAGTGCAGTGGTGCGATCTTGGCTCACTGCAACCTCCACCTCCCAGGTTCAAGTTCCTGAATAGCTGGGATTACAGGCGCTCGCCACCATACCCAGCTAATTTTTGTATTTTTAGTAGAGACGGGGTTTTGCCATTTTGGCCAGGCTGGTCTTGAACTCCTGACCTCAGGTGATCCAGCCACCTGGGCCTCCCAAAGTGTTGGGATTACAGGCGTGAGCCACCACGCCGGCCTTAAAATCTTATTTTTTTACAGTGTCTTTCACTCCGCATCTTTGGGGCAGTTAGAGATGTTTGTTTTTGTTTGTTGCTTTTACCGCATCCGTAGAAACAAGAGAGGAACTGAAAGTGACTAAGGTGTTCTAAGAACGTCAAAATAGGCTAGAAGTTTATTGCTGCTTTTTAAAGGGATACATTCCATAGCAGTTTCCCCTCCTAATCTCATCTGCTCAGACTCTAGCACAGTCAAAATTCTGGCACTTTTTCTACAGGTTGTGATTTTCCCCTTTCTCTTCATTTCAGAACACATTTGGCTCAGAGCACCGCTGCATTCATTAGTCCTGAGGCTTCTACTTTCTGAGCCCTTCCATTTGTTGCACATCCAACAACAGCCTCCTTAATGCCCTTTTACACAATATAATTATTGTTATAAAAATATGAAAATGCAACTTTTTGTACTCTATGTGTCTTTCTGCATTCTTTTTTTTTTTCTTTTTTTTTTTTTTTTTTGACAGGATCTCACTCTGTTGCCCAGGCTGGAATGCAGTGGTGTGATCACAGCTGTCTGTAGCCTTGACCTCCCAGGCTCAAGTGATCCTTCCACCTCAGCCTCCTGGGTAGCTGAGACTATAGGCGTGCGCCACCACACCCAGCTAACTTTGTGTATTTTTTTTTTTTGTAGAGATGAGGGTCTTGCTATGTTGCCGAGGCTGGTCTCAAACTCCTGGGCCCAAATGATCCTCCTTCCTCAGCCTCCCAAAGTGCTGGGATTATAGGCATGAGCCGCCGCACCCGGCCTCCACATTCTTTATATCACTAACTTCATCCATATGCAGCTGCCTCCTAAACTTCAGCTAAGTTTTATTTTTTTAACCCACACATATATTTTTATCATATATTTGCTTACATTCTTATCTCGTGTTCAGAATGCAACTACAAAGAGCCATGAACGTAGTGTTTTCATTTCTACAACAGAAACAGACTCCTTAGTGTTTTCATTTCTGCAACAGAAACAGACTTATGACTAATTATAACAATTAAGCCTAAGTTTGTACCTGTTTTTATTTTATTTACTTATTTGAGACGAAGTCTTCCTCTGTCGCCCAGGCTGGAGTGCAGTGGCACCATCATGTCTCACTGCAACCTCCGCCTCCTGGGGTCAAGCGATTCTCCTGCCTCAGCCTCCCAAGTAGCTGGGATTACAGGCGCCTGCCACCATGCTTGGCTAGTTTTTTTGTTTTGTTTTGTTTCTTTTTGAGACAGAGTATCACTCTGTCACCAGGCTGGAGTGCAGTGGCATAATCTCAGCTCACTGCAACCTCCGCCTCCCAGGTTCAAGCGATTCTCCTGCCTCTGCCTCCAGAGTAGCTGAGACTACAGGCCTTTGCCACCATGCCCAGCTAATTTTTGTATTTTTAGTAGAGATGGGGTTTCACCATGTTGGTCAAGATGGATTTTTTTGTATTTTTAGTAGAGACGGGGTTTCACCATATTGGCCAGGCTGGTCTCAGACTGCTGACCTCAAGTGATCCACCCGCCTTGGCCTCCCAAAGTGCTAGGATTACAGGTGTGAGCCACCATACCCAGCCTGTACCTGTTTTTAATGGCAAGTTCTAGAATTGCATTTTAATGAGATTTGAATTCAGTAAGACCTTTCATTTTGTGTGCTTTTCCTTTCTAATTAAAATCTGTTGTATTAACTTGAATGTACAACTAGGGCACTGTGGTGCTGGAGCCCCTTTTTGTCAGTTACCTCACAGGCTCCTGCTATAGGAGACATTTTCAACCCAGGGAGCACAGCACCCTAATTCAAAAACCAGTTTCAGAAACAGCAGATGAATATATGATTTTGTGGAATCTGCATCTACTCCTATTGTCAAAACATAAGGTATCTGTGATCCTTGAAATAAACCTTCTATTCCTAAGTCACCATAGTGTTTGGAAGAAAAACAACAAAAGGAAAAAACAAATAAACCTTCTAATTCTGCCTTTCACATGTAATTTATTCTTTTTGTGGGCAAGCAATGAAGTCACTTTGGGTAATCCTTTTTCATCACTTTTAGGTTGAAAAATATATTTGAGTATTTCTGCTTTTAATATTCTCAATTTGGCAGGGCACAGTGGCTCACGCCTGTAAGCCCAGCACTTTGGGAGGCTGAGGTGGGCAGATCACAAGGTCGGGAGATCAAGACCATCCTTGCTAACATGGTGAAATCCTATCTCTACTAAAAATACAAAAAATTAGCCGGGTGTGGTGGCGGGCGTCTGTAGTCCCAGCTACTCGGGAGGCTGAGGCAGGAGAATCGCTTGAACCCGAGAGGCGGAGGTCGCAGTGAGCTGAGATCGCACCACTGCACTCCAGCCTGTGCAACAGAGCGAGACTCCGTCTCAAAAAAAAAAAAAAAAAATCTCAATTTGTCTATGGAAATTAATTTAAATCTTTGTTAAAAGCTCGAGAAGTTAATTTCAGGTGGTATTTGTGATGGCACATTTTTGTTTGTAAAGTTCTTTTTTGAGACAGAGTCTGGCTGTGTCACCCAGGCTAGAGTGTAGTGGTGCGATCTCAGCTCACTGCAACCTCCACCTCCCTGGTTCAAGTGATTCTCCTGCCTCAGCCTCCTGAGTAGCTGGGATTACAGGTGCAAGCCATCATGCCCAGCCTTTTTTTTTTTTTTTTTTTTTTTTTTGAGACAGTCTTGCTCTGTCACCAGGCTGGAGTGCAATGGCGCCATCTCATCTCACTGCAACCTCCACCTCCTGGGTTCAAGCGATTCTCCTGCTTCAGCCTCCCAAGTAGCTGGGACTACAGGTAGCTGCCACCATGCATGGCTAATTTTTGTGTTTTTAGTAGAGACAGGGTTTCACCATGTTGGCCAGGCTGGTCTTGAACTCCTGATCTCAGGTGATCCACCCACCTCAGCCTCCCAAAGTGCTGGGATTACAGGCGTGAGCCACCACGCCCGGCCTGTAAAGTTTTATAAAACTTTCTACGTTTCTGTAAGTGCAGCTTCTTTAATATTCAGAACCAAATTGATTTTTTAAAACATTTTAAATGGATATTTTCTTACAGTTACTCTTTGAGTAAATCTATACCCTCTGACACATTTTCCTCCACAGTTTGAGGAAGCTAATGCTAGTAACATAATCCTAAGGGATTCTGTTTAAACAGAGCCATTTAAGTCCTGCTTCTTAAAATGCCCAAGTCCTCAGGAAGGTGAATTTATCAAAAACTGGAGTATACAGAAATAGCAGTCTAGATAGCACAGACCAAAGTAGTCTCAGTAGTGTGGAGGAGATCATTCCCTTCACTGGGTGAATAATTCACTGCAGGAGAGATTTGCTTGCAGAGGGGGACTGGCCTCAGGACCCCCTTTCCTGGAGTCTGTGCCACTTACATAGGTAATTTTAGCAACTTAGTCTCTTACTAGATTGGCTTATTCCAGGGATTTTGAATTAATGTTGGTTTAGTACACTTTTTTTTTTTTTCGAGATGGAGTCTTGCCCTATCACCCAGGCTGGAGTACAGTGGCGCGATCTTGGCTCACTGCAACATCTACGTCCCAGGTTCAAGCGATTCTCCTGCCTCAGCCTCCAGAGTAGTTGAGATTACAGGTGTGAGCCACCGCGCCCAGCCGGTTTAGTACACTTTTTAATTACAGGAAAACACCATATTAAAGTTGACCTAGACTTTGGAGGAAAACTTCCTTGTGGATGACTTGGGTCTCCTCATCTCAAAGTAAATAGCTTTTCTGAATGTAGTTCCTGTGACAACTCTTCTGCATAATTTGAGCAAAAAATAGGTTACAGAAGACTACTTTTTTTTTTTGAGGCGGAGTCTCGCTCTGTCGCCCAGGCTGGAGTGCAGAGGTGCGATCTCAGCTCACTGCAAGCTCTGCCTCCCGGGTTCACGCCATTCTCCTGCCTCAGCCTCCCGAGTAGCTGGGGACTACAGGCACCTGCCTCCATGCCCAGCTAATTTTTTGTATTTTTAGTAGAGCCGGGGTTTCACCGTGTTAGCCAGGATGGTCTTGATCTCCTGGCCCTGTGATCTGCCCTTCTCGGCCTCCCAAAGTGCTGGAATTACAGGCGTGAGCCACCGTGCCTGGCCAAGACTACTTTTTTGTTAGTTTTTGTTTGTTTTTTGAGACAGAGTCTCGCTCTGTTGCCCAGGCTGGAGTGCAGTAATGAAATCTCGGCTCACTGCAGCCTCCACCTCCCAGGTTGAAGTTATTCTCCTGCCTCAGCCTCCCGAGTAGCTGGGATTACAGGTATGTACCTCCACTCCTGGCTCATTTTTTTTGTAGTTTTAATAGAGACAGGGTTTCGTCATATTGGCCAGGCAGGTCTCAAACTTCTGACCTAAAGTGATCCGCTGGCTTCAGCCTCCCTAACTGCTGAGATTACTGCTGAGACTACAGGTGCGTGCCACCATACCCAGCTAATTTTTGTAGTTTTAGTAGAGACAGGGTTTCACTATGTTGGCCAGGCTGGTCTTGAACTCCTGACCTCATGATCCGCCTGCCTCGACCTCCCAAAGTACTGGGATTACAGGTGTGAGCCACGTGTGCCCAGCCAATTTTTGGGTTTTTATTACAGATTTGTGAGGGCAAGATTTTTTTTTTGAACTTAATGAAGATATAATGACCCAAACCAATGCCATAGCCCATGCTTATTGTAACTTAATCAGAATATAGTACCTAAAACCAGACCTGAAAATAATTGTAAAAAGTAGCAATTGCATATTGATTAACACAATAACACTTTCTTCATTCAACTCTTCAGTTTATTCAGCGTCTCATAACTAACAGCACCTGGCACACACCTTTGGTTGGTTTGAATTCAAGGAGCAGTGTGAGGTCAAGGTCAAGGGGGAGTGTAAGGTCAAGGTGAAGTGTGATGTTGGGTGAGTGGTTCAGCGAGGTTCCTGAAAGGTACCATCAGGTTGTAACCAACAGCTTGGAAACATCCATTTGTAGTCCTCTTGGCAATCTTAGAGTGAATAGTTGAAAGTATGGGTTATAGTCTGTTCAGTGGTGCTTACACAGGAGTGTCCGAGGCTAGGTAATTAATAAAGAAAAAAATCTTTGTTTGGCTTATAATTCTGATGTCTGGAAAAGTTCAAGATAAGGCACCTGCATCCAGAAAGGGCCACAGGTTGCTCCATTCATAGTAGAAAGTAAAGAGGAGCCTGCATGGCAGAGGTCACGTGGCCAGAGAGGGCACAATAGAGAGGGGGGAGGTGCTGGGCTCTTTCTAACAACCAGCTCTGGCCAGGACTCATAGAGCAAGAACTCACCCATTACGTCAAGGACGGCACCAAGGTATTCATGAAGGATCTGCCGCCATGACCCAAGGCCTCCCATTAGGCCCCACCTCTGACATTGGGAATCAAATTTCAACATGAAGTTTGAGGGGGACAGACATCCAAACTATAGCAGTATGTATACACAGTATGCACCTATAAAATAAACATTATTTTCTATTAGGTTGTTTATTACCTAAGTTTCTTAATGTTTAGAATGTGCAACTTTGAAATATAAATTTTATTTTATTTATTTTTTTAGATGGAGTCTTGCTTTGTTGCCTAGGCTGGAGTGCAATGGCGCGATCTCGGCTCACTGCAACCTCCGCAGGTTCAAGCGATTCTCCTGCCTCAGCCTCCCGAGTAGCTAGGATTACAGGCATGGGTCTCCATGCCCGGCTTTTTTTTTTTTTTTTTTTGAGGCAGAAGTCTTACTCTGTTGCCCAGGCTGGAGTGCAGTGGCGCGATCTCAGTTCATTGCAACCTCTGCCTCCAAGGTTCAGATGATTCTCCTGCCTCAGCCTCCTGAGTAGCTGGGATTACAGGCGCCCACCATCATGCCTGGCTAATTTTTTTTTTGTATTTTTGTAGAGATGGGGTTTCACCATGTTGGCCAGGCTGGCCTTGAACTCCTGACCTCAGGTGATCTGCCTGCCTTGGCCTCCCAAAGTGCTGGGATTATAGCCGTGAGCCACCATGCCCGGCTAGGAAGAAATTTTTGTATTTTTAGTAGAGATGGGGTTTCACCATGTTGGCCAGGCTGGTCTCGAACTCCTGACCTCAGGTGAGCCACCTGCCTCAGCCTCCCAAAGTGCTGGGATTACAGGCCTGAGCCACCACACCCAACCTGAAATAGAAATTTTAGCATATATGTTATATGATAGTGGTTCTCAAAGTGCAGTCCCTGGACCTCTGGAGTTTCCTGAAACCTTCTCATGGAGTTTACAAGGTCAAAACTATTTTATTAAGGATTGTCTTTTTAACCGTGTTGACATTTGCACCAACGTTACAAAGGAAATGGTGGGTAAAGCTGATGCTTTAGTATCAGTTAAATCAAGGCTGTGGCTCCAAATTGCACTGGTAACTACTATATTCTTCACCATTAGCTGTTTTTTTTTGTTTTGTTTTGTTTTTTTGAGATGGAGTCTTGCACTGTCACCTGGGCTGGACTCATTGCAACCTCCGCCTCCCGGGTTCAAGCAATTCTCCCATCTCAGTCTCCCGAGTAACTGTTATTACAGGCGACCGCCACCACACCCGGCTAATTTTTTGTATTTTTAGTAGAGATGGGGTTTCACCACGTTGGCCAGGCTGGTCTCGAGCTCCTGACCTTGTCATCCGCCTGCCTCGGCCTCCCAAAGTGCTGGATTACAGGCGTGAGCCACCATGCCCAGCCCACCATTAGCTGTTTTAAAAAATTTCAGTTTTACTTGAAAATGTTCTTAATGAAACAGTGAAGATTATTCATTTTACTAAATCTCAAACCCTTGAAGATACATCTTTTTAATAGTGTGTATAGTAAGATGAGAAGCTCTTTAGTGCAGACTAAAATACATGATCCTGAGTTGTAAGTTGAACTAGCTGCTTTTTTCATGAACACCATTTTTACTTCAAAGAATGAGCGACAGACAAACTTTTGAGTATCTGGCAAACATTTTCTCAAAAATAAATGAAGTGAGCCTGTCACTTCAGGGAAACAGCTGGCAATGTTTGTTGCCAATGATAAAATTCTAGCTTTAAAGTGAAAATTAGAACTTGGGGAAATTGTTTTTCCACTGTGAGTTTGACAGCTTCCAAATATTAAAGACTCATCAGAAAAGATGAGATTGGTACTGATATAAACAAATGTGATTCAAAAAAAATATTTTACAAGAAATGTTTCAACAGTTGGAAGATCTGCATATATCTATGATATAATATTTTCTTTTTTTCTTTTTTCTTTTGTTTTTGACATGGAGTCTCGCTCCATCACCCAGGCTAGAGTGCTGTGGCGTAATCTCAGCTCAGCCGAGATCAGCAACCTCCCCTTCCCAGGTTCAATCAATTCTCCTGCCTCAGCCTCCCGAGTAGCTGGGATTACAGGTGACCACCACCACACCCAGCTAATTTTTGTATTTTTAGTAAAGACGGGGTTTCACCATGTTAGCCAGGCTGGTCTCCAACTCCTAACCTCAGACGACCCGCCTGCTTCTGCCTCCCGAAGTGCTGGGATTACAGGTGTGGGCCACCATGCCCGGCTGAGATAATATTTTCTAAATGATCAATGAATAATTTACATGATCATATACAGGTAAAAGATCCATTCAAAATGTAAGGTGGACCAGTGGATCTTACTGTAGCTGAGTTGGAAACTGCATCTCTATGGTTTCAGATTTCATATTGCAACTAGCCTTTGAGAAGCTATGATTTGTCAAGTTTTGGTGTGGTATCAAAGGAGAATGTCTGCACTGATCTAAAAAGGGCCTTGAAGTGTCCTTTGTTTTCTAGCTACGTATCTGTGTGAAGTTGTGTTTTTTTCACATATTTCAGCCAAAGTAAAGAATCGTAATAGATTGAATGCAGAAGTCTCTATGATAATCCAGCTGTCTTCTATTAAGCTAGACATTAAAGAGATTTGCAAAAATGTAACACGGTGCCATTCTTCTTACTGTTTTGTTTTGGAAAGTACAGTTTTAAAAAATAAAAACATGCTCTTTCCATTAACATGTAATGGTAATGGGTTTGTTTTCTTTTTAAATGAATAAATACCTTTAAAAATCTCTCCATTTTAAATTTCTGATTGAGTAAATATTGATAGATGTAACTCACACAAAAGCTCTTCGGAATTCTCAATGATTTTTTTTTTTTTTGAGACAGAGTCTCACTCTGTCGCCCCAGGCTGGAGTGCAGTGGTGCGATTTCCACTCACTGCAACCTCTCCCTCCCAGGTTCAAGTGATTCTCATGCCTCAGCCTCCCGAGTAGCTGGGACTACAGGTGTGTGCCACCATGCCTGGCTACTTTTTGTTTTTCTTTTGTAGAGATGAGGTTTCACCATGTTGGCCAGGCTGGTCTTGAACTCCTGTTCTCAAGTGATCCACCTACCTCGGCCTCGCAAAATGCTGGGATTATAGGCATGAGCCACTGTGGCTGGCTGGTTCTCAAGGATTTTTAGGAGGGCAAAGGGGCCCCCAGAACCACCGTGATGTGACATCAGGCAGGAAGGGATGCATTTTTGATGACACCATCCCCAAAGTAGCAAAGGCTGTTTTTAAAGAGCCGTTTATAATATTTGTTCACAAAGGAGTCCTTTTAAGATTTGGATTTTTTTTTCCATTAACTTTTCCACATTTTAGTCAAGAATGTAAGTGGGTTGATTCGTTTTTCATCTGTCTTGAATTTTCTTCTAGCTGCTGTCAAGTCAGTGCTGCAGCAGTTCATGTGATAGTGAGAGCGTGGGGGCATCCTCAGGTTTCACAGAGCATCAAAAGAACTCTGCTATAGTCACAAACAAGCACCAGCTCATTTGTTACTGAGTAAGGTTTTTATTATTAAGATCTTCTATCTTATTTGGGCTCTGTCATCTTGGTAAACGCTTTATTATAGCTTGTAGAATGGTCCTGAATAGAGATAACTTTATGGAAAACATATTGTTGGATTGAGGCCAGTAATTTTTAAGGTGGACTCAGTTCAAATGTAGATGGGCTTTTTCTGTTGTTTTCAAGGGCTTTGGTATCGAAAGCTGTTGCTTTGTATAGTATACATCAGTTTGAATGCAAAGTGATATGGTGGGGGGAAATCTGTAGTCAGGTTGTTAATAGGCCAAGAATGAAACCTAAGAGCATATCCTCTGGGCAAGTTTTCAAGGTGGCACCTATGACTGCTGAAAACAATCAAGGCTTTGGAGATTATGGGAAATCATACAGGGAGAGGGCTTTTTTGTTTTTTTTTTTTTGAGGTGGAGTTTTGCTCGTTTTGACCAGGCTGGAGTGCAATGGCCCCGTCTTGGCTCACTGCAACCTCCACCTCCTGGGCTTGAGCGATTCTCCTGCCTCAGCCTCCCAAGTAGCTGTGATTATAGGCGTGCGCCACCAGGCCCAGCTAATTTTGTATTTTTAGTAGAGACAGGGTTTTACCATGTTGGCCAGGCTAGTCTCAGACTCCTGACCTCAGGTCTCAAACTCCTGATCCTCCCGCCTCAGCCTCCCAAAGTGCTGGGATTACAGGTGTGAGCCACCGCGCCCGGCCATTTTTTTTCTTTTTTTTTTTTTTTCGAGACAGAGTCTCTGTCTTTCGCCCAGACTGGAGTGCAGTGGTACAATCTCGGCTCACTGCAACCTCTGTCTCCTGAGTTCAGTGGATTCTCCTGCCTCAGCCTCCTGAGTAGCTTGGATTACAGGTGCATGCCACCATGCCTGGCAAATTTTTGTATTTTTAGTAGAGATGAGGTTTAGTAAAGATGACTGTGTTGGCCAGGCTAGTCTCAAACTCCTGACCTCAAGTGATCCGCCCACCATGGCCTCCCAAAGTGCTGGAATTTTGGATGTGAGCCACCGCGCCCAGCTGGGAGAGGGCTTTTAAATAAAGGAAAGGGTGTTTATGTTTTTGGTTTTTGTTTTTTGAGACAGGGTCTTGCTTTGATGCTCAGGCTGGAGTGCAGTAGCCTGATCATGACTCACTGCAGCCTTGAAGTCCTGGGCTCAAGTGATCCTCCTGCTTCAGCCTCCCTAGTAGCTGGGGCTACAGGCATGTGTGCCATGATGCCCTGATAATTGTTAATCATTTTAAAAATAAATATGATTACTGTGAAACTAGATCCACAAAGGGTTACTGATAAGCAGAGGGCTTTGACGAAGTCGTGCTCTCAATTTGTAAGAATGATTTGTAGTCATAGCTTGAGTTGTGTGTATATTTGTTCTCTCAAGTAGTTTAAGGTGATCTTCAGTCTCGTTTACACTATTAGCTTACTTGATGACCCTTGACTTTATAAATAACATAATCTAGTGTTTCTTAAACTGAAATCTAGGGGTTTGTGGAATATATATTATTGAGGACCAAGAATCAACTTTAAATATTAAAAATTATTAGTCATAAAGACAAACATTTTGCACTTTTGTTTTATAATTTTGTATTTAATTTTTTGAGACATAGTCTCATTCTGTCACCCATGCTGGAGTGCAATGGTGTGATCTTGACTCACTGCAACCTCTGCCTCCTGGGTTCAAACAATTCTCCTGCCTCCCTCAGACTCCCGAGTAGCTGGGATTACAGGTGCCTGCCATGACGCCCGGCTACTTTTGTATTTTTAGTAGAGATGGGATTTCACCATGTTGTCCAGGCTGGTCTCGAACTCCTGGCTTCAAGTGATCCACCCGCCTTGGCTTCCCAAAATGCTGGGATTACAGGCGTGAGCCACCTCACCTGGCCAAAATCTCAGTCATACCTTAATAAAGTGGTTTTAAAAAAAAACAGGCCGGCCGGAGGCAGTGGCTCACACTTGTAATCCCAGCACTTTGGGATGCCAAGGCGGGAGGATCACTTGAGCCCAGGAATTCAAGACCAGCCTGGGCATCATAGTGAGACCTCCTCTCTGCAAAAAATACAAAAATTAGTGAAGGCATGGTGGCGGGTGCCAATAGTCCCAGTTACTCAGGAGGCTGAAGTGGGAGGATCACTTGAGTCTGGGAGGCAGCAGCAAGCTGAGATTGCACTACTGCACTCCAGCCTGGGGGAAAGAGCACGACTCTGTCTCAAAACAAACCAACCAACAAACAAAAAACAGTCTGAAGTAAGACACTGAATGTATACTGTTAGATTGCACAAGCGTAGGATTAAACACTAGCTTTATATTTTTATATTTGAGTTGGCACTTCCCCATTTCGCATGATCCTCATGACTGATTTGTGAAATTAGGAAATTAGATTATAGCTGCGTCTTACAGGCAAATGACTAAAACTTGAAACATTTGGGGGCCTGTCTCTGTGAAATCCCTTTGCTGGGGCTAGAACCCTCATTTATGACTGTTACCTCTCAGGAGGCAGCAAATTTTCCATGGAGAATTCCATTTCCACTGGAATTCTCTCTTCCCTGTGATGTGCTCATGCCCCCTCTGGCTCGCCCCCTTAGTCCTTTCTGGGCTCTGCTTCCTGGGCCAGGCCCTCTTTGCTAATTCTGTGTATCCTTGCTGTCGTCTTTGGTGTTCTGATCCTCGGCTGTTGCTTGAGATCCACCTACTCACTTGATGCCCTTCTTGAGTTCTAAATCCTTCTGTGTTTCCAGCTCTCTTCTGGACAGGCCAGTCCCTCATTCAACATGTCAAAACAACATTTAATTTTCACCCCAAACTGTAGCTCTTTCTTATCTGGATCTTCTGTTTAATTCCGGGAAGCAGAACCTGAAAGTCACTCTGGAATCCTCCCTCCCCCTCATACCCTTGCCAGCCTCCACGTCCAACCGGCCACTCACACACTAGTTGATTGTGTTTGTTAAATGTCCCTAGAATTCTTCCCTTCTGTGCCTATTTTGTCTCATCTAGACTGTTGGAGCCATTTCCTGGCTTTCTCTTCCAAGTCCTCTTGTGCCTGCTGGAGAGTCTAAACTCCTAAGCTCGTCCTTCAAGGCCTTGGGTGATCTAGCTCTGAGCTGTCTCTAGTTTCATCACTCGCCAACTCCACTTCCCTTCTGCCCCACCCACCTCCACCTTGCACTCAAAGACAAATTCACTTGATTCCTGGATATCTCCATGTCTTTGCATTAGCTGTTGCTAGCATACCTGTCCCCTCTCATTCTTTATTTGGGGGGACAGAGTCATGCTCTTATACCCAGGCTGGAGTGCAGTGGTACAACACCATGCCCAGCTAATTTAAAAAAATTGTTTTTGTAGAGATGGGTTCTGTGTTACCCAGGCTCCCTCTTGTTCTTCCAGACCAGAAACCCCAAGGCACAATGCAAACTCAGGCTGTATTTTTGTTCATTTTGGTTCCCCAGCTCCAGGCACTGTTCCTGGCTCACAGTGTGGGTTTGGTGTATGTTTGGAAGAATAAAATCCATGTGTTTTATTTTAATCATTTGAAGAAAGCAAAATTTTGTAACACTTCCCCCCGTTCCTCGGCTCAGATTCAATCAGCTGTTTTGAATGATTACCCAGAGATAACAGTTAAGGTGCAAACCGTGTGTGGCTGTGTTTGTGTGTATGTTTCACCTGTCGGTTTTTGGCGTCTGGGAATGACATTTTTCCTTGCACTGAGACATCAGTTATATCTGAAAACTATGTTTCTAAAAGGAATAGGAAATATGAATGAATAGGTCAGAGTTCAGTACTCCAGGCGGTTTTCAAACCAAATTTGGTAATGTTGATTTAAAATGGCTCAACAAAAAAGCACCCCAAGTATAATCATGGAAAATATTAGTACTACTTTGTATGTAGTAATATGTTGTTAAGAGAATTATTCATTGAAATTATGTTAATCACAGGGAAAGACCATAACTTCTCTCTTGGTTTGTTTCAACAGGATCAGTTTGACAACTTAGAAAAACACACACAGTGGGGAATTGATATTCTTGAGAAATATATCAAGTTTGTGAAAGAAAGGACAGAGATTGAACTCAGCTATGCAAAGCAACTCAGGTAAGTTGATATTGAAAAAGGTTATTTGTTAACTGCAAAATGATGTAAGGATAACGTATATTCTCATTTTACAGTATAAATGTATATTTTAAATATTTTTCCTTTTATGTAAGGTAATATTTCAATAGAAGTGATTGTTTTTCATACAGAAAATTAATTTTCATAGAACATTAAAAATAAAAACTAAATTACTGCTTTAAGGCCCAGTTTTTTTTTTCAACAAGATATTTGCTGAGTTTTGGAGCAGCTTGTTTCTCAGTAAACTTTTTATTGAAATATATTAATAACATATGTACAGAGAAGTACACAAATCATAAGTGTGCAGCTCCATGAATTTTGACAGTGTGAACACACTCATGTAACCGGGCACCCAGGTCAAGAAACAGAAAGACCAGCCTGGCAGGCCCCCTGGCCCCCTCCAGCTCCCCACTCTCCCCCCAGCGGTAACCACTCTCCTGACTTCTAACCGCGTGGATTAGTAGTGCCCACTTTTGAACTTTACATGAGTGTAATCATTTGGTATGCATTCTTGTGTATCTGGCTTCTTTTGTTCTATATTACGTTTGTGAGATTGACCATGTGGTAGCATGTGGTGGGATCTGCTTATTTTCATTGCTGTTGAGTGTTTTGGTCTGTGAATGCACCAGAACTCATCCGTTCTGACTAGGTGATTGGTTGTTTCTAATTTAAGCTATAATGAGTAGCGCTCCAACGAGCATTATTGTACAAGGCTTTTTGTGTGTATCTGAACACATTTCCTAGGATCTACGTAGGCATCTAATTGCAAGGTCACAGGCTACTCATATGCTTAGCTTTGGTGGATAGGGTTCAGCCATTTCCAGTGTGCTTGTACTAATTCACACTCCCTTCTGTAATGTGTTGAGGGGTCATGTGGAATAGTATTTTAAAAGTACTTCGGGCCGGGCGCAGTGGCTCACGCCTGTAATCCCAGCACTTTGGGAGGCAAAGGTGGGCGGATTGCCTGAGGTCAGGAGTTCGAGACCCGCCTGGCCAACATGGTGAAACCCCGCCTCTACTAAAAATACAAAAATTAGTGGGGCATGGTGGCAGGCGCCTGTAATCCCAGCTACTTGGGAGGGTGAGACATGAGAACTGCTTGAACCCGGGAGGTGGAGGTTGCAGTGAGCTGAGATTGTGCCACTGCACTCTAGCCTGGGTGACAGAGTAAGACTCCTTCTCAAAAAAAAAAAAAAAAAAGTGCTTTGGGGCCAGGTGTGGTGGCTCATGCCTGCAATCCCAGCACTTTGGGAGGCTGATGAGGGAGGATAGTGTGAGCCCAGAGACTTCAAGACCAGCCTGGGCAACATAGTGAGCCCCCTGTCTCTGTTTTTTTTTTTTTTTTAAGTACTTTGGATCTCCTTACATCTTTTAATGATGAGATTATCCAAGAAATTTGTGTTTTTATAGAATATATTTAAAAGTTCTTGGTAGAACTAAGCTTGAACTTGAAGTGGCATGCAAAGTCCTTAATGATTTCATGTTGTATAGTTGTAGTTGAATTGGTTTGTGGATATTGTTTTAAGGCCTGTTAAAGAGCTAGATGATTTTGATTTAGAAACATTTACTTTCCTTTTTCTTTAATTTTTTTTTTTTTTTTGAGACAGTCTCACTCTGTCGCCCAGGCTGGAGTGCAGTGGTACAATCTCAGCTCACTGCAATCTCCGCCTCCCAGGTTCAAGTGATTCTCCTGCCTCAGCCTTCCAAGTAGCTGGGATTACAGGCTTGTGCCACCATGCCTGGCTAATTTTTGTATTTTTAGTAGAGAGAGTGTTTCACCATGTTGGCCAGGCTGGTCTTGAACTCCTGACCTCAAGTGATCCGCCTGCCTCGGTCTCCCAAAGTGCTGGGATTACAGGCGTGAGCCACCGTGCCCAGCCCTTTTTTCTTTTTTTTTTTTTTTAATTTTCTTCAAGCTCCCTCACCATTGAGTTTTAATCCAAAGAGCATCTGCATAAAAGATATGTGTTCTTGGCTGGGCGCAGTGGCTCATACCTGTAATCCCAGCACTTTGGGAGGCCAAGGCAGGTGGATCACGAGGTCAGGAGTTTGAGACCAGCCTGGTCAAGATGGTGAAACCCCGTCTCCACTAAAAATACAAAAATGAGCCAGGCATGGTGGCGGGTGCCTGTAATCCCAGCTATTCAGGAGGCTGAGGCAGGAGAATCGCTTGAGCCCAGGAGGCAGAGGTTGCAATGAGCCAAGATCGCGCCACTGCACTCCAGCCTGGGCAACAGAGCAAGACTCCATCTCAAAAAAAAAAAAAAAAAAAAAAGAGCTATGTGTTCTTATAAGGGTTTCTGTTGTTGTTTCAGCAAGCTGGGATTACAGGTGTGAGCCACTGTGCCTGGCCCCAGATTTTGTTTTTATTGAGTGAATAACATGTAAAACATCACACAATGAAATAATTTTTATAAGTGGAGAATCCAGATCAGTTTCTAGTGCCCTGTGTGCATATCAGTCTCGTCAACACGTCAGGGGCTTTTCGAACTGAAAGTAGGAATAGAACATGGTCTGTTTCACGTTGATTATTTGAATGCTGCACTATTAGTCATGCAATGTTGTCTTTCATGTGAAAATGGGCTACGTGCGAGCTCTCAAGCGGGCTACTGGTATTCTTCCCACGACAGTCTCCCTTGCTGGCCCCTGCTCTTCCCCTGCCTCTTCACATTGCTGTGCCCAGCATCTGCTTCTCAGTCCTTCTCCCTTCCCAGTCTGTACTCTCCTGGTGACCTCAACTGTCTCATGGCTTTAGGTATAATCCATATGGCAATGACTCACAGATATGGATCTCTAAGCCAGACCTCTCTCCTGAATTCCAGAAACAGCTTGCTCAAAGTCTCCACTTAGAAATGTCTAAAAACTTGGCTGGGCGCGGTGGCTTATGCCTGTAATCCCAGCACTTTGGGAGGCTGAGGCGGGCGGATCACGAAGTCAGGAGATCGAGACCATCCTGGCTAACACGGTGAAACCCCATCTGTACTAAAAATACAAAAAATTAGCTGGAAATGGTGGCGGGCGCCTGTAGTCCCAGCTACTTGGGAGGCTGAGGCAGGAGAATGGCATGAACCCAGAAGGCAGAGCTTGCCGTGAGCCAAGATCACACCACTGCACTCCAGCCTGGGCGACAGAGTGAGACGCCATCTCAAAGAAAAAAAAAAAAAAGGAAATGTCTAAAAACCATCTGAAATGATCTGAAATGTAACATGTCTGAAACTGAACTCCGGATCTCCCCAACTTAAAAATCCACATGTCTAGGCCAAGTGAAGTGGCTCACACCTAAAATCTTAGCACTTCAGGAGGCCGAGGTGGGTACTTGAGCCCAGGAGTTGGAGGCCAGCCTGAGCAACATAGCGAGACCCTGCCTCTAAAAAGAATTTTAAAAAATTAGCCAGGCATGGTGGCGCACACCTGTAGTCCCAGCTACTTGAGAGGCTGAGGAGGGCGGATGCTTGAGCCCAAGACGCTGGGGCTGCAGTGAGCCATGATTGCACTACTGCACTCCAGCCTGGGCAACAGAGCAAGACCCTATCTCAAAAAAAAAAAAAATCTGCATTTCCACGACCTAGATTTTCCTCCACTCACCTGAGGGTAGCTGCATCCTTCCTGGTTTAGGTCAAAAACCCTAGCATCACCCAGGTGCAGGGGGATCACTGGAGGTCAAGAGTTCAAGACCAGCTGACTAACATGGTGAAACCCTGTCTCTACTAAAAATACAAAAACATTAGCCAGGCGTGGTGGTGGGCGCCTGTAATCCTACCTACTCAGGAGGCTAAGGCAGGAGAATCCCTTGAACCCAGGAGGCAGAAGTTGCAGTAAGCTGAGATTGTGCCACTGCACTCCAGCCTGGGTGACAGAGCAAGACTCCATCTCAAAAAAAAAAAAAAAAAAACCCTGGTGTCATCATCATCTCTGTCTGCCTTCTTTTCTCACACACTCACACTCCCCAGCTCAAGCCATCAGGAAATCTTGACTTCTCTACAGATTTATCCAGGATCTGACACTTGTTATCACCTCCACTGCTGCCACTGTGGTCCATGTCACATGGCCTACGTGGTCCATGATCTTTTGCCTGGTTATGATGAGTCTACTAACTAGTTTCCCTTATTCTACCTCTATCCCCTATTCCCTGATTTCTACAGAGCAGCCAGATTACAGTATTCCTCTGTTCAAAATTCCAGTGCGTCCCCATTTCATTCAGAGTAAATCCAAAAACCTTACGGTGAAAGTCCTCCAAAACCTTGTATAATCTGGTTCCCACACCTTTCTGACATCATCTGTTTTAACTCTCTTCCTCCTCCTCTCTGCTGTAACCATACAGAGGCCTCCTTCCTGTTTTTTGTACATGCCAGGCATCCCCTCACCCGAGAGCTATTGCGCTAGCCCTTCCATGTAGATATCACCTATGTGTTCTTCCCCAGGCTCCAAGTGGCTGACTCCCTCTCCTGCTTCCAGTTTCTGCTCAGTGAGGCCCACCTCGTCCCTTAGCCCACTTAGCCTGCTTTGCTTTTTCAGTTTTCCTATATTACTGGTAACTTTCTACCATTTTATATAGTTTTCTTGTTTAGTTTTGAAAATTGACAAAATATGTATTTCTATATTATTTGTATATAAAATTGTATATATTTATGGTATACATGATGTCTTGAAATATGTATACGCTGCAGAATGCCCAAATCAGGCTAATTAACATATGCATTACTACTCAAACTTAATATTTTTTTTGTGGGAAGAACATTAAAATCTACTCTTCTAGCAATTTAGCAACCCCTCCCCTCCCCTCCCCTTCCCTCTTTCTTGAGACAGGGTCTCACTCTGTCACCCTGGGTGGAGTGCAGTGGCACGATCTTGGCTCACCTCCCGGGCTCAAGTGAACCTCCCACCACAGCCTCCCAAGTAGCTGGGACCACAGGAATGCGCTGCCACACCCGGCTAATTTTTGTATCTTTTGCAGAGACAGAATTTCACCATGTTGCCCATGCTGGTCTTGAACTTCTAGGTTCAAGCGATCCTCTGACCGAGGCCTCCCAAAGTGCTGGGATTACAGGTGTGAGCACCCGGCCTGGCAATTTTCAAGTATACAATACATTGTTATTAACTGGAGACACAATGTTGTACAATAGATCTCTTGAACTTATTTCTCCTACAATTTTGCCTCATTTGAATAACATCTCCCCAAACCTTCCCAGAGAAATCTGGGTATTATATTTACTGCGCATTGTCTCCTGCAGCCTCTCAGCTAGAATGCAAGCCCCTTAAGGGTGGAGATCTTTGGGTTGTGCTCACTAATGTGTCATAGTGCAGAACAGTGCCTGGCACATAGTAGGTGCCCAGTAAATATTTGTAGATTGTGAGTGAATCGGTAGGGTACAGGCCTAAGATATTTAGCCAGCTTTGCTTTATGGGGAATTATGTGTTTGCACCGGCCTGTGAGAGCTGATGAGATTTTAACAACAAAAAGTAGAACAACAAGGTGCCAGCCGAGTTTCAATCACTAGGGATGCTTGAATGAACGAGACACAGGAAGTGCCTGAACCTGGAGTGCTCACCTTTCACAGCAGAAAACAGAACTGCATGCAAATTAGCAAAGAATTCGAGCATTTAAAGATAGCATGTATGACTCCAAATATGTAAACGCAGTGATGTGATAGAGATTGAAGTGGGGGTGGTTACTGAGCTAGGCTGGTCAGGGAAAACCCATCACTTGAGAAGTGAATTACAAAAAGAAGCCAGACATGTAAGGATGTGGGGGGAGAGAGTGCAAAGGTCCTGAGACGGGAACATGTAGAAGGAATAGAAAGGCCAGTGTGGCTACAGAATATTCAACAGATACTTGGTTGAAATAGTAATATGATGTTGAAAAATCATTGTGGCCTTTGGGAGAGATAACTATCATTAAATATTTTTTTTCTGCATTGCAGGGGAGAATGCTAACTTATTTTAGACATAAACGTGAGACTTTGATTCCTGTAGGTCAGGTCTTAGCATGGGCCAAATCCATCCACTACTTGGTTTTGTAAATAAAGATTTGTTGGAATGTTGCCGTGCCCATGTGTATTGTCTATGGCCACTTTTGCAAACAATTGGCAATTGAGTAGTTGCAAAAGAGATGCATTTACCTGCAAGTCTGAATTTTTTTTTTCTCTTCGAGATGGAGTCTCGCTCTGTCACCCAGGCTGAAGTGCAGTGGTACAATCTCAGCTCACTGCAACCTCCACCTCCAGGGTTCAAGCGATTCTCCTGCCTCAGCCTCCTGAACAGCTGGGACTACAGGCGCACACCACCATGCCTGGCTAATTTTTGTATTTTTAGTAGAGACAGGATTTCACCATATTGGCCAGGCTGGTCCTAGACTCCTGACCTTGTGATCCACCTGCCTCGGCCTCCCAAAGTGCTGGGATTACAGGCATGAGCCACCGCACCTGGCCCTGAAATATTTACTTTCTGGTCCTTTACAGAAAAAGTTTGCCAACCCCTGAGGTCACTATCTATTCAAGGTAGTATAGGTTGAAATTCCTAATATAATTTTTTTTTCTGAGTCTGAACAACCTAATTTTATTTATTTTTGAGACAGTTTCTGTCACCCAGGCTGGAGTGCAGTGGCATGATCTCCAGTCCCTTTCCAGAAACTATGGCCCATGACACTCCATTAGCAGAGTAACAGGGCCTGCTCAACCTCACCCTCACTGCTGCTTTCTGTTTCCAAACCGATCTTTGTCAATTTGCTACTTAACAACTGGTACATCTAGGTCTTAAATTGCATTTCTCTTAGTATGCATGGGGGTTGAACATCTTTTGATACATTTGAGCCATTTATGGTTTTAAAAAATGAACCATTCAAGTCTTGGTCTGTTTTTAATTGGAGCTCATTGTATATAGAGGGTAACTAGGTAGAAATCATATTATACAACAAATTGCATATCGTATATATCATATATATAAAGAAATGAATTTAAATTTAACAGTACAAACGACAGTAAAGTGAAACTGAGGGATGCGCTAAGCTTTAAATATTAAACTCTTAGGCCAGGCACGGTGGCTCATACCTGTAATCCCAGCATTTTGGGAGGCCGAGGTGGGCAGATGACCTGATGTTGGGAGTTTGAGACCAGCCTGGCCAACATGGTGAAACCCCGTCTCTCTACTAAAATCACAAAAATTAGCCGGGCGCTCCTGTCATCCCAGCTACTCAGGAGGCAGAGGTTGCAGTGAGCCAAGATGACGCCACTGCACTCCAGCCTGGGTGACAGACTCTGTCTCAAAAAAATAAATATTAAACTTTGGTAAAATTTATCAAAAAGATTATGAAAAACTTACAGGATGTCATTATTGTGTGTGTGTACTTCCATGTTGAAATTCTAAACAGGCTCAATTGACTCACTGCTATAAAAGATTAGGAAAATAATATATACATGTTTTGCTCCTTCTTCTAGTTGAGTTATATGACTGGGTTCTGAAACCCGAGGCCCTCAGTTGATTTGTCGTGGTTCTATATTTGAACGTAGAGTCATCTCAGCACTTCTCTCTACAACAGCCTCTCTCCTTGACTCTTGGCATTAAGGAAGAATATTCTCCCCCTCGTTAGAGCTTGGGACGTGTTCCCTGCGTTCTTTCTTGCTTGAAAATGCCACCATACTTTACGGCACTTTGACTTGGTTGTCTCTGGTCACACTTTCTCTCTCCATGTGGCTGCATCGTCTTTTGGAGGAAAAGTCTGGGGCCAGCCAGATGTTTCTCTCTGTAGGCAACATGGCTGTTTCTGAGTAAAAATATGAATAATTTTAGTTCATCTTAGCAGTCTGATAACTTCACTAAGCAATGCCTTGGAGTTGATCATCCTTTATCAGATAGTTTTTCTTAGTGCTCTTTCCTGTGTAAATTCTATGCTTCATTTATTTCAGGAGAAAGTTCTTTGATTATGTCTGAATGTTTTTTCTATTCTACTTACTGGGTCATATACTTCAGAGATATGAGTTATCCTTATGTTTCATCTTATTCTTATTTTTATTTTTTTATTTTTAAAATTTTTTTTCTTGAGACGGCATCTCGCTCTGTCACCCAGGCTGGAGTGCAATGGCGTGATCTCAGCTCACTGCAAGCTCCACCTCCCAGGTTCAAGCGGTTCTCCTGCCTCAGCCTCCCGAGTAGCTGGGACTACAGGCGCCCGCCACCACGCCCAGCTGATTTTTACACTTTTAATAGAGACGGGGTTTCACCATGTTGGCCAGGATGGTCTCGATCTCTTGACCTTGTGATCCGCCCACCTCGGCCTCCCAAAGTGCTGGGATTACAGGCGTGAGCCACCACGCCCGGCCTATCTTTAGATCCTTTTTTTTTCTGATTGTTTTCACATTATGGTTATTTCAGACCTTTCCTCTATTAAATTTGATATCCACCCTCATTTATTGATGGGTTCTATAGTGGTATATTTTAGTCCTTAGTTCATTTCCTCAGCTTTGTGTCTTCCTTCTCATTCCATTTTATTTTATCCCATAGTATTGGGATTCTTGATTTATTGCCTTTGTGTTTTTACTAAGTTTGTCTATAGTATAAATAATCTGAAGGAGGGTGATTTTTGCTTATTTTCCTTATATGTTTTCTTGCAGACTGGATTTTGGATTTTTCTTTTGCTTCTGTATTACCTGTCATATCTTTCACTTTGCTTATATTTATTATTTAATTTTTTTTTAAGACAAAGTCTCACTCTGTTGCCCAGGCTGGAATGCAGTGGCACGATCTCAGCTCACTGCAACCTCAGCCTCCCGGGTTCAAGCAATTCTCCTGCCTCAGCCTCCCAAGTAGCTGGGATTACAGGCACACACCACCACACCTGGCGAATTTTTTTTTTTTTTTTTTTTTTTTTGAGATGGAGCTTTGTTCTTGTTGCCCAGGCTGGAGTGCAATGGCATGATCTTGGCTCACTGCAACACCGCCTCCTGGGTTGAAGCGATTCTCCTGCCTCAGACTTCCGAGCAGCTGGGATTACAGGCATGTGCCACCACACCTGGCTGATTTTGTATTTTTAGTAGAGACGGGGTTTCACCATGTTGGTCAGGCTGGTCTCAAACTCCTTAACCTCAGTTGATCCACCTGCCTCGGCCTCCCAGAGTGCTGGGATTATAGGCATGAGCCACCACACCTGGCCCACGGCTGGCTAGCTTTTGTATTTTTAGTAGAGACAGGGTCTTGCCATGTTGGCCAGGCTTGTCTCAAACTCCTGACCCCAGTTGACCTGCCCACCTCGGCCTCCCAAACTGCTGAGATTACAGGCCACCACCCCTGGCCATGTTGCTTATATTTAATAGGGGCAGTTTAGTGAAGTGGTTGAGTTCAGACTCAAGAGTCCCAATGCCTGGGATGTAATCCTGGTTCTTCCACTTAACAGCCATATGAATTGAGTTAAATTACTCTCCTTGTTTCATGATTTTCATCTGTAAAGTGTGAATCATCATCATCATCATCATTCTCACCTTATAAGGTTGCTGAGTGGGCTTAATAAGGTAATAAAGAGCATAAAGGTCTTAGGCCAACACCTGGCGTGTGTTTGTTTCTAACGTGAGCCGCACCAGTGCCCTGTCTGCTCTGATGGAGTGTAGGTGAGTGTTCCTTGCCACACTTCGTTCCATTTCTGGTACCATTGGTCTTTCCCTTTGAGTTCCACTTGAGGCTGGGGTATTATATGTTCTGCTTGGTTTGCTGAAGGCCGAGGACAGGTGTTTATAGAGTCAGGGTCGCGAAAGGGCCTGGCTTCGAGACTCTGAGCTCTGTCATTTCTTCTGAAACTTTGTTAGAGGTTCTGTTATGGGGTTTACGCCATTAGGTCAAAGATTGCCCTAATTGTATTAGTCCATTTTCACGCTGCTGATAAAGACATACCCGAGACTGGGAAGAAAAAGAAGTTTAATTTGACTTACAGTTCCACATGGCTGGGGAGGCCTCAGAATCATGGCTGGGGGTGAAAGGCACTTCTTACATGGCAGCGGCAAGGGAAAATGAGGAAGAAGCAAAATCGGAAACCCCTGATAAACCTGTCAGATCTTGTGAGACTTATTCACTATCACGAGAATAGCACGGGAAAGACCGGCCCCCCCCATGATTCAATTACTTCCCCCTGGGTCCCTTCCACTGCATGTGGGAATTCTGGGAGATACAATTCAAGTTGAGATTTGGGTGGGGACACAGCGAACCCACATCCCTAATCCTGTGGAATCCCTGGGTTTGGGGCGAACCCCCAGGGCACTCAGCCTGGAGGTCTGGAAAGTGGACCTCCGGGGGGTGAGCCCCGGCTCCTGCCCAAGGCCTTGGGTGGTCAGCATAGATGTCTTCCTCTCAGAATTTTTCTGTCACTATTCCCTGAGCGCTTGCCTCCCAGTTTACTTCTGTCTGGGCTGATTTTCAGGGTTTGTGGACGTATTTCCCTTCCTGTGATGGGGAGGAAGGAGTCAGCACCCATTCTAAGCTGTCCCAGAATTTTCTGTTGCTCTTCTTGGTCATCATTTTCTAAAGTGTATGGACTGAGATTAGACTCCTTTCTTCATTTTTTTTATTTTTTTTATTTTCTGCTGTTAAAATTTTCCCTGGCTTTTATTTTTTCACCTTTTGTTGTTGGGAAAGCACAATTCTCTGGCTGGATTTTATTCTGCCATCTTGATCCAGAAATCTTGTGGTGAGCTTTAAAAAAATAAGAGTGAAAAAAACACAAAACATTCTTGGGCCCCACCCTAGACCTTCTGTTGCA
The DNA here is from genome assembly GCF_000001405.40 of Homo sapiens. Classification (NCBI taxonomy): domain Eukaryota; kingdom Metazoa; phylum Chordata; class Mammalia; order Primates; family Hominidae; genus Homo; species Homo sapiens. The sequence goes on along the minus strand of NC_000009.12, from coordinate 129,984,086 downwards.
GAGGCTCTGGAATAGGGCCGAGTAAGTCATTTTTAAAGCCTTCCTGTGGTTCTTCAAATCAGCCAGGTCTAAATCCACCATCCTTATAAAAGAATGTTTATTTTTTCTTTTACCTTTTAGTCAGGCTACCTGAAAAACAAGTCGAGATTTTCTACCTGAAAACACATCAGATTTCTCAGAAAGACCCCATAAATCAAAAGTTTTTTTAAGTGGTTTATTTGCTTGTTCATTTTTGTTGTTGTTGTTGTGGGTTTTTTTATTTGATTGTTTTGTTTTGAGACGAAGTCTTGCTCTGTCACCCAGGCTGGAGTGCAGTGGCATGATCTCGGCTCACTGCAACCTCCGCCTCCCAGGTTTAAGCGATTCTCCTGCCTCACCCTCCCAAGTAGCTGGGGCTTCAGGTATGTGCCACCACTCCCAGCTAATTTTTGCATTTTTAGTAGAGATGGGGTTTCACCATGTTGGCCAGGCTGGTCTCGAACTCCCGATCCACCTGCCTCGGCCTCCCAAAGTGCTGGGATTACAGGCATGAGCCACCGCGCCTGAACGAACCGTGTTCATTTTTTAAATAACGGTAATACAAATAGGGCAAAAACCTTGTCCCAAGAGAACAGCAATGGAAAGTTGATCTTTTTTTTGTAGCAGTTCTTGAGATAAATATCCTTTGAAATGAAGTTCACTTTGAGATCTCTTTAGCTTCTTGGTTTATGCTGGTATTTATAGAGTGAATTATTTATTAGTGCTTTTAAGAAGCATTTTGAATGCTATATATGCCAGTATTGTCAAAGTGATTCCCATTCATCAGAACTCGATGGTCTTTTCAGTATATCACCTACAAGGGATCTAATTTAATCCTGTTTAGTATTTGACTGGTAAAAGAGAACTATAAAGAATACTGGTTTACCTGGATCAATAGATTCAGAGTCACGTAAGGCTTCCTTCAACTAGATATAAAACTTACATGATTTTTATGGCTGCTAAGGACTGAAAGGAGGCTACAAAGAAAATGTGGATTTAACATTTTGGAATAATTTTTATATGAGGTGTGAATTTAGAAGTGGTATTTTCAATTTGTAAGTTACAGGTAACAGAAGAAATGATTAATATTTAAAATCATGCAGTAGTCTGGGCACAGTGGCTCATGCCTGTAATTCCAGCACTTTGGGAGGCTGAGGTGAGAGGACTGCTTGAGGCTAGGAGTTTGTGACCAGCCTCAGCAACATGGCAAGACTCTGTCTCTACAGAAAATAATAAAAATGAGCTGGGCATGGTGGTGTGCACCTGTAGTCCTAGCTACTTGGGAGGCTAAGGTGGGAAGATCCCTGGGGCCCAGGAGTTCGAGGCTTGCAGTGAGCCATGATCATGCCACTGCACTCTAGTCCGGGTGACAGAACAAGACCCTGTCTCTAAAAAAATTAAAATAAAAAATAAAAATGAATTGTAAAATAAACCACGCACTAGAAATATCTCACATGCAGCCACTACGTTTTTCCAATACTCTAATCACCCATATGTGCTGCTCTCAATATATTTGGAAAATAACCCATTGATTATGTAGTCATCTGTTTTGCGCACATTTCCCTTTCTTTTTTTCTTTCTTTCTTTTTTCTTTTTTTGAGATGGAGTCTCGCTCTGTTGCCCAGGCTGGAGTGCAGTGGCACAGTCTCAGCTCACTGCAACCTCTGCCTCCCAGGTTCAAGCCATTCCCCTGCCCCAGCCTCCCAAGTAGTTTGGATTACAGGCATGCGCCACCATGCCCAGCTAATTTTTGTATTTTTAGTAGAGACAGGATTTCACCATGTTGGTCAGGCTGGTCTCGAACTCCTGACCTTGTGATCTGCCCACCTTGGCCTCCCAAAGTGCTGGGATTACAGGCATGAGCCACCGCGCCCGGCCCCCTTTCATTCTTGATCCTTGTGATGGTGTTTTTAAGAAGTGATTGTGATCATAATCCAACTCAAAGACCTGTACTGTGCTTTTAACATAAAATATTTCTCTTTTTTGCATTGTTTTTTCTACAAGGGACATTCTTTAAGGAAATAATTGCTTTTTCACATTATTTTGCATCTAGAATTATTAAACTCTGCTATGTATCCTCAGTATCAGCAGAGAAAGCATGTCATAGTTGATATGTTGACGTGTATGCCAACATGATCTCAGTTTTGAATTAACTACATTCTTTCATCAGTCGGTCTAATTATAACTTTTAAACTATTATATATACATGCCTCCATTTTTTGAATAATTGCAGCAGTTAATATTCTACTGGATGTTATCTAGTCCCACAGAATTTCAAAACAAGAAGGACAATGGAGGTCATGTCGTCCAACCCCTGCTGACGTACACATTAGGAATGGGAAGCACAGACTGGCTCATTTGCTGAGGTCATGCTGTCCGGGCACATGGTCTCTTGATTCCCAGAGCAATGCCCTTTGTACTGAAGCCGGTGGCCTCTCCCGTCATCTAGTAGCATTTGTTACAGATGAAACCACATGTCACTTGGTATGCAAAACATACCATGATCAAAATTGTAAATTGATTATCACATATTTTTCTAGGCACATCTGTAGATTTGGGGGAAGTAGAAGAAATAAAAGTAACATGTGAAATAATAAAGAGGAATAGCAACAGGGAATTAACAAGGAAGTGAGGACTGAGATGCTGACACATGGAGTTCCTACTGTGGATTACTGCTCAGCATGCTCTCGCTATTTCTTGGCCGGGTGCAGTGGCACTTTGGGGGGCCGAGGCGGGCAGATCACCTGAGCTCAGGAGTTTGAGGCCAGCCTGGCCAACGTGGTGAAACCCCGTCTCTACTAAAAAGCACAAAAATTATCTGGGCGTGGTGGTGTATGCCTGCAATCCCAGGTACTCGGGAGGCGAGGCAGGAGAATCACTTGAACCCAGGAGGTGGAGGTTGTAGTGAGCCAAGATCATGCCACTGCACTCCAGCCTGGGAAACAAGAGTGAAACTCTGTCTCAAACAAACAAACAAGAAAACATGCTATGGCTATTTCTCTTTTTTTTTTTTTTTTTGAGACGGAGTCTCGCTCTGTTGCCCAGGCTGGAGTGCAGTGGCGCGATCTCAGCTCACTGCAAGCTCCGCCTCCTGGATTCATGCCATTCTCCTACCTCAGCCTCCCGAGTAGCTGGGACTACAGGCGCCTGCCACCATGCCCAGCTAATTTTTTGTATTTTTAGTAGAGACGGGGTTTCACCATGTTAGCCAGGATGGTCTCGATCTCCTGACCTCGTGATCCACCCGCCTCAGCCTCCCAAAGTGCTGGGATTACAGGCATGAGCCACCGTGCCTGGCTGCTATGGCTATTTCTCTAACTATAGTCACCTAAAGTCAGGACCCAGGAGAAATCAGTCAGTAGAACCAGTGTTAGTGAGGGTTTTTTTTTTTTTTTTTTTCTGTGATTACCTCTTAGTTTTTGTGTCTATTTGTGAATATAAAGAAAAATATTTAGATTCTTAACATGGAGATGAGATTAGGAAGGGAAACTAGGATGATTTTGGCTAATCTGAATGTGTTCAATGCAAACCTGCTAGGCAGGTTAAAAGTTTTTCTAGTTAAATGTCTTAGCATCAACACCCCCAAAATATTGTCTTGACTTCCTTCAAGAAGATTTATTCACAGGTGGTTTTCATGCGCTCGCTGGTAGAGCAGCCACACAGCCTTAGAAACATGCCCTTGGCACTCTGATTTTTTTTTTTTTTTTGGAGATGGAGTTTCGCTCTTGTTGCCCAGGCTGGAGTGCAATGGTGCGATCTCGGCTCACCGAAACCTCCTCCTCCCGGGTTCAAGCGATTCTTCTGCCTCAGCCTCCTGAGTAGCTGGGATTACAGGCATGCGCCACCATGCCCAGCTAATTTTGTATTTTTTAGTAGGGACGGGGTTTCTCCATGTTGGTCAGGCCAGTCTCGAACTTCCAACCTCAGGTGATCTGTCTGCCACGGCCTCCAAAGTACTGGGATTACAGGCGTGAGCCACTGTGCCCGGCCGGCACTCTGATTTTTAAACATTTGGACACAGTTTTCCTTGGATTTGAAGAAATAATGCCCCAACTCAGGATGACCACGAGAGAATGGTGGCCTGAGAAGAAAAACAGCTCAGTGCTACAAATGAAAGCCACTGCACAGCCGGGCACCGTGGCTCACACCTGTGATCCCAGCACTTTGGGAGGCCAAGGCAGGCAGATCATTTGAGGTCTGGAGTTCGAGACTAGCCTGACCAACATGATGACACCCCATCTCTACTAAAAATACAAAAAAAATTAGCCAGATGTGGTGGCGTGCACCTGTAGTCCCAGCTACTTGGGAGGCTGAGGCAGGAGAATCGCTTGAACCCGGGAGGCAGAAGTTGCAATGAGCTGAGATCACGCTACCGCATTCCAGCCTGGGCAACAGAATGAGACTCCGTCTCAAAAAAAAAGAAAGCCACTGCATATTTACACATGGTCTGTCCTCTCCAATTAAATAATTCTGTTCTTATTTGCTCTGCTTTGAGACAAAAGATGAAAAGCTGTGCACGTTCTTAATAACAGTAGCTTCATCACACATGTTGAAAGATTGAAGGAAATGGATTTCAGCTGTGGACTTTTTTTGTTTGTTTTAAACTTGTAACAAAAGCACTAATGTTATCTTTCATTCCTGATTTCTTAATTCTCTTTCTATATAAAGCTGACATGTCTGCATTTTTATTTCAGGAATCTTTCAAAGAAGTACCAACCTAAAAAGAACTCGAAGGAGGAAGAAGAATACAAGTATGTTTACCATTGAAAATTGTCTTGTAATAGACACATGCCATTGATGACTACACACGGAAAGGAGAAATACATGTCTATAAAAATAAGTTGCATTTCCCATTCATTTTGTGTCAGTTTTTAAATTGGAGGAGAGAACAATAAAAACATAATTAACTTTTCTTATATGGAGTCACTGGACCTATGCCAGATTGTTTCAATTAAAGTAATTAGGAAAACTTTAGAATGTAATTAAGCAAAAACAGGAAGTATGGAATCTGCATTCTAGAGTTGATTTGGTTTGGCACTGTCAGGAGTCCCTGTCATGCTAGTCATTCATCCAAGAAATATGTCAATTTCAGTCAGCAATTAAGGCATCTTAACACAGACCACTCAAATATTACATCTCTAATGTATATCTAAATATCCTTTACATTAGTACATATAGCATGTATATGAATTTTGGATTATATCTTGACTAAGTATCAATGAAGCCAAATATTACATTATGCGGAGCGGTTCAGTTTTGCAAAATGAAAAGTGTTTCAATTGTAATTAATTCTGAGCCATTTTGTTGAGAACACTTGATGTGTAATGAATACTCAGGATCCTATGGGAGGTGGATGCCAATTAACCTGATTTTAATTAATATTTTCTTGGTGTAAAGCAGAATATGAATGAATGTGGCCTTGTGTGAAACAGAGTGGCGTGTGTTCTGTTCCATAGGTATACGTCATGTAAAGCTTTCATTTCCAACCTGAACGAAATGAATGATTACGCAGGGCAGCATGAAGTTATCTCCGAGAACATGGCATCACAGATCATTGTGGACTTGGCACGCTATGTTCAGGAACTGAAACAGGAGAGGAAATCAGTAAGCAAAACTTTATTCTTTTTCTTCCTAAAAGATGGACCAAACACAGTGGGAATATCCCTAGAAGATTAAAATTAAATAAAACCATATAAGACTATGGGTCTTAAACTCATACCTTTGAGAATCATATAAAAGTTATGGACCCCAGCTGGGCACGGTGGCTCATGCCTGTAATCCCAGGACTTTGGGAGGCCGAGGCAGGCGGATCACAAAGTGAGGAGTTTGAGACCAGCCTGACCAACATGGCGAAACCCCATCTCTACTAAAAATACAAAAATTAGCCAGGCGTGGTGGCATGTGGCTGTAATCCCAGCTACTCAGGAGGCTGAGGCAGGAGAAACGCTTGAACCTGGGAGGCGGAGGTTGCAGTGAGCCGAGATTTTGCACCTGTGCTCCAACCTGGGCGACAGAGCAAGACTCCGTCTCAAAAAGAAAAAAAAAAAGAAAAAAAGTTACAGACCCTGTTCCTAGAAAGTGTTTCTAGGTCTCTACGTAAAATGTCAAGGGTCCTTCAGACACTCTGAAACTCATCTGTGGACCCATATTCAAAGGAATATGCATCCCTTTGAGGAATTTAAATATATTTCAGGGTATCAGACATTTAAAAAACAAGTAAGTAATATAATATGGTGTATGCTCTGTGGAATAAATGGTATTAAAATTAGTACTTATCAGTCGGGCATGGTGGCTCACGCCTGTAATCCCAGCACTTTGGGAAGCCTAGGCAGATGGATCACCTGAGCTAAGGAGTTCGCGATCAGGCTGGTCAACATGGTGAAACCCCTTCTCTACTAAAAATATAAAAACTAGCTGGGCGTGGTGACGGGTACCCATAACCCCAGCTACTTGGGGGTCTGAAGCACGAGAATTGCTTGAACCCAGGAGGTGGAGGTTGCAGTGAGCCGAGATCTCGCCATTGCACTCCAGCCTGGGTGACAAGAGCAAAACTCCACCTCAAAAAGAAAAAAAAAAAAAAAAAATTAGTGCTTGTAAGTAGGTCAAAAAAATGGAAAGATGTCCCCAGTTACATCCATTCTTTTCCTCAGCTCATTCATTGCTATCTAATGAAGCAAACCTTATTGTTCCTCTTGCCACCATTATCGTCTTTTCATAAATAGGTTTTGTTGGTAACCAAAGAGAAAAATGGATGCTCAAAGTCTATTCTTAGTCATGATTTTGCCTTAAGGGATTTATCTTTAAGCCATGGTCTGTATCATTGTACTTCGATTGCATGTGAAGTGCGGAAAAATTTGTTACTAGTAATAAAGTAATCACGTTGGCCAGTGATAACATTTTTTTTTTTTTTGAGACGGAGTTTCACCCTTTGGTCCAGGCCCGAGTGAAGTGGTGCGATCTCGACTCCCTGAAACCTCCGCCCCCCGGGTTCAAGCGATTCTCCTCCCTCAGTAGCTGAGATTACAGGTGCCCGCCACCATGCCCAGCTAATTTTTTGTATTTTTCGTAGAGATGGGGTTTCACCATATTGGTCGGGCTGGTCTCAAACTCCTCAGACCACCGTGATCTACCCGCCTTGGCCTCCCAAAGTGCTGGGATTACAGGCGTGAGCCACCGAGCCCAGCCACAACAGTTCTTTTAATGCCCTGGGGATACATGAGCCAACAAGATTACTATGGCTTCTGCTGAAATGGAGGAGACATTAAGTAATAATGACAAAAGTGATTATTTAATTGCAATTATGGTAGTTGCCACAAAGTAAGAGTAGAACGTGCTATGAGAGCATATAATAGGATTTCTGATATGCTCATGCTCTGGGGTCAGGAAGAAGCTTCCCAAGGGACTTCGCAGTTAAGGCCTTAACAAGACTTGAGGGATGATTAGGACCTGCCTGGGACAAGCATTCAATAGAGAGCAGCCAGGGCGCTTGGGCAGGAAGGTGTTTGAAAATGTCTCAATTTAGTTCTTTCTAAACTATAAATGTGTAGCATATGGCCTTGGATAGGTTTAAAAGTTAGGAAGAGATAAATGCCTTAAGATCAACCCATTGGTTTAAAACAACAATATGCCAATAAACTGAGATGAATCTTCATCTGTTGACATTAGCACAGTGGTTCTCAACTAGGGACAGTTTTACTCCCTACTCCAGCCACATTTATCAGTGTCTGGAGACACTTTTGGTTGTCTCAGGGATTGTGGCTAAGGGGTTGCTACTGGTATCTAGAGAGAAGAGGCCAGGGAGGCAGCTAAGCCTCCTACAATATACAGGACAGCTCCCCAACGAAGAATGACCTGGCCCAAAATGTCTATAGTGCTGAGAGTGAGAAACCCTGCACTGGAGCCCTAAATTAGATGACAGTTTCTGCTGGACCATTCATTAAAGATTTCTTTAGTGACAGAAAGGATGCAGTGAAACAGAATACTAAGGTTCAGAATGAAGTACAAATATCTAATATAATAAAATAAATACCAGAAATCTTAACATGATCCTGGACTGCTTCCCTGGACCCTGAACTTCCCTTGACCTTGCAAAGGTTTATATTTTTTTCCTGGTTGTTTCTTTTGTCAATGCTTTGTCTCTCTCCTTTTTTTTTTTTTTTTTTTTTTAAGATGGAGTCTCACTGTGTTGCCCAGACTGGAGTGCAGTGGCACGATCTCGCCTAACCACAACCTCCACCTCCCAGGTTCAAGCGATTCTCCTGCCTCAGCCTCCCAAGTAGCTGGGATTACAGGCACATGCCACTATATCCGGCTAATTTTTTATATTTTTGGTAGAGATAGGGTTTCACCATGTTGGCCAGGCTGGTCTCGCACTCCTGACCTCAAATGATCCACCCGTCTTGGCCTCCCAAACTGCTGGGATTACAAGCGTGAGCCACCGTGCCCCCTCGTATTCCTTTGCTGTGTTATGGTCAAGTTGTTTTATATTTTATTTACTCACTGTTAATGATGACTTTTTTATAGTCTGTCATATCTGTATTTCGGATTTAGTTCCTTTTGTTAATCAAAAATTACAGTAATTTATGGAATAAATTATAGGTGGTACAGATACACATTAAATATCTTGCAATACATAGTGTTCCTTTTATTTTAAGAAGAACTGCAAGTACAGGTTTCTGAGTCAGATGTTCTGTTGGGAGGAGCTGTAAACATCATGCTCTTTTGAAACATTCTGTTATTAAATTAAAATGACATTTTAGAAAATCATGAAACCTTTTGAAATATTAGAACAAATATCAGTAAGCAAATGTGTGTATTTGTGCTATTTAATTTATTTATTTAATTTTGTTTGAGACGGAGTCTCGCTCTGTTGCCCGGGCTGGAGTGCAGTTGCACAAACTCGGCTTACTGCAGCCTCCGCCTTCTGGGTTCCAGTGATTCTCCTGCCTCAGCCTCCTGAGTATCTGGGATTACAGGTACCCCCTACCATGCCCGGCTGATTTTTGTATTTTTAGTAGAGATGGAGTTTCATCATGTTGGCCAGGCTGGTCTCGAAATCCTGAGCTCAGGTGATCCGCCTGCCTTGACCTCCCAAAGTGCTGGGATTACAGGCGTGAGCCACTGCACCTGACCTGTTTGTACTATTTTAATATAATGCTTCATGAGCATTTTTTTTCTTTTTCCTTTTTTCTTTCTTTCTTTTTTTTTTTTCTTCAGGGTCTCATTCTGTTGCCTAGGCTGGAGTGCAGTGGTGCGATCATGGCTCACTGTAGCTTCAACCTCCTGAAGTCAAATGATCCTCCTATCTTAGCTTCCCAAGTAGCTGGGACCACAGGCATATGCCACCATGCTCAGCCAGTTTTTAAAAATTTTGTAGAGACAAGGTCTTGCTGTGTTGCCCAGTCTGGTCTCAAACTCCTGGGTTCAGGCGATTTTCTCACCTCAGCCTCCCAAAGTGCTGGGATTATAGGCATAAACCCCCATGCCTGGCCTGTTTTTTCTTTTCTCTACATAATCGTTGCCATTATTTTGAATGAGTAAATGATGAATTAGCATTATGGTATACTAACCACTGTAATTTAAAAAATGATTCCAATAATATTGGAGGCCTGGCGTGGTGGCTCACGCCTGTAGTCCCAGCACTTCGGGAGGCCGAGTGTTTAGCCTCATGCTTGCTATAGATTATAATAGCTAACCTCAATGGGGACTGCTGGTTCTCCAGATTTTACCCAAGATATGGACCCTGGAGCACAGGAAGGTGCAGTGAGCTGGGTGTGTTGCTCTGTTGCAGAGCTGGGGGGTCCCCAGGCTGCTTCCCTCTCGGGGCAGTGCGTGTTTGTAGGCATGGTTTTTTTTCCAGTGAGTTTTTTTCGACATACCTTCAAGGATGCTGGAGTAAACAGTATGAACATCCTCATCTGCAGCTAGTCTTAGAAAAAGAGCTGTTTGGCTGGGCGCGGTGACTCACGCCTGTAATCCCAGCAATTGGGAGGCTGAGGCGGGCAGATCACTTGAGGTCAGAAGTTCGAGACCAGCCTGGCAACGTGATGAAACCCCTTCTCTACTAAAAATATAAAATACATTTTAAAAAATTAGCTGGGCATGATGGTGCATGCCTGTAATCCCAGCTACTCAGGAGGCTGAGGTACAAGAATTGCTCGAACCTGGGAGGCGGAGGTTGCAGTGAGCTGAGATGGCACCACTGCACTCTAGCCTGGGTGACAGAGTGAGACCCTGTCTCAAAAAAAAAAAGAAAAAAAAAGAAGAGGCCAGGCGCGGTGGCTCATGCCTGTAATCCCAGCACTTTGGGAGGCCAAGGCAGGCGGATCATGAGGTCAGGAGATCGAGACCATCCTGGCCAACATGGTGAAACCCGTCTCTACTAAAAAAAAAAAAAAAAAATTAGCCGGGCATGGTGGCGGGCGCCTGTAGTCCCAGCTACTTGGGAGGCTGAGGCAGGAGAATGGCGTGAACCCAGGAGGCGGAGCTTGCAGTGAGCCGAGATCGCGCCACTGCACTCCAGCCTGGGCGACAGAGTGAGACTCCGTCTCAAAAAAACAAACAAACAAACAAAAAACAGAAAAGAAAAGAAGAAAAGGAGCTATTTAAGACCTTCTCGTAATAACCAACATTTCTCCTTTAGAGCTTTTACTTTTGGCTACCCTGACTTGACTTAGTAAACACTATTTTATTGTAAGGATGATTCTTAAAACAACAGTGGAATGCTATCATTTCTGTCTTCTGGTGAGGTTAATTATTGGCGCACACAGCATAACAGAGTTAGAGCTCAAATCCAGGTTTTCTGAGGCCAGACTCAGTCGCCTTCCCACTATGCTGTGATGAGGGGCTGACAGCATGCTTCAGGTCTGTCTTAAAAGACAGGGAGAGGCCACATAAGTTCTGTGTTCACAGAGCTGGAGCCCCCTGCTTGGTGGTGGGCAGCGAGAGGAAAGGATGCAAGCTTTCCAGCCAACAACCCTGCTCAGGATTCCTGGCAGCCCTGCCCTAGGCAGGTTATGAAAACTCTATGAGCATACACTTAGGAATCTGTAAGCTGAGGCTGATTATAGCCACCTTAGGAAGTTGTGGGGACAATTATGAGAAGACAAATATGAACCTCCCAGCACAACGTTCCAGTATACTGATAAATAGATGCTGCATATCCAGTTTCTCTTGCTGTAATCATTCTGTTACTTAATGCAGAATCTCATTTCCATCCCAGAGCTTCTCGATCAGGGCTTGTTACAGAAAACGGAGCACCTATAATCCCAGCACATTGGGAGGCCAAGGTGGGCAGATCACCTGAGGCCAGGAGTTGAAGACCAGCCTTGCCAACATGGCGAAACCCTGTCTCTACTAAAAATACAAAAACTATCCAGGCACAGTGGCGCGTGCCTGTAATCCTAGCTACTCGGGAAGCTGAGGCAGGAGAATCACTTGAACCTGGGAGGCAGAGGTTGCTGTGAGCGGAGATCATGCCATTGCACTTTAGCCTGGGTGACAGAGTGAGACTCCATCTCAAAAAAAAAAAAAAGAAAAAGAAAACGGAGCATGTTTAGGCCTTCTGTGAGCAGGTGTCATACGGTAGTTGTTCAGTGATTTTAAAATGACCTTTCTAAAAATGTGTAATTGGGCCAGGCACAGTGGCTCACTTGAAGTGGTAATCCCAGCACTCTGGGAGGCCGAGGCGAGTGGATCACTTGAGACCAGGAGTTCGAAACCAGCCTGGCCAACATGGGGAAACCCCATCTTTACTAAAAATATAAAAATTAGCTGGGCGTGGTGGCAGGCACCTGGAATCCCAGCTACTTGGGAGGCTGAGGCAGGAGAATCGCTTGAACCCGGGAGGCAGAGGTTGCAGTGAGCTGAGATTGTGCCACTGCACTCTAGCCTGGGCGACCGAGCAAGACTCCATCTCGAAAAATAAATAAATAAATAAAATGTGGAATTGGTTGATGGCATAGGAAACAAGAAGCTGCTTTTAACATTTTAGACCCAGCTACTATTTTTCGTGGCTGACTAGAAATAATGCCTTACTTAAGTACCATCCTTAACCATCAGCACAGTACAGATTGGGCCATTTGATACAGCGGCAGAATCCTGGCTGCCCAAAGGGATGATTTTGAATTTACAGGATTAGTGCTGGATCTCATTACTGCATATAGAAAGAATGTCCAAGTTCAGTGGACAATACTGGTTGAAAATTACTTTTTATCTACATTTTGCTGTGTTTAAATGGATGAATCTCTGACAAGGGTAAGCGTGATGAAAAATGGCTCTCTGTGCAAAGACGATGTTTCCTTCCTTTTTGTTGTACGGCATTCTTGCCTTTGTAGCCCTACCAGCTGTTTGATCTTTAAGTCTTCAAATCTAACTGTAGGATGGGCACAGTGGCTCACGCCTGTAATCCCAGCACTTTGGGAGGCCAAGGCAGGTGGATCACCTGAGGTCAGGAGTTTGAGACCAGCCTGGCCGACATGGTGAAACCCTGTCTCTGCTAAAAATACAAAAATTAACCAGGCGTGGTGGCATGTGCCTGTAGTCCCAGCTACTCTGGAGGCTGAGGCAGGAGAATCATTTGATTCCAAAAGGCAGAAGTTGCAGTGAGCTGAGATCGCACCACTGCACTCCAGCCTGAGTGACAGAGTGAGACTCTGTCTTAAAAAAAAACAAAAAACAAAAATCTAACTGTAAAATAGGATTACTACTTCTACTTAAGTATCTAGGAGAAAAGATGCTTTTTATTCTGCACATATACTGTATTTTTGTATCACAACGCAGTTCATTTTAATGTTATGAATATCCATTGTTTTTCCTGATGAACAAAACTGTAGGCTCATTTTGGTGAAAATGTTGGTTTTTAAAAAATGCAGATTCACGGCCAGGCGCGGTGGCTCACACCTGTAATCCCAGAACTTTGGGAGGCGGAGGTGGGCATATCAAAAGGTCAGGAGTTCCAGACCAGCCTGACCAACGTGGTGAAACCCTGTCTCTACTAAAAATAGAAAAAAAAAAAATTAGCTGGGTGTGGTGGTGTGCGCCTGTAATCCCAGCTACTCAGGAGGCTGAGGCAGGAGAATTGCTTGAACCTGGAGGCGGAGGTTGCAGTGAGCCAAGATTGCACCACTGCACTCAAGCGTAGGTGACAGAGTGAGACTCCATCTCAAAACAAAACAAAACAAAACAAAAAGCAGATTCACTAAAAAGAGAACCTTTCTCCCCTGCAAGAACTTAGCAGTTTAGGTTCTTCCTTGCCTGACATCTGAGCCTGCATCTGTCTCTTTAGGAAAACATGAGCAGTCCTGGAAGCCCTGGACAAGGAGGTCCTATAGCTTCTTCACCTAGTGGGTTCCACTTAGGGCAATTGCATTTTCAGTGAGATGTTCGCCATCTCTTTAGACATAATGGAATCAGTGGCCAGTCCTTGGGGTGCATATAAAAAGAATATTACTAAAACGGAATTAAAGGACAAAATCTCACAATCCCTTATAAATCAAAAATCCTCATTTTTCAAAGCTTTCTTCCTGATATCATTTGCAGATATGTATAACATTTAAGAATATTGGCTGGGCGCAGTGTCTTATGCCTGTAATCCCAGCACTTTGGGAGGCCAAGGCGGGTGGATTGCTTGAGGTGGCGAGTTTGAGACCAGCCTGGCCAACATGGTGAAACCCCGTCTCCACTAAAAATACAAAAATTAGCTGGGCTTGGTTGTGCATGTCTGCAATCCCAGCTACTCGGGAGGCTGAGGCAGGAGAATTGCTTGAATGCAGGAGGCAGAGGTTGCAGTGAGCCGAGAACGCGCCACTGCACTCCAGCCTGGGTGACAGACAGGACTCAGTCTAAAAAAAATAATAAAATAAAAGGCCAGGCGCAGTGGCTCACGCCTGTAATCCTAGCACTTTGGGAGGCCGAGGTAGGGGGATCATGAGGTCGGGAGATCGAGACCATCTTAGCTAATATGGTGAAACCCTGTCTCTACTAAAAATACAAAAAAAAAACAAACCCAAAAACTTAGCCAGGCGTGGTGGGAGGTGCCTGTAGTCCCAGCTACTCAGGAGGCTGAGGCAGGAGAATGGCGTGAACCTGGGAAGCGGAACTTGCAAGGAGCCGAGATCGCGCCACTGCACTCCAGCCTGGGCCACAGAGTGAGACTCCACCTCAAAAAAAAAAAAAAAAAGTTAGGAATATTAATCCTACTATAGCTATAATTTATATTCTTCTTGATTCTCCATTTAATATTGTAAGCATTTTCCATGTTTCTACCTCAAAAAGTATACGTTTTTGTTTTTAGATTTAAAAAAAAATTTTTTTTTAATTTTTTTTAGGGATAGGGCTGGCTATGTTGCCCAGGCTGGTCTTGAACTCCTGGGCTCAAGCAATCTTCCCGCGTCGGCCTTTCAAAGTGCTGGGATTATAGGAGTGAGCCGTTGTGCCTGGCCAAAAGTGTAGTTTAAATAATTGGAATTTTTTCAAAGTTATTGGAAGAGATATTAAAAAAGAAAGAAAAATATTTGGAATTTTAGTAGCTGTGCATTGTTCTAACAAAGTTATAATTTGCCTAATTGTGTATTGTTTGATTTATAGGGTATTACCAGTTTTTGACTCATTTACTTAGTTAGTTGTGTAAACAATACAGCAGTAAACTCTTTACTTCCAAAGCTGTTTGCATTGTGTGTGGGCTGAGATTACTTCCCCAAACTAAATTCCCAGAAGTGAGACTGTGAGGTCAAAGCATACATGATTAAACATACATGATTTATGGTTCTTGATAAAACTCTGATAATTTATGTTCAGATAATTATAGTAGAATTACAGATAGAATTATCAATAGATTTACAGACTTATAGATAGATTTCCAAATGTCACTGAAATGATCAACATGGGTGTGGAATTAGCTTATCTGAGATGTGGGTAATTCAGAGTTGATAACACATATATTCCTCCATAAGAACTACTGTAAATGTACTCTTATCAGCAACTTTTGAACATTGAGTCAAGTTATTGAAGAAAAGAGTTTTAGAGGTTGTTTGGTGTAGCTGCAGCCTTTGAGTACGTCTGGGCTTTTCCACAGCGATTACCACTAATCATATATGAGAAATTTGTGAAGATTTATAGCTCCAGAAGGAGAACCAGGAGGTTCTTGCCAACATTTTCTGGAATTCCAAGAAAACTTCTCCCTGCAGGTGGAAAATATGGTTCATTACTCACAAAGTGTTGGCCAGAAGCAGAATCACTTTTTGGCAGCAGTTATCTGAAGAGTTCTAGAGGAAACAATTATACAATACTTTCAGTGACTCACTAAAATGTTTATAAACCTCAGACCTGTATGCTTACAGACTCCACATTACTTAGAATTGACCATTTAAAACTACTCGCGAGGTTTCTGAAATGTTTGAAAATGGATACTGCACTAAAACCTATAACATTCTTTTCAAAGTTAGATATTCAATAGGTCCTATTTATGGATCTTATGAAGGGGCTTAATTTCCTATAAGCCAGTTCTGCAGCATGGACTGACTCCAATACATTTAGGAAAACAAAATGTTGTTATAAGAGATGACAGCAAATAGGTAAAGCTTAGCATGAAGGAAAGCAAAAACTAAAAGGAGTTTATGTATATAATCTAGCTACTTACAAGTCCATTTCTGATTTTTTTTTTTTTTTTTTTTTTGAGACGGAGTTTTGCTCTTGTTGCCCAGGCTGGAGTGCAATGGTGCAATCTCGGCTCACTGCAACCTCTGCCTCCCAGGGTCAAGCAATTTTCCTGCCTCAGCCTCCCCCATAGCTGGGATTACAGGCGCCTGCCACCACACCTAGCTAATTTTTGTATTTTTAGTACAGACGAGGTTTCACCATGTTGACTAGGCTGGTCTCAAACTCCTGACCTCAGGTGATCTGCCTGCCTCGGCCTCCCAAAGTGCTGGGATTACAGGCATGAGCCACCATGCCCAGCCATCTTCTTTGTTTTGAAAGAACATGTAAAAGTGGCATTCTGTTCATTAAAAGTGGGCCCTTTCACCACTGTGGTTGTTTCACCTGCAAAACCACTGGTCTGGTGACCCCCCCGCCAAAAAAAAAAAAAAAGTTTTCCAGCTACCTGAAAGGCTGAGGCAGGAAGATTGCTCAGGGCCGGGGAGTTCAAGACCAGCCTGGACAACATAGTGAGATCCACCCCCCAATCTCAAAAAAAAATTTCTTTTTAAATTTTATCATTCATGGGATAACATACTTAGTAAACAGGACACTCAAATTCTTTTCTTCATTTCATGGGCTTGAAATGTGATCTTGGATTTTGTGTTTCTCCTTTGCAAGCTAGAATTAATGATTTCCTTTTCTTCTGGGAATTGTGAGAATTACTTGACTCACATTTCGTATCTCACATGATTCTTGTTCGGCCACCTGTTTGACATCTCTCCTTAGATGCCTAATACAGCATCACCATTGCACCTTTGTCAGCAGAGGACTGGAGTCCAGCAAGTGTGAATGATGGCTCCAGAGTGGTGTAGTGCAGTGACCCTGTTAGCCCACCCCAAAACAAACTTTTTTTTTTTCTGAGACGGAGTCTCACTCTGTCACCAGTCTGGAGTGCAGTGGCGCTATCTCGGCTCTCTGCAAGTTCCGCCTCCCGGTTCAAGCCATTCTCCTGCCTCAGCCTCCCAAGTAGCTGGGATTACAGGCACCCGCCACCACGCCTGGCTAATTTTTGTATTTTTAATAGAGACGGGATTTTGCCATATTGGCCAGGCTGATCCCGGAGTCCTGTCCTCAGCTGATCTGCCTGCCTTTGCCTCCCATAGTGCTGGGATCACAGGCGTGAGCCACCGCTCCCGGCCCCAAAACCAACTTCTGATCCCCCAAAGTCCTTATCCATGTTCCATTCCAGTCTGCACTCCCTCCAGTTCTCAATAAATGGGACACCTTTTCTTACACTCAGGTGCTCTGGCCAAACACATAGTCACCCAGAGCTTTTCTCTTTTCTCTTACACACCATCTCTTATCTGTTAACAAGTCTAGCTGGCTCTGCCTTCAGTAAATGTTCTGAGTCCAAGCACTTCTCACCCCTCTTCCACATCTACCCCAGTCCTGTGCCTCATTATCTCTCATCTAGAGGACTCTGCTGAGCCTCCTAATTCATTTCTCTGCTTCCATGCTTACCCTGTGGCCAGTGGTCCAACTGTCCATCTCCATGTCAGAGCCACCACCAGCTCTCCCTTAGAGAGAGTGCAAGTGTAACAGCCTCCCCCTGCAGCAGCCAGCTTGACATTGAAATAATGTAGATCAGGCCATGTCACTTCCTTTCTTTTGTTGTTGTTGTTGTTGTTGTTGTTGTTGTTTAGACGGAGTCTCGCTCCATCACCCAGACTTGGAATGCAGTGGTGCGATCTCAGCTCACTGCAACCTCCGTCACCCAGGTTCAAGCAATTCTCCTGCCTCAGCCTCCCAAGTAGCTGGGATTACAGGTGTGTGCCACTATGCCCAGCTAATTTTTTTTGTATTTTTAGTAGAGACGGCATTTCATCATGTTGGCCAGGCTGGTCTCGAACTCCTGACCTCAAATGATCCGCCCATCTCGACCTCCCAAAGTGCTGGGATTACAGGCGTGAGCCACTGCATCCGGCTGTCACTTCCTTTCTTAAATCTTCCAACATGCTTACCGTGGCTGGTGAGGCTGTCCATGGTCAAGCCCCTGCCTGCCCTCCGTCCCTGTGCCCTTTACCTTGGTCTAGTGGCACTGGCATCCAGCTGTTCCTCAAACAGGGCAAGCCCCTTCACACTCAGAGCATCTGCACTTGCTCTGCCTGCGGCTTGGAGGGTATTCCTCAGACCCTTGTAAGTTCACTCCCACGTTTTATGCAAGTCTCTACTCAAATGTCATCCCAGACTGCCCTTGTCTAAAATAGCTACCTTCACCTACACCCATCCCTCCTTATTCCTTTACCCTGTTTGTCTTACTTCTGGATCCACTCAGTTTCACTGGGACAGGGGACTTTGTTTTGTTTACACAGCTTTCCTCGTGCCTGGAGCAGCCCTGTTCACAAGTGGGCATGTCAGTGAGCATGGGATGATCACCCTGGCACTCTATCTAAAAATCTTATTGATGGGAGATTCTCTGTATCAGATGCTGCAAGTAACAGCTTTATATCCTCAGAAGGGATCAGGCAAGAAAATGAGCCATTCCATGAGAGGAATTAAGATTTCTTGATTGATTTCCTTCCTTCCTTCCTTCCTTCCTTCCTTCCTTCCTTCCTCCCTCCCTCCCTCCTTCCCCCCTCCCTCCCTCCTTCCCTCCCTTCCCTCCCTTCCTTCACTTCCTTCCCTTTCTTCTTTTCTTTTTCTTTCTATGTGTGTGTGTGTGTGCGCGCGCGCGCGTGTGTGTGTGTGTTTTAAGAGAGATGGGGTTTCACCATGTTACCCAGGCTGGTCTCAAACTCCTGGCCTCAAGCGATCCCCCTGCCTCGGCCTCTCAAAGTACTGGGATTGCGGCCTAGGGATGCGAATTTCAAGGAATGTGAAGACAGGATTGCTTTGAAAAACAGATAAAAGATCATTGCTGCATGTGGAGCCTTCTGGGTGAGAATAACCGAGGAACAGTGAGCAGAGGAGTAGCCAGAGAAGGAGGGAGGGAAAATGCTGCTGCTTAGGCCTGACCCTGGCCCATTGCCTCATGCTGCTCAGTGTTACGGGTAAAGTCAAGCAACTGAGCATGCCTCTGAGAGGTAGGCATTTAGAAAACTTCGAACACGTTCATTAAGAAGGTATTTTTACTATGGATAAACTTGGAAAAATAAGCCTTGCTAAGTAAAAATAGAATGTGTGTCCCTTAGTGAACGTTTCTGGTTTCTGGTTTGGGTTTTAAGTGGGGTACGACATACCCACTTGAACAGGACTAAGGCGTTTTGCCATTACGCCACATGGTCCATAGAAATATCCACGCCGCTTAGAGTTCTAGCTCAATTAAAACTGGGAGTCCTGATTCAGACTTGGAAGCTGCTCCTGTTCAAACCCACTACTACGCTGTGAGTTTAGAGGAAACAGGATTTGTCACAGGCATGTTTGCTGGAAGCTCCCTCTTTCTTTGCCCTTTTCAAGTCTTTTTGTTTCTTTGTTTGCATCTGTGGAATCTGAGTTTTATTTAAAATTCCAGATGGTTGACTGTTCTCAGTTGAGTGTTTATTCTTATGTTTTTTTCTACTTTTTTTTTTTTGAAAGGGCTGTTCTCACATCAGTGCCATATTTTGCTCTTTTAACTGTTAATGGTTTAATATCTATATAAATAGCAAAAATGAGCAGCTGTTGTACCTAATTGCAGTGTGAATACTAAACATTCTCATAGCATTTGTGTGAGTTTGTCTGTTCTGTCTGTGATTTCTTGCAGTTCAGTAAAATTGTCTCAAAAGCTTTGCCATTGTCGTTTTTCTTAAAGTTAATGCTTGCTTATTTTAGATTCTCTGTGATTTTTTTTTTTTTTTAATCTCAGCCACCTCTGTTCACTGGGAAATTTCTTTAAAAAATTTGAAGGGTGATTTGATCTGTGTAGACTTTTATTTCAACTAAAAAGTTGAAATAAGTAAGTGTAGCTGTCACCCCAGAAACTATTAGGGTTTGGGTTTTTTTGTTTGTTTGTTTGTTTTAGCTTATTATTATGTTTTAAAAGAAACTAAAAGCATCTTATGACAGCAGAAAGTAAGAAGCATTTCTCTGGGTCTCTAGAGATGGCATTTCCTGTCTCTTTTCTGATAGGAGAGAAAGGAGCTGTGATGACTTCATTCTATGGCTCCAAAAGAAGCACTTTTTATCTTTGTCCGGAGAACAATTCCTCCTTCTTTAGTGCTTGCAGGCACACTTTTTAGACACACACTTGCTCACTGTCCAGAAAAGAAATGTTCGGCCATTGTTGGTAAACAACAAATACATCTGGCAAAGCTGGTTTATTTGTTTAACTTTGTAACTGTTAAAATAGCTTTTCCGGTGAAAGCAGCGAAGATAGAGCTAGAAACAAACCCCAGCTATTCAGGTCATGGTAGGCACAGAGCACAAAGGAGGGCTTTTGTTCCCTCCCTTAATTTCCTGAAGGATCCCCCAGCACGGATAGTTTTTCGTATGTTATGGCCAAATAAATGATAGAGGGACAGGTACTGTGAAAAAGGCTGGGGCTGGGCATGGTGGCTCATGCCTGTAATCCCAGCACTTTCGGAGTCTGAGGCAGGCATATCACTTGAGGTCAGGGGTTCGAGGATAGCCTGGCCAACATGGTGAAACCCTGTCTCTACTAAAAACACAAAAATTAGCCGGGCGTGGTGGCGCATGCCTGTAGTCCCAGCTACTCAGGAGGCTGAGGCAGGAGAATTGCTTGAACCCAGGAGGCGGAAGTTGCAGTGAGCCGAGATTGTGCCACTGCACTCCAGCATGGGTGACAGAGACTTGTTTTTTTAAAAAAAAAAAAAAAAAAGGCTGGAAGGAAGGAAGATGGGCATCACCCACAATCTCCTAAGCCCCATGAAATGGTACGATGATAATTGCAGTTTTCAGGTAGTGGTTTAATAATGTGGGGAGAGGTGTGGCTGAGCAGTCTTCATGAGAGATAACTTACCAGTAAATTCAAGGTGCACACCGTGCCTTAAACACAAATGCATATTTATTATATATTTACACTAAGGAGTGGCAAGGGAACCACTCTATGGATTTTTCAATCAAAATCATCCCTCGTGTTTTTAAAATAAGACTTTTTTTTTTAAGACTCTTGTCTTCAGAGATTTATTTTATATGAAAGTCAGGTGACATGTCCCAGGCAATGCCTGTCATTGTCTGCTGGGCTTCTGTGCATTTCCTGTCTCCACCCACAGCATTGCCCCAAGCTGGAGGGAGCTTTCACTTTGTTAAAACATTCACTTTCAGAGGTGCTGGAGAGATAGATCGTCAACCTCGAGTACAGCTCTGAATTGGTGCTGGGGTTTTCTCTTTTTGTTCCTGTCTTTGAATCTCAAAGTAAAACTTTTGGGAGCGGCTGCATCTCTTCAGCAAACTGCGTAACTCGGTGCTCCGGCTTAGGAAATGGGATCTTTCTCTTCGCAGAGAAGTCACCCGATAAAGACTTTCAGGACCAGAGGTGCCTTCCAAAAAGGGCACAGTTGAGCCCAGATGGTTTGAAATTGACGCTCTGGTCTCTGGGGGGTCCTCCCTGAAAGCGTGGCTTTCAGAAAACCCGCTTGTATTTTCTATACGTTCTCCACTAAGGTCCAGAGTTTCCCTAACCCTGTCCTTGGCTCTACTTCTTAATTCTCCCACAGCCTGGATCCCTTCTTTTCTGTTCTATCCTTATGTCCATTACAAGAGCTGAAAAACGAAGCCCCAAGGGGCTCCCCCTGGGTTTGCAGAGACCAAAAAATTGCTGGATAGATAAAACTGACTGCAAAGAGGCGCTTAAAACAGTGAAACTCGACCTCAAAAGAGAGACAAGAAAACATTCCCTTATAAAGGAGCACTGTTCTAAATCTGATGTTGTCTCTGCCTTCCCAGCCTTTCCAGTTGTCAGCTCCATTTTCTGACTCCGCTAAATCCTAGGTTCTGACGAGGTACGGGAAAAGCTCCGAGGCTCTACCTAGTGGACCTCTTTGTTTTTATCCTTCCTTCACCTGACCTTCTCTGCAGTGCACCCCTAACACCAATGCTTACCTTGTGAGCCAGAAAACAGACAGCACATTCAAACTCAGTAATTGAAGGAAGGTCGGTTATTAAAAGGAGCATTTACAACGTGGCGGATAGAGTTTAGGAAAAGCAGTGAGGATGGTTCAGTACCCTGGAGCAAGTCACAGTGGGGAGCTGATGTTGCCCCCAGGCCTCACAGGGCTGGAGGAGCCTTCCAGGAATTTCACAGATGAGGAACTTCTGAGGTTAGCTGCATGCGGGGCACTGCCTGACTGGAGCTGTGCCCTTTGGTCCAAGGACCCAGCCAACCTGTATCATCTCAGTGAGGAGAAGCTGCAGGTACAGTTTCCTGCCCTCTGATCACTCAGAACATCCTTGTGGCAAATCTCATCAGAACCAGAGGGCAAGGGTTCATGAGATCCCTGCATGTCAGTCTCTGGGGACCCAGACAGGGTGGAGAATGCACCTGGGAAATTTGCAGGACATTGACCAAGTCAGCGATGGTACAGTGTGGAAGGATACTAAAAGATTTAGGGGCCGGGCACGGTGGCTCACGCCTGTAATCCCAGCACTTTGGGAGGCCGAGGCAAGCGGATCACTTGAGGCCGGGAGTTCGAGACCAGCCTGGCCAACATGGTGAAACCCTGTCTCTACTAAAAATACAAAAAATTAGCTGGGCGTGGTGGGTCGCACCTGTATTCCCAGCTACCAGGGAGGCTGAGGCAGGAGAATCACTTGAACCCGGGAGGCAGAGGTCACAGGGAGGCAGAGGTCTCAGTGAACCGAGATCACGCCACTGTCCTCCAGCCTGGGCAACGGAACAAGACTCCGTCTCAAAAAATAAAATATATAAAGGATTTAGGGAACTGGTGATTTTAGGTCACTGAACAAAAAAAAGACACCATTCTCTTAACATTTCTGCATATTTCTAGCACTTCCTTCCTTGGGATCTTTGTCTTCTTTGGTCTCCTGGCTTTAACTATCCACTTTATACTGAAGACTCCCAAACTGGTCTTTAGTACAGACCGCTCCCTAAGCTCAGATCCACAAGTCCAAGTACATATTAGTCTCTCTACTTGTTTGTTTGTTTGTTTTTCGGGGGTTTTTTTGAGATGGAGTCTCTATCTGTCACCCAGGCTGGAGTACAATGGTACTATCTCGGCTCACCGCAACCTCCGCCTCCCAGTTCAAGTGATTCTCCTGCCTCAGCCTCCCGAGTAGCTGGGATTACAGGCATGCGCCACCATGCCTGGCTACTTTTTGTATTTTTAGTAGAGACGGGGTTTCACCATGTTGCCCAGGCTGGTCTAGAACTCCTGACCTTTGGTGGTTCGCCCACCTTGGCCTCCCAAAGTGATGGGATTACAGGCATGAGCCACCACGCTCGGCTAGTCTCTCTACTTGGGAGTCTCATAGAAATATCAGCCTTAACACATGTGAAACTACGTGTATGATCTTCCTCCTCAGACCCACTTCTCTCAGTCTTCCTTCTCCTAAAGCTCAGACTGACAACCTCGGAGTCACCCTGGGCAGCTCATTATTGCACATCTCATCTTATCTCCCAGAAAATCCTGGAAGTTTGGGTGATCAAAAGGTGCCCAAAACCTGACCCCTCTCACCACCTGCACTGCTCGCTACCTACAACCTGTCCAAGTTGCAGTAATCTCCAGGATTGTTACAAAAGCCTCCCACCATCTGAAATCTTTCCTTCACAACATCTTAGAGTTACTCATCGACTCTGGTTCATTCAGGCAAAAAAGCCTACAAGACCCTATACAACTCCCTCTTTCTTCTCTGACCTCATATGATATTCTCCCCGAGGCTCCTCCAGATCTGGCCGCCAGGTTAACACCACACCAGAGCCTGCCTCAGGGCCTTTGCAGATGGCCAGGAGGGAAATTTATCTTTATATTTAAAATAATCTAATAATGAAAACAGCCATGCACACAAAACACTCAAAACTCTTACTCAAGTGTTTATAGCAGCAATTTTCTTTTTCTTTTTCTTTTTCTTTTTCTTTTTTTTTTTTTTTTTTTTGAGATGGAGTCTTGATCTGTCACCCAGGCTGGAGTACAGCAGCGCGATCTCGGCTCAGTGCAGTGCAACCTCCAGCCCCCTAGGTTTTAAGCAATTATCCTGCCTAAGCCTCCGGAGTAGCTGAGATTACAGGTCCACGCCACCACGCCCGGCCAGTTTTTGTATTTTTAGTAGAGACAGGGTTTCACCATGTTGGCCAGGCTAGTCTCAAACTCCTGACCTCGTGATCCGCCCACCTCTGCCTCCCAAAGTGCTGGCCTGGCCGCATTTTTCATAATAGCCCAAACCTAGAAACAACTCTGATGTCTATCAACTGTTGAATGGATAAACAAAATGTGGGATAGCCACATGATGGAATAATCATTTGGCAATAAAAAAGAATGGAGTACTGATACATGTGACAATGTCGACCTTGAAATCATGCGAAGTGGATATGAGGAGATAATGAACACATCCCAGTTACCAAAGGCCTCAGACCATGTCTCCATTCATAGGAAACAGCCAGAATAAACAAATCCACAGACAGAAACAGGCTCCCTAGGGCTGAGGAAGATGGAGGGTGACGGCTAGTGGGTACAGGTTTCTTTTAGGGGTGATAAAAATATTCTAAAATTGGTCGTGGTGATGGTTGTACAGTTTTGTGAATTGCTTAGTTTAAATGGTAAATCAGATCATATCTGAATCATATCTCAAAGCAGTTAAAAAAGATGAAGCGATCGCTGTCTTAAAACATTCCTGTCGTTTTTCCAAGTGGCATATATGTCTTCAAATTTTATTTTATTTTTTTATTTTTTGAGACCGAGTCTTGCTCTGTTGCCCAGAGCTGGAGTGCATTAGCACGATCTCAGCTCACTGCAACCTCTGCCTCCCAGGTTCAAGCAATTCTCCTGCCTCAGCCTCCCAAGTAGCTGGGATTACAGGCACGCACCACCACGCCTGGCTGATTTTTGTCTTTTTAGTAGAGATGGGGTTTCACCATATTGGCCAGGCTGGTCTTGAACTCCTGACCTCATGATCCACCCACTTCAGCCTCCCAAAGTGCTGGGATTACAGGTGTGAGCCACCGTCCAGCCTATTTTATTTTTTTGAGATGGGGTCTCATTCTGTCACTCAGGCTGGAGTGCAGTGGCACGATCACGGCTCACTGCGGCCTCAACCTCCCAGGCTTAGGTGAGCTTCCAACCTCAGCCTCCCAAGTAACTGACTACAGGTGTGCTCACCACCATGCCTGGCCTGTCTTCAAATTTTATACAGTTGTACCTAAAGCTGTAAAGGGAACTCTGTGACTGCTTTTTTTCCCCCCAAGTGAAACTTGTTTCATCTGTGATGACTATTCTTGTTTTCGTTTCCACATTAAGCTTTTTATTCCCTTTTCCTTTTTTTTTTTTTTTTTTTTTTGAGGCAGAGTTTCACTGTGTCATCCAGGCTGGAGTGCAGTGGTGCAATCACAGCTCAATGTGGCAGTGTCAACCTCCCTGGACTTAGGTGATCCTCCCACCTCAGCCTCCAGAGTAGCTGGGACTATCAGTGTGTGCCACCACATCCAGCTAATTTTTCTATTTTTTTGTAGAGTGGGGGGTCTCACTGTGTTGCCCAGGCTGTCTTGAACTCCTTGGCTCAAGCGATTCTTCTTCCTCAGCCTCCCAGGGTTCTGGGATTACAGATGTGAGCCACCGCACCCGGCTACCCCTTTCAACTCTTAAATTTCTTTGGAGCATACATACTAGAGGTTCAATATTTAGATGTTGTTTAAGTGGATGAAAATGTTTCCTCCTGGGTTCATAAGAGAAGCAGAGGGTACTAATCACCAGTGTGTTTTCCCCTTTGCAGAACTTTCACGATGGCCGTAAAGCACAGCAGCACATCGAGACTTGCTGGAAGCAGCTTGAATCTGTAAGTGAACAATGCACAGCAAAAGAAACGGCTTTATAGATTTTTTTTTCTTTTTTTTTGAGACGGAGGCTCCCTCTGTTGCCCAGGTTGGAGTGCAATGGTGCGATCTCGGCTCACTGTAACCTCTGCTTCCCAGGTTCAAGTGATTCTCCTGCCTCAGCCTCCCAAGTAGCTAAGATTACAGGCACACGTCACCATGCCCGGCTAATTTTTGTATTTTTGGTAGAGATGGGGTTTTGCCATGTTGGCCAGGGTGGTCTTGAACTCCTGCCCTGAAGTGATTCGCCCACCTCGGCCTCCCAAAGTTCTGGGATTACAGGCGTGAGCCACTGCACCCAGCCTAGGAAATGTCTTTATAGATTTTCCAGTTTCAATTTAATTTAAGCTTGAGTCAATCAGAAAGTAAAAAACATGCACATAAAAACACTAATGAAACATCTTTATAGATTTTTCTCATTTAATTTGTTTCTAGAACCATTATCTAAAGTTGAGCCAAAAGAGCTCAAGTTGAGTATTTTTCTAAAAGTCACGTGGAAATAATAAAGATTAGACAGTTTTGATGGAAATAAATGCAGATTTTAAAATAACTTCTAGAAATTATGACATATAAGAAATCAATTCAGAGAAGAGTATTCTTGGGCCAGACACATTGGCTCACGCCTGTAATCCCAGCAATTTGGGAGGCAGAGGCGGGAGGATTGCTTGAGCTCAGAAGCTCAAGACCAGCATGGGCAACATGACAAAACCTAGTCTCTACAAAAAAATGCAAAAATTAGCTGGGCATGGTGGTGCATGCCTGTAGTCACAGCAGCTAGTGAGGCTGAGGTGGGAGGATCACCTGAGCCGGGAAGGTCAAAGCTGCAGTGAGCCAAGATGGCGCCACTGCACTCCAGCCTGGGTGACAAAGTGAGACCCTGACTGAAGAAAAAAAAAAGAAAAAGAACAATGCTCTTTGGGAGCTTTAGATAAAATTACATCTTCTCGTAGGACTCTTATGGTTTCATAATTATTTTCCTCTGATTTTAGAGTAAAAGGCGATTTGAACGCGATTGCAAAGAGGCGGACAGGGCGCAGCAGTACTTTGAGAAAATGGACGCTGACATCAATGTCACAAAAGCGGATGTTGAAAAGGTGAGGTGAAAGCTCAAGTGTGGGCCGGGCACGGTGGCTCACGCCTGTAATCCCAGCACTTTGGGAGGCTGAGGTGAGCGGATCACCTGAGGCCAGGAGTTCGAGACCAGCCTGGCCAAGATGGTGAAACCCCATCTCTACGAAAAACACAAAAATTAGCTGAGTGCAGTGGCAGGCACCTATAATCCCAACTACTAGGGAGGCTGAGGCAGGAGAATCGCTTGAGCCCAGGAGGCGTTGGCTGCAGTGAGCCAAGATCACGCCACTGCACTCCAGCCTGGGTAACAAGAGCGAAACTATCGCCAAAAAAAAAAAAAGACAAAAGAAAGCTCAAGTGTGTCTTTCATTTCCCCTGTGAGTGTTCATCACCGACCACCCATCCCCAAGTTCTCATTTCTAATGTAGCCACAAAAGGCGCTACATGGGGAATCATTTTCATTTTGTGTCAACCATTGTGGGGACCAGAAGCTCAAGTGTGGGGAATCTTCGGTGTTAGAATTTGAGACGTTTTATCTGTTGAGTCACCAGGGTGATAAAGTGGAGACTTAGACTATGAACAGTCTGGGAACAACGTTCCAGAAGGTTGTGGCTCTTAATGGCTTTTCAAAGAGAAAGTCAATTTCTTGAGAGCCGGAGGAGACAGGACAGGGCCATCTGGAAGAGCTTGGCTGCTTATAATGGTTCCTTTAGAGCAATAGTCTCACTGCTTGCCTGACTTCTAATTGATTCCTCCTGGTTGATAACAGTGAGGTTGTAGTTGAAGCCTTGCATATTTCAGTCCTCTCAAAAGCTTTTCTCTAAATGGACTTGTATTGCCAACTAGAAATATTATAAAGTGTATACTGTTTCTCATTGTGGCTCAATATGCGTTTTTTCCCTAGAAGCTGAATTTTATTTTTATTAAAGTCATCAATACAATGTAAACAAAATTAGGCTTTTACATAACAAGGACTCATTCATGATGCCCATGGTTGTTTGGGCATTCATAGCTTCATGCTGTATGTGGGTGAAAGCACTGAGTTTTTATAGATTTGTTGAGCTTTTGACAGATCAGTTAGAGTTGAGTTTAGTTGGGAAATGGTGTGAACTATTATTTGCCAAATTCTGCCAAATTCCTTGCTTAAAGACTAGGTATACGTTAATATTAGTATGCCTTTCTCTAAAATTATTAAATATATTAAAATACATATTCTTGCCAGGTGCTGTGGCACATACCCCTAGACTCAGCTACTTAGGAGACTGAAGCAAGAGGATTGCTTGAGCCCAGGAGTCCAGACTGGGCAACATAACGAGACCCCATCTCAGGAGCAGGGGAGTGTTCTCAATATCTGTATTTGATCTCAAAATGGAGATACTTACTTTACCAAAAGACATTAATTTGCTGCTAAAGTTAAATATTTAAAATGTTATTCAATTAAAATAAGTTAGATTAGCCCAAAGTTTCAAAAGATATTTTATGTTGAATGAGGCAAATCAGTGTATGTATCATTCATATATGTGTGTGTGTGTGTGTGTGTGTGTGTGCGCGCTAAAAGAAGTATATATGTATATATTTTAGAGATACCGAGATATGGTCTCTTTTTATTTTATTTTTTATGTTTATTTATTTATTTTTATTTTTTATTTTATTTTATTTTTTGAGACAGAGTCTCGCTGTATCGCCTAGGCTGGAGTGCAGTGGTGTGATCTTGGCTAACAACAACCTCTGTCTTCAGGGCTCAAGTGATCCTCCTGCCTCAGCCTCCTGAGTAGCTGGGACTACAGGAGCCCACCACACCCTGCTAATGACCCTGTCTCTAAATAAATAATTTTTTTTTTTTTTTTGGTGTGGTGTATGGGCTCATGCCTATAATCCCAGCACTTTGGGAGGCCAAGGTGAGCAGATTGTTTGAGTCCAGGAGTTCAGATCCAGCCTGGGCAACATGGTGAGACCCTTTCTCCATAAAAAATACAGAAAAATTAGTGGAGCATGGTAGCCCATGTCTGTGGTCCCAGCTACTCCGGAGGCCAAGGTGGGAGGATTGCTCGGTCCTGGGAGGCAGAGTTTGCAGTGAGCCACAATCCTGCTGCTGCACTCCAGCCTGGATGACAGAGCCAGACCCCGTCTCAAAAAAAAAAGCACTCAGCCTCTAAACTGTCATTTCATTTCTGTTTTTTTCTGTAGAGATGGTCATATCAGCAGCAAGTAATGATAGTTGCATTTCTTTTCCAATCTTCATGCCTTTTGTTAATTTTTTCTTATCTTAACTCTGCTGGTTATGCCCTCTGTTTTGCTGAGTCATCATTGTGGACTTCCTCAGCTTGTTCCTGATTGCAAAGAGAGTGCTTCAAAAGGTTCCCCATTAAGAATGATTTTTTTTTTTTTGGGACGAAGTTTCACTCTTGTTGCCCAGGCTGGAGTGCACTAGCGCAATCTCGGTTCATTGCAATCTCCACCTCCTGGGTTCAAGTGATTCTCCTGCTTCAGCCTCCCAAATTGCTGGGATTACAGGCGTCACCACGCCCAGCTAATTTTTTGTATTTTTGGTAGAGATGGGGTTTCACCACGTTGGCCAGGCTGGTCTCAAACTCCTGACCTCAGGTGATCCACCAGCCTCGGCCTCCCAAAGTGCTGGGATTACAGGCATGAGCCACTGCGCCAGCCAAGAATGATTTTAATATACCCTTTATTGGTTAAACAATTTTCCTTTTCCTGTGTTGCCAAGAGCTTTTTTTTAAGCTTGACTTATTATTGAATATCATTAAATATTTGTTCTGCTTCCTTTAATTCATTAACGTGGTCAATTACATTAATCAGTTTTTTTTACATTGAGCCAAATTAGTGTTCCTGGGACAAATTCAACTAGATTATGATGTATTATGTTTTTATGTGTAGCTGAATTTATTAATATTTTATTTAAGATTTTTCATTGAAATGGTCTGTATTCATTGAAATTGATCTATAATTTTCCTTTCTTGTCTGTTCTACTTTGCATTACTTATGAGTTTTGGAGTGTTTGCTCTTTTTTCTGAAATAATATATGTAAAATTAAACTCACTATCCCTTAAATGTTTTATGATACTTCTTTGCGTAAATCAGTTACAAACTACGGATTCCATATTTTATTGTCTACTTCTGGGTTGATCCTAGTGGGTTACCTTTTTATAGTAATATATCCATTTCATCATAAATTTTCAAATTTATTGGCAAAAAGTTGCCCATAATATGTTCTCACCTTAATTTTTGCTGCATATATCTCCCCTATTTACTCCTAATACCTTTTTTAATACTTTTTTCTTTTTTTCTGGATACGTTTTTTAAGAAATTATTTATGCTTATTTTATTATATTATTATTTTTTGTATATAGAGATGGGATCTCACTATGTTGCCCAGGTTGGCCTCAGCCTCAGCCTCCTAAAGTATTAGGATTATGGGCATGAACCACTGTGCCCAGCCTTAAAATCATTGTTACTAGTATCAGATTTTATCTTTGTGGAGCCTCCCTTTTCTATTTTTATTTTCTATTTATTTAACTTCTTCCCCCACCACCCCCATTCCCCTCCTTCTCCTTCTATCATTACCTTTGGATTTATTCCATTACCCTTTTAAAAAGTTCTTTCTTTAGATGCTTACCTCAGTCTTTCTTCTTCTCCATTATAAACATTAAGATTACAGACTTCCCACTTAAGTACTGTTTTCTCTGTATCCCACATATTTTGGTATGTGGTATTATTAATGTTGTCCATTTCCAGATATTTGTCCTTTCTTTTACTGTTTAATCTCTCACCTATGATCAATTTAGAAGCATGGTTTTAAATTTCCAAATGTATGACATATTTCAACTTTTGTTACAGATATTTATTTATTTATTTATTTATTTATTTTTTCTGAGACGTAGTCTCATTCTGTCACCCAGGCTGGAGTGCGGTGGTGCTATCTTGGCTCATTGCAACCTCTGCCTCCCGGGTTCAAGCAGTTCTCCTGCCTCAGCCTCCCTAGTCCTGGGATTACAGGTGTGTACCACCACGCCCGGATAATTTTTTGTGTGTATTTTTAGGAGAGACAGGGTCTTACCATGTTGGCCAGGCTGGTCTCAAACTCCTGACCTGAAGTGATCTGCCCGCCTCAGCCTCCCAAAGTGCTGCGATTACAGGCGTGAGCCACCATACCTGGCAAGATTTCTAACTAAATTGCATTATGGTCCTGGGAAATCTGTATGAGTTTGAGTCTTCTCTATTTGTTGAGATTCGTTTTATACCCTAGTACACAGTCAGTTTTTAGAAATATTCTGTAAGTAATTGAAAATAATATGTATTCTCTAGTATTTTTATTAGGCCAAACTTACTGTTTTATCCAAATATTCCTATCATTAAGGATTTTGTTTTTCAACTTGTTCTAACACTTTCTGAGAAAAATGTGTAACATCCTTATGTCTTAATTTCCTTGTCTATAAAATAGGGACACTGAGGAACAGGATTGATGCGAATATTAACTGAGTTAATATGTAAAAGGTGCACAAAACCATTTATGGGATGTTGCCAGTGATCTACAACTATTACAGTGATAATGGTAGAGGATTATTGATGTTCTGTCTATTTTACTCTTTTATTATGGAGTTATTCTATTAAACAAATGAAGTTTAGAATTGTAATATGTTCAAGTGATTTCATTTTTCATCAATAAAAAGTGGCCCCCTTTCCCAGTCAAGCTTAATCCCCTAAAGTCTATTTTACCTGATGTAAACCAGATATCTTTAAGTTAACATTGCCTGGCAGATCTTTCCCATACTTTGACTTTATACTTTTCTTTGTCCTCATATTTACATGTGTCTTTTGCAAATGGCATGTGGCTGGTTTCTGGTTTTTTGTTTGTTTTTTTCTGTTTTTTGAGTCTCACTCTGTCGCCCAGGCTAGAGTGCAGTGGCATGATCTCCACTCACTTCAACCTCCACCTCCCAGGTTCAAGCGATTCCCCTGCCTCAGCCTCCCAAGTAGCTGAGATTAAGGTGCCTGCCACCACACCCGGCTAATCTTCATGTTTTTAGTAGAGACGAGGTTTCACCATATTGCCAGGCTGGTCTCGAACCCCTGACCTCAGGTAATCTGCCCACCTCAGCCTCCGAAAGTGCTAGGATTACAGGCATGAGCCACCGCACCTGGCCTGTTTTTTGTTTTGTTTTTTTGTTTTGAAATAGAGTCTCGCTCTGTTGCCCAGGCTGGAGTGCAGTGGTGTAATCTCAGCTCATCGCAACCTGTGCCTCCCGGGTTCAAACCGTTCTCATGCCTCAGTCTCCTGAGTAGCTGAGATTACAGGTATGAGCCACCACACCTGGCTAATTTTTGTGTTTTTAGCAGAGATGGGGTTTCACCATGTTGGCCAGGCTGGTCTCGAACTCCTGCCTTCAGGTGATCCTCCCGCCTCGGCCTCCCAAAGGGCTGGGATTACAGGTGTGAGCCACCACACCCAGCCTTAGCTTGTTTGTCATGCTTTTCACGGTATTGTTCAAGTTCACTGTTAAAAGAAAGCTTACTGTGATTGCATCCAAACCTGAAGATGCTGTGTAAAACTGCAAGATAGACCAGCAAGACTTCTGGGTTATACTAAAATAATTCCCCCATATAAGAAGTCATATAAAGCTGGGTATAGTGGCTCATGCCTGTAATCCCAGCCCTTTGGAAGGCCAAGGCGGGAGGATCGCTTAAGCCCAGGAGTTTGAGACAAGCCTGGGCAACATGGTGAGACCTTGTCTCTACAAAAAGTTTTTTAAAAATTAGCCTAGCATGGTGGTGTGCCCTTGGAGTCCCACCTACTCTGGAGGGTGAAATGCGAGGATCACTTGAACTTAAGAAGCAGAGGTTTCAGTGAGCCAAGATTGCACCACTGCACTCCAGCCTAGGTGACATAGCAAGATCCTGTCTCAAACAAACAAACAAACAAATAAATAAATAAATAAATAAATAGAAATTATATAAGAAGGTACAAGTCACCTGGGCATGATGGCTCACACCTGTCATCCTAGCACTTTGGGAGGCTGAGGCAGGAAGAGTGCTGGAGGCTAGGAGTTCAAGACCAGCCTGGGCAACATACAGAAACCCAGTTTCTACAAAATAATCAAAAAATTAGACCGGGCATGGTGGCTCACGCATGTGATGCCAGCACTATGGGAGGCCGAGGCAGGTGGATCACCTGAGATCAGGGGTTTGAGACCAGCCTAGCCAACATGGTGAAACTTCATCTCTACAAAAAATACAAAAGTTAGCCAGGCATGATAGCATGTGCCTGTAATCCCAGCTACTCGAGAATCGCTTGAACCCAGGAGGTGGAGGTTGCAGTGAGCCGAGATCGCACGGCTGCACTCCAGCCTGGGTGACAGAGGGAGACTCAGTCTCAAAAAAAAAAAAAAAAAAAAAATTAAAAATTAGCTGAGCGTGATGGTTTGCACCTGTAATCCCAGCTACTTAGGAGGCTGAGGTGGGAGGATCGCTTGAGCTCTGGAGGTGGAGGCTGCAGTGATCAGTGATCGCACCACTGCACTCCAGCCTGGGTGACAGAGCAAGACCCTGTCTCAAAAAAAAGAAAAAGGTACAAGTCGTAGTAGAGAAAACTGTGAGGTTCAGAGCAGACTGTGTGTAATTATGAATGTGTGTTTCGTGGATCTTTAATCTATGGTGATGGAGGCCTAGACTTAAAGTGGGTTCTCCCGAAGCGGGCATTACCTGGGTTCATTACCAAGCTGCATTAATGTCAGTTTTCAACTTAGGGTTTGGACTCCACACATGCTCTGAGTTCTGGCTGTTTGTGGTTCAGAAATTTCCAGGATGACTTTTTTCTTTGTTTTTCTCCCTGAGGCCAGATCCAAGGCAGTTTTAACTTTTAAAAAGTGCACTTGCTGAATCCAAAGGTGATTTTAGGACTTTTAACTTGTGCTGCCAAATTGAATTGCTATCCTCAACTATTTGAATATTTCCAAAGATCTAGTACTTTTTCTTACACTGGGAGCATCGTTTTGCTATTTTTATGAAAGTGCCACTTACCTCCTTTCCAAGGATATGATGAATTACCCAATTTTGGCATCACAAACATTGAAGCTGAGGGAGCAGCAATGTCTAAACATTGAAATTCTTAAGTTATTTTGCTTTGGATTTGACTTGAAACACTGTAATTTCCCAAAACACCCAGTACTTTGACTGTTCTGTCAGTTTTTTACTTTGTTGCCTGTGAAGGCTTATGTCAGCGTCAAGCTAACTGGAGGCAGTTTTAGTTCTTATCATTATTTAATGTCATCTCCCATTATGATTTCTGACAGTCTCTGAATCTAACATAAATGTTTCTCCCCCAGTTCCCGCAAATGATTAAATTATCTAATTGTATTCAAAGCAGCGCATCCTCCTTTTTTTCTAGCAGCCAGCCACACAGCACTGGGAACGGTAAGCCTGTGCTTACAAAAGCCTTATTTGTACATGTGAACTTTGTCTTGTGCTTGATACAATTGATATGAACTATAAGCATACGTTCATTTTTTAAACTACCTAGGATCCTGGGTATAAGCCTGATTTTCTTTTCTTTTTGAGAGTTAATGCCCAGATATGGATTGAAACCACATTTTGAAACCACATTTTTATTAGCACTGTGTTCACTGTTTTTTTTTTTGTTTTGTTTGTTTGTTTGTTTTTACTTTTTGTGGTGATCGAGGTTTTGCTATGTTGCCCAGGCAGGTCTCAGACTCTTGGGCTCAAGCTATCCTCACACCTCTGCTTCCCTAAGTCTGGCAATGCAGGTGTGAGCCAATGTGCCTGGCCAGCACTGTGTTCAAATCACCTCCATTCATCCACATCCATGCTCAGACTTCGGTACGCTTTGGCATTGTGTTAGATGCCAGCGTGTGACCAGATGTTTAGTAGTTCCCTTATAAGACAGTATATGTCATCCTTAAGGCACCCAGTTTAATTAAAAGTAAGTTTACAGTATAAAGTAGATATAAGAAAAAGCTAGCAGTTTTTATCTCTGGGCAAGAGTGCAGATTTGGATGCCATGAGGATGCCATGTTCCTTAGAGGAAAAATGAAGAGAGGAAATCAGCTTAATTGAACAATTTTTATTGGCAGGGAAAACTCAAGGAACCATGCAGTCTCTTTTTCTTCTTTGACATTTTGCAGCTGTCATAGAGTTTTGAACTTGAAGGCTTTGAATGAGCTCGAGTGATTTGGAATTAGTTAATCTGGGTTTGTACAAGAAGCAGTACATGTTGGGATAGGTCATCCTGCAGCTCATGACCCCTGTGTTTCAGCTGAAGGTGAAACAGGCTCCCCTGCTGCCCTTTCAACGAGGTGGACTAGACATCCTTACTCTCTGTTTTGGGATATTGAGAGGGAAACTGCAAAGGAACATGGGAAAATTATACCATGTCCGCATCTTACTCTTGTAAAAAAAAATTAATTAAAACACCGAGATAAAGTATTCTTTGCCATTCTTCTCAGAGGTAGTTACTCTTAACCCCTTGAGGTATGTCCTTCTGAACCCTTTTAAAACAGCTGTTTTGGGCCAGGCATAGTGACTCACGCCTGTAATCCCAGCACTTTGAGAGGCTGAGGCTGGCGGATCACTTGAGGTCAGGAGTTCAAGACCAGCTGGCCAAATGGTGAAACTCTGTCTCTACTAAAAATACAAAAATTAGCCGGGCATGGTGGCACGTGCCTGTAATCCCAGCTATTTGGGAGGCTAAGGCAGGAGAATCGCTTGAACCCAGGAAGTGGAGGTTGCAGTGAGCTGAGATCATGCCATTGCACTCCAGCCTGGGGGACAAGAGCAAAACTCCGTCTTGAAAAAAAAATACCAAAAATACAAAAAATGAGCTGAATGTGGTGGCTCATGCCTGTAATCCCACTTACTCAGGAGGCGGAGGCAGAAGAGTCTCTTGAACCTGGGACGGGGAGGTTGCAGTGAGCCGAGATCACGCCACTGCACTCCAGCCTGAGGGACAGAGCAAAAGTCCATCTCAAAAAAAAAAAAAAAAAAAAAAAAAAGACACCAAAATAGGTGTTTTGTATGAGCAATAGCACAGACAAATAAATTAAATTAAATAGGTATTTTGTTTGTTTGTTTGTTGAGACAGGGTCTCTCCCTTTGTTGCTCAGGCTGGAGTGCAGTAGTGTGATCAAAACTTATTGCAGCCTCAACCTCGTGGATTCAAGTGATCCTCCTGCCTCAGCCTCCCAAGTAGCTGAGACCACAGGGGCATGCCACCATGCACAGCGTAGAGACGGGGTCTCCCTATGTGTTCCCAGGCTGGTCTTGAACTCCTAGCCTCAAGTGATCCTCCTGCCTCAGCTTCACAAAGTGCTGAGATTATAGGTGTGAGCCACCACACCTGCCCCCCTCCTTTTTTTTTTTTTTTTAAATTTAAGGGAATTCTAGTAGAATTATGACTTCATGGACTTATCTTTTAAAAAATGCAACTCAGCCAAGTGCAGTGGCTCCCTCCTGAAATCCCAGCACTTTGGGAGGCTGAGGCACGCAGATTACCTGAGGTTGGGAGTTCGAGACCAGCCTGACCAACATGGAGAAACCCTGTCTCTACTAAAAATACAAAATTAGCCAGGTGTGGTGGCGCATGCCTGTAATGTCAGCTACTCGGGAGACTGAGGCAGGAGAATCGCTTGAACCCGGGAGGCAGAGGTTGCAGTGAGCCGAGATCACGCCATTTTACTCCAGCCTGGGCAGCAAGAGCAAAACTCCACCTCAAAAAAAAAAAAGTAACTCACTGGTGGGATTCCTAAGTCGTGAAGTATTCACATGTATCCATTCATTCCCTTGCCCGTTGTTCACTGACTATCTACTGGCAAGGTATGCGGGTATAGATGCCAGCACATAATCACACGATCCTTGACTCTGAGGAACTTGCCTTTTGTTTTTTCTTTTTTTCTTTTCTTTTTTTTTTTTGAGACGGAGTTTTACTCTTGTTGCCCAGGCTGGAGTGCAATGGCGCGATCTCTGCTCACTGCAACCTCTGCCTCCTGGGTTCAAGCAATTCTCCTTTCTCAGCCTCCCAAATAGCTAAGATTACAGGCGCCTGCCACCACACCCGGCTAATTTTTGTATTTTAGTAGAGACGGGATTTCACCATGTTGGTCAGACTGGTCTCGATCTCCTGACCTCAGGTGATCCACCCACCTTGGCCTCCCAAAGTGCTGGGATTACAGGCGTGAGCCACCGTGCCCAGCCTGTTTTCTTTCTAATGTTTGGTTTACTGTATTGTGAATTTTCCCACTTGCCCACCCAAACAACTCTTGAATGGCATTCTGGTGACAAAGACTTTAAAATCACAGTTTGTCTGTCACTCTGCTTTGAAATAACACCATGCTATACAAACTTGGATGAGAGGCTACACCTAATCTTTGTGTTCTGATAGTGTAGCAATGGGTTTAGTGTGGTATTGGGATGAGAAAGGAAAAGGTTATCAAAATGAGTGGAATGTGAACTAATATTTCTGAACAGAGAGAACAGTGTTTTCTAAATGCATGCATTAAACTGAGTTCATCCATGTCAGGCAATGAATAATTCCCTTTTTCTAATTCTCCCTTGCCTTATGACTGTTGGCTCTTACATAATTTCTAAATGCAAAATAGGATATTGTCTAACAGAATCTGCAGTTAGTGGTTACAAACAGCTGCAGAAATTGTTAGTTAAGTTCAAGTTATGTTTTTTAAACGCCAGTAACAATTTCTTCCTTTTCTTATCGGTCTAGTTTCATTTAACTTGTATGGTTCTTTTTCTGCTAGAGTCTCAATTTATGAGCCGATGTTTTCCACCAAAAGTTAATGGTGCCTCTTCATTCTAATTCATTGCAATTAATTCTGAGTACTGGATGGCCAGAAGAGCTCTCTATACAGTGCGAGAGGTTTCCTTATTTCTGACTAATTAGGAGTTTTTATTATATAACCCGATTTGAGGAAATGCTTTAAAACTTAAGTTAAAATCTGACCATGAGCACTGAACAGTGTATCAGTTTCTTTGGGAGTTTGCCTTCCATTTTTTGTATACAGACTTCTCGAAGTATTTGGCTTTGAATATGATTAACTTTTTAATTCTACATATAGATGTCCCTGTTGTGAAGCAGAATAGGAAATCCTGAGTTATTTATGAATTAAAGTAGAATTCTGTGATGTAAATTATAAAAAATAAAATTTCATTTCTGGTTTTTTGTTTTTTTTTGAAACAGAGTATTGGTCTGTCGCTCAGGATGGAGTGCAGTGGCACCGTCTCAGCTCACTGCAACTTCCACCTCCTGGGTTCAAGTGATTCTCGTGCCTCAGCCTCCTGAGTAGCTGGGACTACAGGCGTACGCCACTACACCCGGCTAATTTTTTGTATTTTTAGTAGAGATAGGCTTTCACCACATTGCCCATGGTGGTCTTGAACTTCTGGGCTCAAGTGATCCGTCTGCCTTGGCCTCCCACAGTGCTGGGATTACAGGTGTGAGCCACCATGCCCAGCCACATGTAATTTTTAATGTGTTATATATTCTATAATAGAATATTTTAAAGAGAAAAAGAAAGTTATAGATAGGAATCTGTCAATTTTAAGCAAGAATGAAGGAGTTTACTTTAAATGATGATCAGTTTGATAATTATCTTAAGAAAACAAACGAAATTTAGTAGTTTAGGTTTTCTTCGGTTGGAATCAGTGTTGCCAACTCTGTGAAGCCAACAGGATGGAGTTGGCTCTATTCTAAGTGAAGCCAGCTGCGTAGCAGAGTGTTAAATTTTTTTACCATTTGGGGAAACAGTCTCTAGCACAATGACCACTTTAGTTATTGTACATATAAGGAATTGTACTATTGAATATTTTGGTTACCATTGCTGTAGTACTAGGTTGACATCTTTATGGAACATGTTAATATCTTCAGTGCCTTCCCCACGTTTCTGTTTCTTCTAAAATGTCTGACTGTAGTCATCTGAAGGAATTGTTCACTATAACAAT
Source organism: Homo sapiens (assembly GCF_000001405.40). NCBI lineage: Eukaryota > Metazoa > Chordata > Mammalia > Primates > Hominidae > Homo > Homo sapiens. The sequence continues at coordinate 129,945,400 of NC_000009.12, read as the reverse complement.
TTAGAGAACATTTTTTTTTAAAAAGGAAGTGGTTAGTATAAATGCAGGAAATAAATTTTGCAACTGCAGCTTAATCTTTTTAGGCTTAAAAAAGTTTCAAATGCTTTTTATTGCAAAGAAGAGAAAAGTATAAAGAATTTTATTATAAGTATTACCAAAAATGGATATTGTTGCTATAACTGTTCTTTTATAAGTGGATCAAGGTTCAAATGAAAGATTCTAGAAAAGACACGTTTATTATTCTCTTCTTTATGTCTGTGGAGTTTATATTTACTCCTAAAAGCATAATTATTAACAAGCCTATAAGTTAATGTACAAAATAGCAATCAAGCAGCATCGTTCTCATACCCTAGATCTGAAGATAGAAATGAAGAAATGAATTCCCTGAATATATATGTATTTATTTATGTGTGTGTGTGTGTGTTTAGCTTCAACACTTGGCACTTAGTATGTGGCCTGAACTGTTCTAAAGGCTTTTGTATGGTAAGTCATTTAATAAGGTATTTTAATTTTCAATGATAGTAAATGGCCTAGCCCATGGCTAAGAGCTTGTTCCTGATCTTTGTATTACGTGGAAGTGGGTTCAAATCTTGTTTCTGTCGCTTACAAATGGCATGACATGTGGCAACTTACTTCATCTCTGGTTCCTGTTCTGTAAGTAAGGATGCATATGCACCTCAAGGGCTGGGTGTGAGGTTTCAGTGGGTGTGATGTATGTGTAGTGGCCTATTTTTGAACTGCAATTGATTGGCTGACACTGTTATTGCCATCTGTATTTTGCCTGTATCCTTCTCCTTGCATTATTTCTGCCTCCTTCCTCCTCATCTCTTACCCTTTAGTCTACTTTTTTTTTTTTTTTTTGAGACGCAGTCTCGCTCTGTTGCCAGGCTGGAGTGCGGGGGCATGATCTCGGCTCACTGCAACCTCTGCCTCCCGGGTTCAAGCAATTCTCCTGCCTCAGCGTCCCAAGTAGCTGGGACTACAGGCGCCCACCACGACGCCCAGCTAATTTTTGTATTTTTAGTAGAGACAGGGTTTCTCCAGGTTGGCCTGGATGGTCTCGATCTCTTGACCTCGTGATCCTCCTGCCTCAGCCTCCCAAAGTGCTGGGATTACAGGCATGAGCTACCGCACCCGGCCATATTTTTAACATTCTAGGCATTCTGGGCATCTAGACATTCAACAAGAATATTTATTTGACAAAGAGTGTGAAACACCAGTAGGACTGTAATAGATACCTTTCATGAAGTCCCCAGTTAGCAGACTGGAGAGAGAAGGATGAGAGAAGCATGAGACGGAGAGAGAAGGAAAACTTGAGTCAGTTGGGGAATAAGGTAGAGTATGATATGTAGCATGCCAACTTGTGTGAAGATCATCAGAACGATAGCAGGTTTTTTTTTTTTTTTTTGAGATGGAGTCTCGCTCTGTCGCCCAGGCTGGAGTGCAGTGGTGCAGTCTTGGCTCACTGCAAGCTCTGCTTCCCAGGTTCACGCCACTCTCCTGCCTCAGCCTCCCTAGTAGCTGGGGATACAGGCCCCCGATACCACGCCCGGCTAATTTTTTTGTATTTTTAGTAGAGACAGGGTTTCACCGTCTTAGCCAGGATGTTCTCGATCTCCTGACCTCGTGATCCTCCCACCTCAGCCTCCCAAAGTGCTGGGATTACAGGCGTCAGCTACCGTGCCCGACCACAATAGCAGTTTAAAAGCAATTAGGCCGGGCGCAGTGGCTCATGCCTGTAATCCCAGCACTTTAGGCTGCCAAGGTGGGCAGATCATTTGAGGTCAGGAGTTCGAGACCAGCCTGGCTGACATGGCGAAACCGCATCTCTACTAAAAATACAAAAATTAGCTGGGCATGGTGGTGCACACCTGTAATCTCAGCTACTTGGGAGGCTGAGGCAGGAGAATCGCTTGAAGCTGGGAGGCAAAGGTTGCAGTGAGCCAAGATCACGCCACTGCACTCCAGCCTGGGCAACAAGAGCAAAAGTCCATCTCAAAAAAAAAAAAAAAAAAAGCAATTAATGATTGCTCTACATACTTGCCAGTGAGATAAAGGAAAAAAAATTATAAAAACGATCAATGAGGTCCATCATATATGAAATCACCTGGTCCTTTCATCAGCAAAACACTAGGAGCTCAGCAGTTGCTCCTGCATTCTGCATCTGAAAAAGGTCTGTGCAGACTGTAGGTTGTTGGGACAGGCCTGAAGTCGGAATCAGGACTTGAACCTGAAGGATATGTAGAAACAGAAAAGAGAAAGCGCCACTGAGGTAGAGACAACTTCATCCAGGGCACTGAGGGAGCATGTTGCCGACGTTGACCTGCCTGCCAGGACAGGGGACTCTGTGGGACCTAGCTGGAGAAGTAAGATGAGAACAGTTTGTGAAAGATATTTAAAGCCAAATGGGCCGGATGCAGTGGCTCATGCCTATAATTCTAGCATTTTGGGAGGCCAAGGCAGGAGGATTGCTTGAGCCCAGGAGTTCAAGACCAGCCTGGGCAACATAGTGAGACCACCCCACCCCCACCCCAACCAATCTCAGAAAAAAAAAAGAAAGAAAAAAGCCAAATGGCAGGATGAATGTGACCCCGATAAAATGCTATTGAACCTACTCCTCAAAAAACCTACACTGGAAAGTGTTTTATATTTTCCAAAGGGCTTTTAGTCCTCTCCATGTTTCCTTTATCCCTTTATAGATAAATAGGGTAAACCTATAAAATGTGAAATTACCATTAGCCTAAAGTGGCCCTGCTGGATAAGGTACAGCCAAGACTGAAGCATGTTTCTGTGCCTCAAGTTCAGTGTTCTTGCCAGTTTACCATTCAGCTTTACTACTGGATTGTATTAAATAAGCTCCTTACTCTTAGCCACCGCTTTTTCCTACAGAACTAGGCAGATAATAGACATGTGAGACTGGCAGGTTGAGGTAAGATGACAAATAGCTATTAGCACAGGGCCTCAGTATCAGGACCCAATAAAGAGAGGTGGGGGTTGTACTGGCCTAGGAGGCCCAAGTCAGACGTAAAGGGGGCGGCCATTATTCACCATCCATTTACACATCTGTAGCTGTGTGGTAATGCAGACCAAGTGTTGTCACATCTTCCATGTCACTCCTTTTGGAGTTAAATTTCCTTCTTCCTGGAAGATGGGTTGTTTTAATTTTTTTCCATGAGAGTTTGTGACTGGTAAATTTTCTTTATTTGTTTGAAATGTCTTTATTTTTGTCCTCCCTCTAATGTGATAGTTTAGCTAGATATAGAATTCTAGGTTGACAATTGTTTTCTCTAAACATTTCATTTGTTTGTTTTGGTTTTGGTTTTTTTTTTTTGGAGACAGAGTCTCACTGTCTCCCAGGCTGGAGTGCAGTGGTGCGATCTTAGCTCACTACAACCTCCGCCTCCCAGGTTCAAGCGATTCTCCTGCCTCAGCCTCCCAAGTAGCTGGGATTATAGGTGCCTGCCACCACACCTGGCTAATTTTTGTATTTTTAGTAGAGATGGGGTTTTGCCATGTCAGCCAGGGGGGTCTTGAACTCCTGACCTCATGTGATCCACCTGCCTCAGCCTCCCAAAGTGTTGGGATTACAGGCGTGAGCCACTGCACCCAGCCTAAACTTTTAAAAAATATCATTCAGGCCAGGTGTGGTGGCTTATGCCTGTAATTCCAACACTTTGGGAGGCCAAGGTGGAAGGATCACTTGAGCCCAGGAGTTCGAGACCAGGCTGGGCAACGTAGGAAGACCTTGTCTCTACAAAAAATGAAAAGTCACCTGGGCAGGCTGGTGTGTGCCTGTCGTCCCATCTACTCAGGAGGCTGAGGCAGGATCATTGCTTGAGCCTGGGAAGTTGAGGCTGCAGCGGGCTGTGATCATACCACTGCACTCCATCCTGGTTAACAGAGCAAGACTCTGTCTCAGTTAAAAACAAAATGTAATTTCATTGTCTATCATTGTCAGTTGTTCTTGGGAATTTGACATTCTATTTAATAGCATTTATTTATTTATTTATTTAAGATGGCGTCTCGCTCTGTTGCCCAGGCTGGAGTGCAATGACGCAGTCTTGGCTCACTGCAGCCTCCACCTCCCATGTTCAAGTGATTCTCCTGCCTCAGCCTCCCAAGTAGCCTGGATTACAGGCGTGGGCCACCATGCACGGCTAATTTTTGTATTTTTAGTAGAAGCAGGGTTTCACCATGTTTGCCAGACTGGTCTTGAACTCCTGACCTCAGGTGATCTGCCCGCCTCAGCCTCCCAAAGTGCGGGGATTACAGGCGTGAGCCACCACACCCGGCCTTGACGTTCTATTTAATAGCATTTCTTTGTAGATATTTTGCTTTCTCCTGTAGTTGTGAAGACCTTGTATTTCCCTTTGGTATCCATGGCATCAATATGATGTTTCAAAGCACAGACTTTTTATTTTTAATTTATTCTGTTTGGGGTTCCTAGAGGATTTGTTCCTTTCATAAATATATGAAAACTCAGTGTGGTGGCTCACGCCTGTAATCTCAGCACTTTGGGAGGCCGAGGTGGGCAGATCACGAGGTCAAGAGATTGAGACCATCCTGGCCAACATGGTGAAACCCCGTCTCTACTAAAAATACAAAAATTAGCTGGGTGTGGTGGTGTGCGCCTGTAGTCCCAGCTACTCAGGAGGCTGAGGCAGGAGAATCGCTTGAACCCGGGAGGCAGAGGTTGCAGTGAGCCGAGATTGTGCCACTGCAGTCTAGCCTGGGTGACAGAGTGAGACTCCATCTAAAAATATGTATATATATGTATATATATATATATGAAAACTCTCCAGCATTAACTCTTCCTATATTATGTTGTTATTAATATTGTTGGTTTTGGGATTCATATTAGATGTGTGTGAAATTTCTCATTCTGTTCCCCACGCCTCATAACTTCTTTTTCATAGATTTCATTTCCTATATATTACATATGATGTAACTTTGTCAGCTACTTCATGAAGTCTCTTCAAATTATTCTATTTAACTCATCTATTGAATTTTAAAATTTCAATGACTGTATTTTTTATTTCTAGAAGTTCCATTTTATTCTTTTGAAGATATACCTGATCTATATTTAGAGCATCTTATTATTTTCTTATGATTCCTTTTGCATCTTTTACTAACTTAATCCTTCAAAATGTTGTTTTGTTGTCATTGTTGTTGTCGTTGTTTTGTTGTTGTTTTTGAGAGAGGGTCTTATTCTGTCACCTAAGCCCAGGCTGAAGTACAGTGGGACAATCATAGCTCACTATAGCCTCGAACTCCCGGGCTCAAGTGATCCTCCCACCTCAACCTCTGGAATAGCTAGGACTACAGCTGTACACCACCATGCCCTGCTTATTTTTAATTTTTTTTTAGAAATGGAGTCTCACTATGTTACCTAGGCTGGTCTCGAACTCCTGGCCTCAAGTGATCCTCCCACGTCAGCCTCCTCTAGTGCTGGGATTACAGGTGTGAGCCGCTGTGCCTGGCCTGTTGTTCTTATATTTTCTTTCACATTGTTCTTTTAGCTCAGGTTCTCATTTTTCTTACTATCGCATCAGCTCTCATGGTGGTTTATTTCCTTGTGCATTTATATTATTACTACCTTTTTTGTATGAGCGTAACTTTGACAGAGATTGTTTTTTCTCCGGGAATCTTATAAAAACAGGATTGTAGAAGTATCCCCCCAGTGAGGTTTTATAGTGTTTCTGCCAGACAACCTGGAACTAATTTTTATGTTAATTTCTTGGCTTGGGGAATCTTGCACCATCTGTACTAGCACAGGCTGAAGCTTTTGTATTTTAGAAGACACTCTTCCCCCACTCCACAGCTTGAGACCTACATAAGCTTCCTGGTCTTCTGTGGTCACAAGAAGTTTCTCTAATTATTTCCCATCTAAAAGAAGACAAAACTAACATTGAGGTTAGTGCAGGAAGGGCTTATAGTCTTACATATTTACTTCATTGACAGTATATTACTGAATAACATGTGATAACATATGCAAGATTTTTTTATTTTTCGGGACGGAGGCTTGCTCTTGTTGCCCAGGCTGGAGTTCAGTGGTGCAGTCTCGGCTCACTGCAGCCTCTGCCTCGTGAGTTCAAGCGATTCTCCTGCCTCAGCCTCCCAAGTATCTGGGATTACAGGCACATGCCACCATGCCCGGCTGATTTTTGTATTTTTAGTAGAGACGGGGTTTCATCATATTGGTCAGGCTGGTCTTGAACTCCTGACCTCAGGTGATCCACCCGCCTCAGCCTCCCAAAGTGCTGGGATTATAGGCGTGAGCCACTGCCCCCAGCTACTTGGGAGACTGAGACAGGAGAATCGCTTGAATCTGGGAGGTAGAGGTTGCAGTGAGCCGAGATCATGCCACTGCACTCCAGCTTGGGTGACAAGAGGGATACTCTGTCTCAAAAGTAATAATAATCAATTTCAAACCTACCATAATGAAAAACTCAAGTCTCTTGCCAATGACCATGCGTGAGAAACCAGGGGGGAAAGGGGGGCCAAGTCTTGGAAACCATCATTTACATCTTAGCAGGATCTCCAAGCTCGTGCTGAATTTCTACCAGCCTCCCTTGGAGGCTTGCCAACATCATGATGAGAAATATCAGCATTGGCCTCTTCTCTTTTAGCAGAAATTGTCACTCACCTTGAGTAAATAGATATTTCAAATAAGGCAACCAGAGCATAGGGAAACAGAAGACCTTTTCTTAAAACTGTTTAGCAAGTGAATGGGCCATGTGGGATTGAGATGCTGGTCTCACTGGCTATCTTTCTGCATTCTCTCCTTCTATTTCAGTGGCCCTCCACCTACAATACTGGAGCTAGAAAGTTGTAAGACTGTTTTCAAAAAAAAAAAAAAGAGTCAGGAAATTGCTGGAATAGTTCAAGCATATTTCTTTGGTTAACTTATTTTGAAGTTTTTCTCTGTTTTGTATTCTAGCTGCCCTTATAATTTATCAAAGACAGACTCATTGTTTTGGCAAGCTCCTGGCCTGGAAGTCTCCAACAAAAACTCACAGCACTCTATCTGAAAAGGAATTTTTAAATGCATTCTTAGTCTTGAAATTGAAAATATATTCTAGATACAACAGTTTGCTGGGAAATTTAAACAATGCCGTTTATCATCCAACAACTTTGCTCTGGACAAAGAGCTTTTTCATCTCTTCCTTAGTGTCCCTTCTACTCCATTAGCTTTTCAGAGCTTTTTTTAAAAAATTAATTAATTTATTTATTTTTTTGAGACAGAGTCTCACTCTGTTGCCCAGGCTGGAGTGCAGTGGCTCAATCTCGGCTCAGTGCAACCTCTGCCTCCCAGGTTCAAGTGATTCTCCTGCCTCAGCCTCCTAGGAGCAGGGACTACAGGCACGCACCACCACACTCGACTAATTTTTGTATTTTTTAGTAGAGATGGGGTTTCACCATATTGGCCAGGCTGGTCTCAATCTCCTGGCCTCAACTGACATGCCCACCTCAGCCTCACAAAATGCTGGGATTACAGGCATGAGCCACCGCGGCCAGCCTTTTTTAAAATTTGGTTCACTTCTAGGTTATATAAAGCATATTTCTTTGGTTAACTTATTTTGAAGTTTTTCTCTGTTTTGTGTTTTAGCTGCCCTTATAAATTTGTCAAAGGCAAACTCTGATAAACTTTAAAAATTCTTTTTTTTTTTTGAGACGGAGTCTCACTGTCACCAGGCTGAAGTGCAGTGGCATGATATCTTGGCTCACTGTAACCTCTAACTCCTGGGTTCAAGCGATTCTCGTGCCTCAGCCTCCCGAGTAGCTGGGATTACAGGCACGTGCCACCACACCCAGCTAATTTTTGTATTTTTAGTAGAGACGGGGTTTCACTGTGTTGGCCAGGCTGGTCTTGAACTCCTGGCCTCATGATCCGCCCGCCTCAGCCTCCCAAAGTGCTGGAATTACAGGCGTGAACCACTGCGCCCGGCCAACTTTAAAAATTCTTAAAAGTTATATATACATTTACTTCATCTTATTAAATATGGCTTTACATTGTTAAAACAGGATATACATAGCTCATCAAAAGTGTGACATAATATTTAACCAATGATTTGTTTGTTTCAAATTATTTTAAATTATTGGCTATTATAAACAGCACTGTTGGATATCTTTTGTTATTATATCATTAGGATAAATTTTCAGAAGCAGAATTTTTGGGTCAAAGACTAGAGTAAAATTCGTTTGATTCCTTTTATTTTTTTCCCCCCCTTGAGACAGAGTCTCACTCTGTCCCCCAGGCTGGAGTGCAGTGGCGTGACCTTGGCTCACTGCAGCCTCTGTCTCCCGGGTTCAAGCAATTCTCCTGCCTCAGCCTCCCAAGCAGCTGGGACTACAGGCATGTGCCACCATGCCTAGCTAATTTTTGTATTTTTACTAGAGACAGGGTTTCATCATGTTGGCCAGGCTGGTCTCGAACTCTTGACCTCAGGTGATCCACCTGCCTCAGCCTCCCAAAGTGTTGAGATTACAGGCGTGAGCCACCGCACCTGGCCATTAGTTTTATTCCTAACCATTGACAAATCCTAGAGAAATACGAATAGGATTTTCAGGGATTTCCAACAGGTTGCTATTTTTTCTGTTCTCAAAAATACCTAGAAATAGAAAATAATATCCAGTGGCCTCTACCTCATTTGTGTGCTGTAAAAATACCAGTGCTTATTCTCATTTACCTGGCCACGTCTGAAAGTCATGATCCTCTAGTGGTTATCAGGAGCTGGAATGTGCAGAAACTTTTATTTCTTAAACCATACAATTCTGTAAGTTTGAATTACCTACAGCAAAATTTTTTTTTTTTTTAAGCAGGAGAAAAAAGAACAAAAGGTGGCTAGATAACACAGGTTGTGAAAGTGGCAAGTTTAATTTTGTCCACAAAATGAGGTCCATGGCTCAGGTAGTTTGGGGAGGAGGGAATCGGGATCGGTGCTGTGCTGGATTCTTGCTGTGTCCCCAGCCTCTGGGTGGCCGCCAGGCCCATCTGCCAGTCAGGAGGAGCTGCTGCAGGTTGCTGCTCACTGAATAATGATTACAGGCATCCTGTCTGTGGGCAAAAGAGTGCATTCTTAGAGGAAAGGGAATAAAATCTAGATTGAGCCCCCATTTCCATCCATCCTAACATATAATTGGTCTCTTCTTGTGATAACGACGTTAAATACTAAAGATGCAGCTGTTCCAAAAAACATTGACTGTTGTTTGGGCTACCAGCGATACTGTAAAATATTCCACATGGCTTTCCCCAAACTTTTGGTGACAAAAGGTGGGCATTTATAATTTGTTATATCCTTTCAACAAAGGAAAAGCAGCTTTCCAAAAGCTCTGGACACTGCTGCTTTAAGTATCAGGTTGCTGCAAAAGTAATTGTGGTTTTTGCCCTTCCATTCAAATGACAAAAACTGCGATTACTTTTGCACCAACCTATATAGTTTATCATTTAAGGAACAGCAATGTATAAAACTGAGAGATCTGGGGCCATGTTAAAAACTTAGTAAGTCTCTTTATTTATTCATTCGATCAATGTATAAATAGAACCAGTCTATATTTGCTCATCTAGTTAAAAGGTCAAAAGCCATAGGCAGCCTTGAAAAATGATGCAAGAGGGCTGGGCGCGGTGGCTCATGCCTATAATCCCAGCACTTTGGGAGACCGAGACAGGCGGATCACGAGGTCAGGAGATCGAGACCATCCTGGCTAACAAGGTGAAACCCCATCTCTACTAAAAATACAAAAAATTAGCTGGGCATGGTGGTAGGCACCTGTAGTCCCAGCTACTCAGGAGGTTGAGGCAGGAGAATCACTTGAACCTGGGAGGCGGAGGTTGCAGTGAACCGAGATTGCACCACTGCACTCCAGCCTGGGCAACAGAGTGAGACTCCATCTCAATAGAAAAAGAAAAGAAAAGAAAAGAAAAATGATGATGCAAGAGTGGTAAGATGCAAGGTTATAACTCGGTTATACCACATGCCTCATGTGAAATGAGCAAGTTTCTTAGTACACTTGTATTCTCTGCTTATGACAATTGAGACACTGCCAAGAGTGTTATTCTCCTTAATATTTTGAAATATTAAGGAAAAAGTAATATTGAATTAAACAGGCCTGGCATATGGTGCCTCATCATGCCTGTAATCCCAGCATTTGGGGAGGCTCAGGTGGCAGGGTCGCCTGAGCCCAGGAGTTTGAGGCTGCAGTGAGCTATGATGGTGCCACTGCACTCCAGTCTGGGTAACAGAGGGAGACCCTGTCTTAAAAAAAAAAAAAAAAAAAATGAGCTAAACAGGAAATAGCCACACATTTAGGCCATGCTAATAATCTAAATTTAGCTAACTGAATGGATGACGGTATTTTTGTCTTTAAACCCATTAGGATTTCAAAATATTGGGCTACAGTTCAGTTTCTAAAATATTGTTTTCTTTATTTAGAAACTGCAACTCTGACCTTTTAGGCAGTATGGCTTAGTTCCATAATGATATTGAGAATGGACTATGTTAAGAATTACCAAGAAGTGGGCTGGGCGTGGTGGCTCACATCTGTAATCCCAACACTTTGGGAGGCTAACGCAGGCCGAGGCAGGCAGATCACTTGAGGTCAGGAGTTCGAGACCAGCCTGGCCAACATGGTGAAACGCTGTCTCTACTAAAAATACAAAAATTAGCCGGGCGTGGTGGCGGGTGCCTGTAATCCCATATACTCAGGAGGCTGAGGCAGGAAAATTGCTTGAATCTGGGAGGCAGAGGTTGCAGTGAGCCAAGATTGTGCCACTGCACTCCAGCCTGGGCGACAGAGTGAGACTCTGTCTCAAAAAAAAAAAATTACCAAGAAGTGAAATCATGTATAAGCCATACATCCTTAGGTCTGTTTGGATTTATTTGAGGGAGATTCCCAAGGGTTTGTCAAAAAATTCTCAAGTTTAAATTCTGTCTTCCTGTTGGACAACAAAAGCAGCGTAGATCTGATTCTAAGACGTCTGTGACCCAGCCTAGGCAGCGGGGGTTATTCTGGACTTTTTAGAACATTATCTTGAAATTCTGTGACACTGACTCGTTGCAAGTAAAACAAGCCAACTCTCTGTACATCTTTCTGCCCTGTAGTAATATTGCTGTAAGATGCAGTGTCTTTATTCTCAGAATGGGAAATTTAATTTAATTGAAAGAATAGCTTATGGTCTGGTTTAGAATGGAAACACTATCTCTTTGAGGTAATAGTTGCTATTTTTAGACTGACTTTTAAAAAGAGATGAGAAGTCATGATGCTTATTAGCTCCACTTAGTCTTAGACATTAGGAGATAGTCTCCAAAATACCATTAACTGTTATCCCAAATAAGTTCTCCAAAATACAAGATATTTTAAAGGTATTTTTGTCATAATGAGTAATTGATTCAACACTAGTTTTAGCGACTCTTAAATTCCATTGTCAAATAAACAATTTGCTAAACAGAAATAGATTTTCCATAGTGAAATTTGGTTAGAACAATGGTGCATTCCTAGGCCAGAGTTTCAGAAGTGGATATTAATTCAAAGCAGCTGGATGCAGGGACTGAGAAAAAGACAGTCCTGTCTTTTTGCTGCGGCTTTGGAGAATCTGATGTATCACAGTATTTTGCTGTTTTTGAAGGTTTCCCTATCCTTGTAGTCAGTGAGAGTGAGTGAGACTGTAGAAATAGATCGTCCTTTGCAATTGTATGTCCAAGCATGGAAGAAAAACTCCTGGAGAGACAGTGTTCCTTTAACATAAAAGGCAGACCGTCTAAAATATACTTTGATTTATTATCTTCTACACAGCTTACTTTCTAGGCTGGACTGTAGACATGTTGGTCCTTATTCAGCGTCTTCCACAGTTCACGTCTAGGGCCCTTGTTATGTTTTCAGGATTACTGCATAGAAACAGGGCAAAGGGCATTATGAATCTATTAGGAGGTAATATGCTTACAGAAGGAATTATGCAGCTAAAGCTAAAACATGATTAGGGATTCTGTGGAGCTACAGGAAGAGGATCACAGCCACTTCCAACCAAATGGTGCTGGGTGGGGTACCTCTGGCACCAGCTTTCATGGGTAAAATATTCTACTTGGGTAAAATATTCTAAAATATTGGCGTGAGTGGATTTATTGTCAGAAAGCTTTTATCTGCTCTCATGGGTTGTGTGTGTGTGTATGTGTGTGCGTGTAAGTACATGCATACATATTATATATAATGATGGCATTCTGATGTGATGCCTGTTTGAGATCTTAAGTTATTTTAAAAACTCACTTAGATAGAATCTTCAAAATAAACGGGGAAACTACCTCCTGAGCTCTTGCTGTTCTTTACAGAAGAGATGAAGAAATCCCCCACTGGATTTTTGTGAGACTTTCTGAGGAAGCCTTGTGAATAAAATAGAGACTGTTTTAGAAATTTGAGGTCTAATGGGAATTTTTTTTTAAACATTCATAGCGAAATGATACATGATGAAACTCAGCAGCTGAAGAGTTAATAGGGCATTTGTGCTGGACGGGCTCGGGGAACAGATGGAATGCATGTAGGTGGGAAAGCTATTATTTAAACAGAGGAGGGCTACTGTGTGTTGGAAGGGGGTGGATTTTTGAGGGTAGCTGGGTACTTAACATTTTGGGGCTAGACTAATATATTTACTAGTGGACACAGGAAGAAGCAGACGCCAAGGCATATGGTCAGGAAGGGAGTTAACAGGCCACCAACAAAGAGGAAGAATGCGGCAGCTGAAATCAACTGAGGGTAGATGAAAAGAGGATAAAATGGCACCGACAGATCCAAAGGCCTTAAGAAACTCAAAAAACCTCAGTAATAAGGAAATGTGTTTGGAAATACTGATATTGTTACCTTCATTTGGGAAGTGTTCACGTGTGAATAGGGAAGAAAATAAGGGAAGCAACTGTGAATTACCTTAGGCTTTCACCAGATGAGTATGAGTAAAATGTGTGAAGTGAAATTCAGGTTAACCCTTCAAGTCACATAGGCAGGAAACCAATAAAGAAGATTGACATGAAAAAAAAAGCCAATACTAAATGTTCCCATCAAGAAGAAAGTGGAACAAATACTTCAGCTTTCCTCTCATGTGTTTCTTTTCTTTTCTTTCTTCCTTCCTTTTTCTTTCTCTCTTTCACTTTCTCTTTCTTTCTCTTTCATTCGTTTGTTCTTTTTTTTTCTTTTCTTTTTTTTGAGAGAGATAGTCTGGCTCAGTCGCCCAGGCTGGAGTGCAGTGGTGCGATCTCGGCTCGCTGCAACCTCCGGCTCCTGGGTTCAAGCGATTCTCCTGTCTCGGCCTCCCAAGTAGCTGGGACTAAAGGCGCCCACCACCACGCCCATCTAATTTTTGTATTTTTAGTAGAGACGGGGTTTCACCATGTTGGCCAGGATGGTCTCAATCTCTTGACCTCGTCATCCACCCGCCTCAGCCTCCCAAAGTGCTGGGATTACAGGCGTGAGGCACCGCACCTGGCCTCTTTCGTTCTTTCTTCCCTTTCTTTCTCTCTTTTCTTCTTTTCTGTCTTTTTCTTGTGTTTCTGATTTTCTTTCTTTCATGATTAGGTCTTAATTTTCTTGTTTTTGTTTGTTTGGTGTTTTGTTTTGTTTTTTGAAACAGTCTTGCTCTGTTACCCAGGCTGGAGTGCAGTGGCGCAGTCACAGCTTACTGTATACTTGACCTCCTGAGCTCAAGCAATCCTCCCACCTCAGTCTCCCAAGTAGCTGGGACCACAGGCACACATCACCACACCCAACTAATTTATTTATTTATTTATTTATTATTTTATTATTATTATTTTTTGAGACGGAGTCTTGCTCTGTCGCCCAGGCTGGAGTATAGTGGCGCGATCTCGGCTCATTGCAAGCTCCGCCTCCCGGGTTCACGCCATTCTCGTGCCTCAGCCTCCCGAGTAGCTGGGACTACAGGCACCCACCACCACACCCGGCTAATTTTTTGTATTTTTTTTAGTAGAGACGGGGTTTCACCATGTTAGCCAGGATGGTCTTGATCTCCTGATCTTGTGATCTGCCCACCTCAGCCTCCCAAAGTGTTAGGATTACAGGCGTGAGCCACCGCGCCCAGCCAATTTATTTGTTATTATTATTTTTTGACACAGGGTCTCGTTCTGTTGCGCAGGCTGGAATGCAGTGGTAGTGATCACAGCTCACTGCAGCCTCAGCCTCCCAGGCTCAAGCAATCCTCCTGCCTCAGCCTCCTGAGTAACTGGAACTATAGGCACATACCACCATGCCCAGCTAATTTTTGTAGAGAGAGGGGTCTCACCATGTTGCCCAGGCTGGTCTCAGTTTCCTGGGCTCAAGCAATCTGCCCACCCGAGCCTTCCATAGAGCTGGGATTGCAGGCGTGATCTACCACACCCAGCCAGGTCTTAGTTTTCTGAAACATTGGTTCAGTAAAACAAAACAAAAACAAGCAAACAAACAAATAGTTGCCCTGGTTATGTTGGAAGACAGCCTATTTCCTGTTGTGTTTCTGGCTTACTGCAGTGAATTTGCCAGGTCACTTAAAGACCAAAAACCCTATCTTCATCTGGCAGGAGGTAGTTTTTTGCCTTGTGTGGACCTCAAATTGTGTTAGAGATTCACAAGATTATATTTATCAAAATAACACCACAATGCTATGTGAATCTAAGGTGGTATTAACGGCACAACCTCTTGTACTTCTGGATGACTTTAGAATTTATAGACATTCCTGTTTGAACTTTAAAATCCATTCTGCAACTAGTCAACAATTGTTGCCCCTTTTTTAGGTATGTGATCAATCAGAATATGAATTAGAGAAAAACAAATGTGTAAATTATTGATTTTTTAGGAGAAAAGCAATGCAGTAAAACATAAAATAGCACTCCTCAAAAAACATAAAAAGCATAAAGAAGTTGCCATACTTATTCCCTCTTTAGCATATATACTAAATATAAACATGCTAGAGAGCTTTAGAAAAGTCTCCTTAGGTCAGTGGTTCATATGCCTTTTTAGTGCATGAACCCCATTGAGAACTGGGTTTAAAAATTCATGGATTTCCCAGCCAGGCACCGTGGTTCATGCCCATAATCCCAGCACTTTGGGAGGCTGAGGCGGGTGGATTGCTTGAGTCAAGGAGTTCAAGAATAGCCTGGGCAATGTGGTGAGACCTCCTATCTACAAAAAAAATACAAAAATTAGCCAAGCATGGTGGTGCACGCCTGTAGTCCCAGCTACTTGAGAGGCTGAGGTAAGAGGATTGCTTGAACCCAGGAGGTTGAGGCTGCAGTGAGCCAGGATCGTGCCACTGCACTCCAGCCTGGGTGACAGAGCGAGACCTGGTCTCAAAAAAAGAAAAAAAAAAAATGAATTTCTCATCCCCTCCTCAAAAAAAAAAAAATGTGTATATGAGATGAGCAGAGGTTCCCACAAGGGTCATCCAAATAATGTAAATTGGCCCAAGTGCAGACAGTATAGAATGGTGTGTCAAACTAGAAGGTACACGCCACGTTAAGGCAGTAGGGAATGGTGGAGGTTTATACAAACTAGGATGCACATTGCTTACCTAAAGTCAATTCAATTCAGAACATTAAAAAGCACCCGCGGAATACATTTGAGGTAAATCTGGCCCCTAGGCATCCCAGTGTGCAGTTCTAGGCTTTTATTGATTGCACCCAGGCTTTTATCTATGGTGTATAAACGTAGGAGTATTCTTGTTTTTGCCCTAAGGCCCGACAACAAGCTCAAATACGTCACCAAATGGCAGAGGACAGCAAAGCAGATTACTCATCCATTCTCCAGAAATTCAACCATGAGCAGCATGAATATTACCATACTCACATCCCCAACATCTTCCAGGTAAGTCCTGAACATCTCTCAGATTTCATGTTTTATGCTTTGCTTTCCTTAGAAACATGACACTTCTGAATCGTGATTGCTGGGTTTGTATTCTGAGTCTGAGTCTTTATATAATTCCAAATTTCCACTAATTTTTTTTTTTTTTTTTTTTTTTTTTGAGACAGAGTCTTGCTTTGTCACCCAGGCTGGAGTGCAATGGCACAGTCTCGGCTCATTGCAACCCCTGCCTCCTAGGTTCAAGTGACTCTCCTGCCTCAGCCTCCCGAGTAGCTGGGACTACAGGCACGTACCACTGGGCCCGGCTAATTTTTGTATTTTTAGTAGAGACGGGGTTTTGCCATGTTGGCCAGGCTGGTCTCAAAGTCATGACCTCAGGTGATCTGCCTACCTCGGCCTCCCAAAGTGGTGGGATTACAGGCCTGAGCCACCATGCCTGGCCCTTTTTTTTGTTTTGTTTTGTTTTTGTTTTTTGAGACAGTCTCACTCTGTTGCCCAGGCTGGAGTGCAGTGCACAATCACGACCCACTGCAGCTTTGAACTCCTGGGCTCAAAGGATCAAGGGATCCTCCAAGTTCAGCCTCCTAAGTAGATGGAACTACAGGCATGCACCACCATGCCCTGCTAATTTTTAAATTTTTTATAGAGATAGGGTCTTGCTGTGTTGCCCAGGATGGTCTCAAATTCCTGGACTCAAACAGTTCTCCAGCCTTGGCCTCCCAAAGTGCTAGGATTATAGGCATGATAAATCATTTTTTAAAGCATCTAGATCAAGCATTGACTAGCAATATGAATGAAATATAATAATCTCAAGATTAATCAATAACTTTGCAAATTTCTATAGTTTGCACCTGCAGCCAATTATTTGTCAGTCTTTTTTCTTTTTTTCTTTTTTTCTTTTTTTTTTTTGAGATGGAGTCTTGCTCTGTCACCCAGGCTGGAATGCAGTGGCATGATCTCAGCTCACTGCAACCTTCACCTCCTGGGTTCCGGCGAATCTCCTGCCTCAGCCTCCTGAGTAGCTGGGATTACAGGCACCTGCCACCATACCTGGCTACCTTTTTTGTATTTTTAGTAGAGACGGGGTTTCACCATGTTGGCCAGGCTGGTCGTGAACTCCTGACCTCAGGTGATCCGCCCGCCTTGGCCTCCCAAAGTGCTGGGATTACAGGCGTGAGCCACAGCGCCTATTTGTCAGTCTTAAACTATGATTCTGTGATTAATGCTGTCTTTGCTAAAGGGATGATTGTGGTTATAAAAATGCCAACTTAACTATAGAAGTCAAAGCAGCATTCATAGAGTTATAGGATTTAAACAAATGACAGTTCTTTCTTTTGGATTGTTTTCTTTTGCTCATGTTAGGTTGTCAAAAATGGTATGAGAAAAGATAGACATATGTTCTTCCATTTTACAGATTTTTTGCAACTTTGAGTCCAATTGTAGAAAAAATAAATAATATATTTGCTTCTTGGTGTCTACACACACAGCAAACAAGTCCTTGTAAATTATAGTTGGAAGATACACTAGCATGTATTGGGCTGAGGCAGTTAATTAAATACTGTGCTTTTGGTAAAAGGTAAAGTAGTAGATTAAAGATGGAGAAAACGTTTGAGGTAGATTACAAATAGTGTTAGTAATAAAACTATTGGCCAGGTGTGGTGGCTCAAGCCTGTAATCCCAGCACTTTGGAGGCCTAGGCAGGTGGATCACCTGAGGTAAGGAGTTGGAGACCAGCCTGGCCAACATGGCGAAACCCCATCTGTACTAAAAATACAAAAAATTAGCCAAGTGTGGTGGCGGGGGGAGGGGGGGTGGGGCCTGTAATCCCAGCTACTTGGGAGGCTGACGCAGGAGAATCACTTGAACCTGGAGGCAGAGGTTGCAGTGAGCTGAGATCACACCACTGCACTCCAGCCTGGGTGACAAGAGCAAAACTCCGTCTCAAAAAAACAAAAAGAAAAACAAAAAAGAACTATTGAGTTTGGCATTCTTACTAAAATTAGAATGGAATTGTGCAAAGCATATATTTGGGCAGCCTAACATGTCTAGCAATTTATAAAATAAATGTACAGCTGGGTAATATGGAGGCTCCGTGTACTTAGAGCCGCTCTAACTCTAACCCATTTTTTCCTCAAAGAGAACTTGTTAGAGGTAACAATGCTGCCGAAAAACAACTTTGTTTAATAATAATGGACCAAACTTACTTTATACAAAATCTAATGTTGCAGAAAATACAAGAGATGGAGGAAAGGAGGATTGTGAGAATGGGAGAGTCCATGAAGACATATGCAGAGGTTGATCGGCAGGTGATCCCAATCATTGGGAAGTGCCTGGATGGAATAGTAAAAGCAGCCGAATCAATTGATCAGAAAAATGTAAGTATTGCCATTTGGACTTCATTGATAACTATTTGCAGATCCATTATTTCTCCCCATCCCCTTTCCATTTGACCTCATGTCATCATCTCATGGTGGATGGTTGCTTTTGGTGGTCACACATGCTCTGTGTCTTGGATTTAGCTGTATAATTCCTTTTTTGGTAAACACATTTAAGTGGTAAATTGTCCGAGACATGACAGAATTGAATTGAAGTATTTCCTGGAAAAAAGGTAAAGGCTTTGTTTCCTCTAAGGCAGGGTTTCTTTCTCTTTTTCTTTTTCTTTTTCTTTTTTTTTTTTTCTTTTTGAGATGGAATCTCGCTCTGTTGCCCAGGCTGCAGTGCAGTGGCGTGATCTTGGGTCACTGCAACCTCCACCTCCCGGGTTCAAGCGATTCTCCTGCCTCAGCCTCCTGAGTAGCTGGGACTACAGGCGCCCGCACCACGCCCAGCTAATTTCTGTATTTTTAGCAGAGACGGGGTTTCACCATATTGGCCAGGCTGGTCTCGAACTCCTGACCTCAGGTAATCCGCCCGCCTCAGCCTCCCAAAGTGTTAGGATTACAGGTGTGAACCACTGCACCCGGCCAAAACAGGGTTCCTTCAGCACTTTTGACATTATCTCAGGCCAGATCATTTTTCTTGTTGGGGGCATTTCAGAATGTTTAGCAGCATCCTGGCCTCTACCCAGCAGAGGCCAGTAGCACTCCCCGAGTTGTGACAATCAAAAATGTCTCCACACATTGTCACATGTCCTCTGGGAGGGCAAAAGCTTCTCTGGTTGAGAATACTGCTTTAGGGCAGTGTTCTCCATTTGAATTCCTAGAGACCTATTTCTCAAAAAAATATAAACTAGAACACCAGCATAGGCTTTTACTGTTAATTTGAAGACACAAATATTCAACATAAAAGTTATGCTGCTGGCTGGGCACAGTGGCTCACATTTGTAATCCCAGCACTTTGGGAGGCCGGAGCGGGTGGATCACTTGATGCCAGGAGTTCAAGACCAGCCTGGCCAACATGGTGAAACCACATCTCTACTAAAAATACAAAAATTAGCTGGGTGTGGTGGTATGCCCCTGTAGTCCCAGCTACTCGGGAGGCTGAGGCACGAGAATTGCTGGAACTCAGGAGGCAGGGATTGCAGTGAGCCAAGATCACGCCACTGCACTCCAGTCTGAGTGACAGAGCGAGACTCTGTCTCAAAAACAAACAAAAAAATCAGAAAACAATAGTTCTAAATTCTAAAAGCTCGGATGAAAAGCTCAAATGATGGCTTTTGAGAAGAATGAAAAAAGCTGGCCAGCTGTGGTGACTCAAGCCTGTAATGCCAGCACTTTGGGAAGCCGAGGCAGGCGGATCACCTGAGGTCAAGAATTTGAGACCAGCCTGGCCAACATGGCGAAACCCCATCTCTACTAAAAATACAAAAATTAGCTAGGCATGATGGCACATGCCTGTAATCCCAGCTACTCGGGAGGCTGAGGCAGGAGAATCGCTTAAACCTGGGAGGCGGAGGTTGCGGTGAGCTGAGATCACGCCACTGCACTCCAGCCTGGGTAACAGATTGAGACTGTCTCAAAAAAAAAAAAAAAAAAAAAAAAGCTACTAGGAAAAAAGTTATTATCAATCAGTACAATTTCGTTAGTTATCATCTGTATGAGATCATCATAATTCATTGTTTTTTTGAGATGGAGTCTCACTCTGTCGCCCAGGCTGGAGTGCAGTGGCGCGAGCTCAGCTCACTGCAACCTCCGCCTCCTGGGTTCATGCCATTCTCCTGCCTCAGCCTCCTGAGTAGCTGGGACTACAGGCGCCCGCCACCACGCCTGGCTAATTTTTTGTATTTTTAGTAGAGACGGGGTTTCACCATGTTAGCCAGGATGGTCTTGATCTCCTGACCTCGTGATCCACCCGCCTCTGCCTCCCAGAGTGCTGGGATTACAGGCATGAGCCACCGCACCTGGCCAATTCATTGTTTAAAAAGTGTTTGCATGCTTCTGAATGTATTTATATGCTTGTGGGTATAATTTCAGGATTCACAGCTGGTAATAGAAGCTTATAAATCAGGGTTTGAGCCTCCTGGAGACATTGAATTTGAGGATTACACTCAGCCAATGAAGCGCACTGTGTCAGATAACAGCCTTTCAAATTCCAGAGGAGAAGGCAAACCAGACCTCAAATTTGGTGGCAAATCCAAAGGAAAGTTATGGCCGTTCATCAAAAAAAATAAGGTACTGATGGTTGGCGTGAAATGAGTTTTCTAAGGTGTGGAGATTTTGACTTGATCTTTTAGTCTTAGAAAAACTAAGATCCTAAACCTGTAGTTTCAGAATGCAAAAGAAGAAGCTAGTGTGCTACCTTATGTTGAGACAGTATTTCTTTTTGGTGGTGGTATCTTTGCCATGGCCCTGTGTCTTATTTCAGATGCATTATCCTCGTACCGTGACTCCCACACTAACAGAGTACTGACCTCTCCACCGTTTCGCCTCATGCCTTTCCCTCCTTCCTCTCCTAGACTGCTGGTTACCTTGGCTGGGAGAGAGGATGTAGTGGGACATTCCTGTAACACTTTATCCGCACATCTACTGGAAATCGTTACCATGTTAATAACTTGGTTTTGAATTCATGTTAACATGTGTACCCATGAACATTTTTCATTTTCTTTTCATAGTGCGATACATAGGTGCATGACAGCATTAACCTGGGGACGTAGAATATGATCAAGGCAGCATTACTGCTTTAACTTTAGAATGACTTACTATTTATTAATTTAAACAGACTGCTGTTTCCACAACCTTAGCATTGAAGGTCTTTCATTTTCTCCCATCAAGCTATGTTAGTTTAGGTAATGTAGAAATATTTACCCTCTGGCTTAAGCTGGTTTAGAGTAACTAACTAGAGCTATAGTTTGCATGGGAAAGTCTGCACGAGCTTCTTGTCAGATATTTCTTGCTCTTCTGTCGCATTACTTACTAAACCTCCCAACTCTCATCATATTCTTCATTTAACCACCTCCTACATGTTTTCTTTTGGACCATGGCCTAAAATTTAATTGTTTGTGTTTTACTTGCGTTGGATTTCAAATATTATTTGATGCTTATTTTTGTTTTGTGTCTTCTTGTTTCTGATTTTTACTCTGTCACGGCTCCATCTCTTACATGTAGCTTATGTCCCTTTTAACATCCCCCCATCAGCCTCCCCCTCCCCCTCCTGCCTCTGCCTCACCCTCTGCTGTTCCCAACGGCCCCCAGTCTCCCAAGCAGCAAAAGGAACCCCTCTCCCATCGCTTCAACGAGTTCATGACCTCCAAACCCAAAATCCACTGCTTCAGGAGCCTAAAGCGTGGGGTAAGTTCTGCTCCGGAATCCTGTCTCTCTGGCGTGCTTTGGTTGCATGTTTGGTTCTGCATAACTAATTTTGTTTGTGAATGAATCCATTGTGTTTTCCCATAACATATAAAAAAGTTAAAAAAAAAAAAACAAAAACCATTATAGCTAGAAAGAAAAGCCAGAAAGAGGAAGAAAGAAAGAAGGAAGCATGGTGGTTGGAAGAAAGGAGAAAACCAGACAGCCCAGAGTTCTTTCTATTTGTTTCTTTCTTTTTTTTTTTTTTCCAGACAGAGTCTCGCTCTGTCACCAGGCTGGAGTGCAGTGGCGTGATCTCGGCTCCCTGCAACCTCCACCTCCCGGGTTTAAGCGATTCTCCTGCCTCGGCCTCCTGATTAGCTGTGATTACAGGCATATGCCACCACGCCCAGCTACTTTTTATATTTTTAGTAGAGACAGCATTTCATCATGTTGGCCAGGATGGTCTCGATCTCTTGACCTTGTGATCCGCCCGCCTCGGCCTTACAAAGTGCTGGGATTACAGGTGTGAGCCACTGCGCCCGGCCTTTTTCTTTTCGTTTCTAGTACATTTTGGAAGGACTTTACCCCTCTTCCTCTTTAAAGCATCCAAGTCATGCATTTTCTACCTTAATTTTACCAAAAAAAACCACTTAGATTTCATTTCTAAAACTAGCGACCTGAGACTGGGCGTGATAGTTCACATCTGTAATCCTAGCACTTTAGGAGGCCAAGGCAGGAGGATTGCTTGAGCTCAGGAGTTCAAAACCAGCTTGGACACCATAGTGAGACCCCCATCTCTTAAAAAAATATATAAAAATTAATAGGACAAGCGCAGTGTCTCATGCCTGTAATCCTGGCACTTTGGAAGGCCGAGGCAGGAAGATTACTTGAGCTCAGGAGTTCAAGACCAGCCAGTACAACATAGTCAAACCCCATCTCTAAAAAAAAATAATAAATAATAAAAACATAAAACTAGCAACCTATGAGATGAGGAATTGGAAGTCACTGTGTAAGTCAGAAAATATTGCCTTAATAACTACTGAAGCAATGTGAGTGTAATGAAGATACTTGCCTGAGCTATGCCTCAGGGTCGAAAGGAGAAGAGTCATAAGTCACAGTGGTTTCATTCGCTATTTTAGTGAGATTATATAAGATGTTGATAAAATATCTGTTGATTGGAAGGGGCCTGATGCAGAATTTCTCTTTAAAGGATGAAACAATAAAAGCAGCTGACACTTACTGAGCACTTATTGTGTGCAAAGCTCTGTTCTGTGTGCTCATTTACTTTTTTCCAGCCACCCTATGAAGCCCAGGTAGTACTCATATTTCCTTATTTTACTGTAAGGAAATTGAGGCATAAAAAGGTGAAGGTGGGAAGATACAGAGCCGGGATTTAGATCCGGGGAGTCTGATTACAGAGTCTGAGATTCTGTGACATCCACATTCAGGGAGAAACTACTATATTGACTCGTAAGTGGTTGTTATTAAGATTGAAGTCCGCTGTCCTCATTAAGATTGATGTGCGCTTACATCATAGAGATAATGGAATTGATGCAGCCATCCAATGTAGATACCAGTTTCGTTTACAGAGAAAGATTGGCATAAAGCAATGTGTAGATTCCCAAATCATTCTCAATGGCCAGTCTAGTCTAAGCCTTCCCAAAATATCTTTTATAATGAATATAATGAGTAAACAGATCTTTAGACTGGGCCCAGTGGCCCACGCCTGTAATCCCAGCAGCGTTAACATATCCAGTAAGGTTTTCTCCTTTTTTTTTTTTTTAAATCCTACCCTGTGGGAGTTGCAATACAGTTGTAGTGGAATGCTTTCTTGTACAAACATAAGTTTTACTTTTCCCTTCTCCTGGACTCTCCAGTCAACTGACGGTTGGGTTACTTCTTTCCAAATAGTACCTGGTAGTGCCCCAAAGCCAGAGGTGGATGCCATCCTTTCTTGAGTGTCAACTGACACATTGGCCTGGGAAAAGATTCTAAACTACAACTAATTAACTAGAGGAGAGATGTCCTTCTTAGACTTGGAATCAACAGCTGGTTACTAGTAAAAGAATAACAGTAGTCATTGTTAACCTGACAATCGTATTTCCACAAAAACAACTCTGTGTAAAAAAGAGGCCTGGCACAGTGGCTCATGCCCGTAATCCCAGCACTTTGGGAGGCCGAGGAGGGCGGATCACCTGAGGTCAGGAGTTCGAGACCAGCCTGACCAACATGGTGAAACCCCGTCTGTACTAAAAATACAAAAATTAGCCGGGCATGGTTAATGTCCGGCTAATTACAGGCGGGTGCCTGTAATCCCAGCTACTCGGGAAACTGAGGCAGGAGAATCGCTTGGACCTGGGAAGTGGAGGTTGCAGTGAGCCAAGATCACGCTATTGCACTCCAGCCTGGACGACAGAGCAAGACTCTGTCTCAAAAAAGAAAAAAAAAAAACCCATGAAAAAATAGCCAGGCATGGTGGCATGTGCCTGTAGTCCTAGCGGAGGCTGGGATGAGAGGATTGCTGGAGCCCAGCCAGGGCAACAGAGTGAGACCCTTTCTCCAAAAAAAAAAAAAGTAAAGAATGTAAATTCATAATTGATAACAAGTTTATTATCAATGCTTTTTAAAAATAGGGGACAAAACAATATTTCCTCACATGCAGAGTTCTTTTAATATGAGAATCTCAAATTTATAGTTGGTAGAATTATCTTGAATTATCTTGCTTTAATGCTATCTATCATATCAGGTTAAGAATTAGAAATGTAATTTCCTAAAGATGTGAAAAAAGCCGTTGGTGGAAGGCAGAATACAGCTTCAAAAGTGGATGATGGATTGAGCTGAGATGTATAATTAGGACTTGAGTAATCTGCAGCTTCTTGGCTCAACGATGCTGGCGTTTAGAACTCCACTCATTGTTAATCCAAGAATTTCCAAGACAAGGGTGTTTTTGCTAGACTGAAAGTTTCATATGAACTGTCAGTTAACCCATCTCTGCCGCTTTACCAAGCACTCATGTGTTATATTTATATATTATCTCTGTATTTTTTTGGACTCTCATGATGAATATTCATGATTGTTTACCATTTGTTTATGTGTCTATTCCAGTTTTCTCTTAACATTACACAGTCTGTTGGCCAAAAATGGTTTGTGAATCTGTGGTTCATGATATTCTCTAACTATTTAGAAAAAGACCAAAGAATTCAGTAATCAATAAATGTAAGAAAAGGATGGTTAGAAAAAGATAAGCTGGGCGTTGTGGCTCACACCTGTAACCCCAGCACTTTGGGAGGCTGAGGTGGGTGGATCACGAGGTCAGGAGTTTGAGACCAGCCTGACCAACATGGTGAAACCCTGTCTCTACTAAAAATACAAAAATTAGCTGGGCATGGTGGTGCACACCTGTAATCCCAGCTACTTAGGAGGCTGAGGCAGGAGAATCACTTGAACCCAGGAGGCAGAGGTTGCAGTGAGCCGAGATCATGCCACTGCATTCCAGCCTGGGTGACAGAGTGAGACTCCGTCTAAAAAAAAAAGATTAACACTTAAAACAGTGAAATGGGAATCGGAAACTGGTTCTTTTGATGATTTAAAGGAAAATCTCTGTTTTACCATAATCAGCAGTATGAATTTTATTTCTTACTCCTCAAACGTGTGCTCAGCAAATCTTTGTTAAAAAAAATTTCCCAAATGATGTGTTTATTTTCCTGAGGTTAAACCACATACATATACCCACTAGAAGCAATCGTAAAGAAATAGAGAAATAGTTTTGCTTCCCTCACTTTTGGTCATTCTGTTCTTAGGGTCAGAATTAATGTTCCTTCCTCTAGGACATAGCAGTGCAAAAAAAGAGGAAGCACAAGCTCAAAAAGCAAATCTAAAGTTTGGAGAAATAGATTTCATTTTTAAGCAGTCTCAACATGGATCTTGCATGGGACATCCATGGCATGGCTGACAGCTTCCGTGACCAACATGGTACAGCCCTTCCTACCTTCTCATTTATTCTACTTTGTAACTTAACAGCATTATGCCAACGATAATTTAACTAGAAAAAGTTCCTGAGAGAATAACAAATCTGTGATTTTATTATGTCTTTTATCATGTTTTGCAGCTTTCAGATTCAGATGTCAATAATTTGTTTCTATGATCAGAGTATATAAATCCCATGCAAACATATCTCAGCATAACTGATTTTGTTTCTAAATAATTAAACAGGATAAAATGTTATTTGTTGTAAGCTGTTGACATTTGTAAGGAAATTTTGTTTCACTGAATATGTTTAGAGATGCCGCCAGAACATTAACCATTGTTTCATTTTTATGTAAGTTGAAGAAAAATGAAACTAGATAGCATGTTCTCCATTTGCAGTCTACAAAGGGGAATTTTATTGCTTAAATTAAAGTTTCATTTTCTGGCCTGTGCAAGAGACTTTTATATCTAAAATATGGATGTACGTTTTTCATATTTTAGAGTTCATTGTATGGAAAAATACCATCAAAGTTGACCGAAAGATTTTGAAAATCCTTACCAGTTGTTTGTCATATGTTAAAGTCTTATGGTTAATTTTATTTATTTTATCTTGTTCTCTTGCTGGTTATTGGCAGACTCAGTCTTTCTGTTTTCACAAAGAACTCATGAAGAGGACGATAGGGAAACCCACGTATGCCTTTGAGGCTAGGGACTATGTTGTAAGTTCACCTGTGATGGCCAGGTCATACAGTCATGGCACAGCCACTAACCCCATTCACAGCACCAAGACTGGGGACCCAGAGGCACTTGTTATGCTTCCACACTACGAAATGAAATTCTTAATTGAGAGAACTGGACACCAGGAAAAAAAAAAAAAAAGAAAAGCCTAATTGTATAAATTCAACCATACGGAACTTTATCCGAAAAGCTTGCATGAATAAAGGAAGCAAACTTTCTAATAACAGTGGTGAGCTGAGCTTGTTTTTTTGTTTTTTTTTTTGTTTTTCTCTTTTCATTCTAGTTCTGGTAAAATCTTTAAAGGGACTGTGACTGCCGTCTGAGATGTCATTGGGTATGACTTTACCGCAGAATTTCACGCATAAAACACAGCTGCAGTGCGTGGTCACGGGAGAGTGACGCTCTTACAGACGGCAGTGTAGCTCAGTCACCCATATCCATGTTTGTAACAAATGGATCCATAAGGGAGTTATGCCCTAAAGCTTGGAGAACAAACAAACAAATCAAGGAAGCGTGAGCGATCTCCTAGCACAGTAAAATGATTTTGCTTCTCTCTATATATATTTATTTTCACTGTCCCCTTTCTTTGTACTTGAGGTTAGTACTGTGACTGTCCAATAACACATGGACTCGCCTGGGCTGTGTTCCCCATGTGTTATTGACGCTTGTGGCTCCCACGGCTCTTTAACTGTCGCCTGAAACTGACAGCTTTTTAATTCTTCAGGTGTCTAGCAATGCACTTAATGAAATCTTCAAAATTATTATTTTAGCCAATGATTTCGCTTTCTAATTTTAAGAGAAATTCTAATTGGCTGGCTTACAACTTCAGACTGAAAACCAGTATATAATGATTAAAAAGAAATTCCACGTACTGTGATGGCACTTCTTGTATTAATAGATCATCCATCACAAATAAAGTCGAATTTGTCTGAGAATTTGGTATTTCCTATTCAATGGGGATTTCTGTTCAATCCTAATGACTCGTTTTTACTATGAAGTGTTAATAATCTTCCTATACAATATTTTGAGGTGAGAACTCTGTCTGTGGAATGCTTAAGAAAGAATATATAACTTTGCGTAAAGAAAGTAGCCGAGTAGAGAGCAAATAGTGTATCTAGTTGAAATGTTAGTTCTTTGAATTAGCAATGTTTAGACAATAATGTGTGAGAAAATATCTGTATATGATAGTGTGCCTTGTAGGAAAGATACTTGGAGTTTTCTGCTGTGCACCATAAGTCTTGTCTGTGCGTACAATGAATTCCAGTTGTGATAAGTAGATCTATGCTCAAGTTCACAGGCGGGCTGGAATCACTGTAGACTGCCCATGTCAGACAGTCAGGAATGTGACTGTATGTACCATTTTCCCCCTGCAAAAGTTTGTCTTTCTGGTTCTTTCCTTTAAAATCTCATGTTTCTATATAGGGACAATTTATTTAAAAGGTTATTTTTTATTTACAAGGAAGTGTCAACTTTGAATCAATCTTAAATTAAGAATTAGTTTTTTAGGCTGTGTGTGGTGGCTCACACCTGTAATCCCAGCACTTTGGAAGGCTGGGGTGGGTGGATCATTTGAGCTCAGGAGTTCGATATCAACCTGGGCAACATGGTGAAACCCCCATCTCTACCAAAAAATACAAAACTTAGCTGGACGTGGTGGCACGTACCTATAGTCCCAGCTACTCAGGAGGCTGAGGTGCGAGGATCATTTGAGCTCTAGAGGTTGAGGCTTCAGTGAGCTGGGATTGTGCCACCATGCAACCTGCCCTGTCTCCAAAAACAAAACCAAAAATCAGCAAATTGATAAGTAAATAAATACTTTAAAAAGAGCAGTCACAGCTGGGCACAGTAGCTCACACCTATAATCCCAGCACTTTGGGAGGCGGGCGGATCACGAGGTCAGGAGTTCAAGACCAGCCTGACCAACAAGGCGAAACCCCGTCTCTACTAAAAATACAAAACATTAGCTGGGCGTGGTGGCAGGCACCTGTAATCCCAGCTACTCAGGAGGCTGAAGCAGGAAAATCGCTTGAACCTGGGAGGCGGAGGTGGCAGTGAGCCGAGATTACGCCACTGCACTCCTGCCTGGGCGATAGTGTGAGACCCTGTCTCAAAAAAAAAAAGAGCAGTCACAGTGGATAATTCTCCAAATAACCCCTGTGGACAGGGCTGAGTTTCATAGAAAGCATCAGCAGACACCCTCCACGGAGCAAGGGGTGGCACACACTTCTCGGGTGGGAGAGAATGTTGGCCTCTAGCCTGGCTGCGAGAGGCATTCTGGGTCCTGCAGGTAGTTTCTTAGAGCAATGCTAGTCAGCCCTTTGTTACCAATTCACCAATTTCAGACTTTGCCTTCATGTCAATGTTTATATTTATTAGAGCTCCTTAAGATTAAAATATTACTTTCCTGTCATGGAAGTAATTGGTGTTCAGACTTGTTTTCGTCTGTATAAAACTTTCCATGGGAAATTTGGAGAACAAAAGGTTGTGTGATTATATTTTTTCTTTTTTTTTTGTTTTTTTTTTGAGATGGAGTTTCACTCTTGTTGCCCAGGCTGGAGTGCAATGCGCGACCTCAGCTCACTGCAACCTCCGTCTCCCAGGTTCAAGCGATTCTCCTGCCTCAGCCTCCTGAATAGCTGGGATTACAGGTGTGCACCACCACACCCGGCTAATACTGTATTTTTAGTAGAGACAGGGTTTCTCCGTGTTGGTCAGGCTGGTCTCGAGCTCCCGACCTCAGGTGATCCACCTGCCTTGGCCTCCCAAAGTGCTGGGATTACAGGTGTGAGCCACTGCACCCGGCCCTGTATTTTTTCTTTTATAGTCATTATGTGTCACTGACTATAAGCTTACTTTAATTTACATCTAGGCTGAGGTGGCCAGTACAGGCCTGTAACAGAAACCCTCCTTTTCTATCTGATCTTTGGCTCTGGCAATGTGGAGCCTAAGAAAAATGTTATTAGGGAGCAGCCCTTCTTGTGAACTTTTGCACAGATCTGCTACAAGTCATTTTTATAAATCAGCGGGTAGACGTGTGTGTTATTTTAATATGGCGGAACTGACCAAGTTCCTCTTCTTCTGATGTGTTGTTGTTTTTTTTTCTCTTTCTCTCTCTCTTTCTCTCTATTTTTCCCATACCTCTCCAATTTTTACATGAAGCTTTCTCTCAAGCTGGTAAGCACAATTGTTCCATGCATGTCCTGAGTCTAATCAGGTTTTCTGGCGTGTCTTTTATGAATGCTATGCCATGCACAACGTATCTTCAAAGTTAACTTGGTTTGTGTTTCTCTTACGTGTGCTTTTGTTGGTGTTTCCTTATTAGACTTCTTGGATACAAAGGTCCAGAATCTAATAGAGGTGATCTTAATCTTTTCAAGTTGCTAAGAAAATTAACATTTAACTCACGACTTGGTGTTATTCCTGGGGCCTTGAGAGGAGGACAAATGTTAAAGTGTCTATATAAATATTAACGTAAAGGCCGGGCGCAGTGGCTCACGCCTGTAATCCTAGCACTTTGGGAGGCCAAGGTGGGTGGATTGCCTGAGCTCAGGAGTTCGAGACCAACCCGGGCAACACGGTGAAACCCCATCTCTACAAAAAACCAAAAAATTAGCCGGGCGTGGCAGCGTGCGCCTGTAGTCCCAGCTACTTGGGAGGCTGAGGCAGAGAACTGCTTGAACCCGGGAGGTGAAGGGTGCAGTGAGCCGAGATTATACCACTGGACTTCCAGCCTGGGTGACAGAGCAAGACTCTGTCTCCAAATATATATATATGAACGTAAATATTAAATCTTGGGGGGTGTCTGTTGGATCATTTTGAATAAAAGTAAATTAATAGTTGAAAAATGTTGCTATTAGAGAACCATAGAAGTAGATGAAAAAATCTGGGAGCCTGGAGGAGCTGTGCAGGAATGATCCCAGCCAGCAGCTGCTACCCAGGTTTGAGGCCACCTGTGGGAATGGAAGACTGTGGAATCTTTATGGTGCGACGTAGATATGTTGGTGCCTTGTGCATAGCTGATTCAAGAGGCCACAAGATGATTTCATGGACAGTGAAAAGAGCCTCCTAAGCCTTTTTAGAATTATTCACTCAGTGTTTTGTGTCGTTTCTACTTAATTGTATATGCCTAGTCAACAGTCAAACTAATCATTAAATTTATTAAAAGTAACTAACATAACCTATAACTATACTTCAAATATGTATAATAGTTTCATAGTCTTCTCAAACTCCACAGCTAAGAATATCCTAAAATAATGGACAGTGATCAACTGTGACAGTTCTACTAGGAGTAAGATCAGCACTATAAGCACACTATTGATAACCTAGGATAGTATTTTATGGTGAGATATATATATATATATATATATATATATATATATATAGACATATGTATGTATATACATAATTTTTTCAACATGACTTAGTATTTGGTAATGGACCCAACCTTAAAGAAAAAGAGTATTTTATTAAATTAAATAAACATTTCTTAGGCTGTGAAATAAAATCCTGAGAAGAGTCTTTGATTAAGGTCTCTACATGAAGGAAAGAGATCTAGATACTTAAATGAACTACAAGTTCATCTGCAGTATGAACTTGGGAGAAACTGGATCTATTGACTAGGAGGCCTTCTCAGCTGCCAGGGTTTCCTTATTTCCCTTTATTCATTGTTTGTCTGGGTGCTAGGAGCAAAAGGTAATATTTTTAGGCAGTCTTTCTGTTTGAAATACAAATTATTTTACCAACTTGGTATTGAATTGTTGCTTTATATCATTACCTTGAAGGCAACAAAGAAGTGAAGCGCTGGCTGGGCACGGTGGTTTGTGCCTGGAATCCCAGTGCTTTGGAAGGCTGAGGCAGGAAGATTGCCTGAGCCCAGGAGCTCAAGGTTGCAGTGAGCTATCATTGCGCCACTGCACTCCAGCTTGGGTGACAGAGTGAGACCATGTCTGAAAAAAAAAAAAAAGACAAAAGAAAAAAGATGTGGGACCAGGTGTGGTGGCTCACGCCTGTAATCTCTGCACTTTGGGAGGTGGGGGCAGGCAGATCATTTGCGCCCAGGAGTTCTAGACCAGCCTGAGCAGCATGGTGAAACCTGACTCTACAAACAAATACAAAAATTAGCCAGGCATGGTGGTCTGTGCCTGTGGTCCCAGCTATACTGGAGGCTGAGGCAGAAGGATTGATTGAGCCCAGGAGGTTGAGGCTGCTCCAGCCTTGGGTGATAGAATGAAACCCTGTCTCAAAAAAAAAAACTATAAAACAAAACAAAAAACCCAAAATCTGAAAAAGTAGTATTACACGGAGCTTGTGCTATTTTGGGGTGGGGGGAAGCTGTCAACAAGCAAGGGTTTGATTTTTTTTTCTTTTAGGAGACAGAGTCTCGCTCTGTCCCCCAGGCTGGAGTGCAGTGGCGCGATCTCGGCTCACTGCAACCTCCACCTCCTGGGTTCAAGCGATTCTCATGCCTCAGCTTCTCGAGTAGCTGGGATTATAGGGGCGCGCCACCACACCCAGCTAATTTTTGTATTTTTAGTAGAGACGGGGTTTCACCATGCTGGCCAGGCTAATCTCGAGCTCCTGACCTCAGGTGATCCGCCCACCTCAGCCCCCCACAGTGCTGGGATTACATGCGTGAGCCACCAGGCCCGGCCAGGTTTGATTTTATTAGTACATAGAACAAGCTTCTCTTACAGAACTCCAGCCACTTAAAACATAGGTACATGTGTATGACCCTCTCTTCCCATACCAACTCCTCCTGTTATGGCCTGTCTTTGTTGTTTTCTTATCTATTTATAAGTTATCAGTACAATGTGTTTTACTGATAGATTTCTTTGCACCTGTTTATACACCTGCACAGAGGCTAAAGCTGTTGTCCAGTGTGGTAGCCACTACCATATGTAGCTATTGAGTTTTTTGTTTTTGTTTTTGTTTTGAGATGGAGTCTCGCTCTGTCACTGAGGATGGAGTGCAGTGGCATGATCCTGGCTCACTGCATCCTCCGCCTCCCGGGTTGAAGCGTTTCTCCTGATTCAGCCTCCCGAGTAGCTGGGATTACAGGCAACTGCCATCATGCCTAGCTAATTTTTGTAGAGACAGGGTTTCACCATGTTGGCCAGGCTGGTCTTGAACTGACCTCAGGTGATCCGCTCACCTCGGCCTCCCAAAGTGCTGGGATTACAGGTGTGAGCCACCACGCCCAACCGCTGTTGAGTTTTAATTAATTAAAATTAAATAAATTTTTAAAAATTCAGTTCCACAATTTCACCAGCCACATTTCAAATGCTTCACAGCCACACATGGCTTCTGTGTTGGAAAGAGCGGCCATAGAACATTGCCATCACTGTAGAAAGTTCTGTTGGACTCACAGCACATAGCAAGGCTCAGCACATATTAACGAGGTGAATGTTGACCACTTGCCAGATTTTGTGACTTTTTTTTTTTTTTTTTTTGAGATGGAGTTTTACTCATGTTGTCCAGGCTGGAGTGCGCAGTAGCGCAATCTCAGCTCACCACAACCTCCACCTCCCGGGTTCAAGCGATTTTCCTGCCTCAGCCTCCTGAGTAGCTGGGATTACAGACGGGCGCCACCACGCCTGGCTAATTTTGTATTTTTAGTAGAGACGGGGTTTTTCCATGTTGGTCAGGCTCGTCTCAAACTCCCGACCTCAGGTGATCCACCCGCCTCGGCCTCCCAAAGTGCCAAGATTACAGGCATGAGCTACCGCGCCTGGCCTAGATTTCCTGATTTCTGAAGCAGTGTATCTTAGCATTGTGTTTTGCTGTATTCCAGCTTTTAAAAAATTCTCAGTTCTGGAAAACATGCTCATTTGATAAAACTCAAACCGTTTTTCCTCTGCTGTTCCACTATGACAATCAACAGAGAAGATTTCTGTGACCAAATATGTGGAGGCTTCCGCTATATATCAAGCAGCAGACACTAGCTGGGTGTCCTTTAATTCAATTCCATTCTGATGCTATCTACCTGGAGATAGTGGCTGATCCTGGGGGTTGAGGGCTCAGTCCTGAAGGACTGCCCCCTCCTTCCCACCAGTCGCAAGTCCAGGCTTCCAGGACTTCTGATGGACTAGCTTCAAGTTGGGGTTCCCCTGACCCTCTCTTTGGGTTCAATTAATTTGCAGGAGCAGCTCACAGAACTCAGGGAAACACTTATATTTACTGGTTTGTTTTTGGGTTTTTTTTTTTTTTTTTGAGACAGAATCTCGCCCGTCGCCCAGGCTGGAGTGTAATGGCGTGATCTTGGCTCACCACAACCTCCGCCTCCCAGGTTCAAGCAATTCTCCTGCCTCAGCCTCTCAAGTAGCTGGAACTACAGGCGGGTGCTACCACACTCGGCTAATTTTTTGTGTCTTTAGTCGAGACAGAGTTTCTCTATGTTGGTCAGGCTGGTTTCGAGCTCCTGACCTTTTGATCTGCCTGCCTCAGCCTCCCAAAGTGCTGGGATTACAGGCGTGAGCCACTGCGCCTGGCCACCACATTTACTGGTTTATTACAAAGGATATTATTAAAAATACAGATGAAGAGATGCTTAGGGCAAGGTGTGGGGGAGGGGGCACAGAGCATCCATGCCCTCCCCGGGCAGCCACTCTCTAAGAATCTCCCCAAAAACCCTGTCCTCTTGGGCCTTTTATGAGACTTCATCAGATAGACATGATTGAAGCATGGACAACCATGTGGAAATGAGATTGGTCAGAAACTGCCTGATCGCATCCTAATAGATCAGGTAGTGACACCCAGCAGGGCCTGTCTGTGCAGATTCTTCTTGGCCTCCCTGTGCAGCCTTCCTTCCTTCAGGGTATGGGGCACGATCCTCATGAAGCCTCTTGAATGAGGATCATATGGCCACAATCAGAATCCTGCCTTGGGCAGGTGAAAGAAGGGCACGTGGAGGTCAGATAGAGAGATTCTGTTTTCTGAGGTCGAAAGTGCTCTGATATTTTAACAAAAGACTGTAGCAAGAGGCCGCGCATGGTGGCTCATTCCTGTAATCCCAGGACGTTGGGAGGCCGAGGTGGGCAGATCGCCTGAGGTCGGGAGTTCGAGACCAGCCTGACCAACGTGGTGAAATCCATAATCCAGAATAATCCAGTTTTCAAATAAATATTGTAGCACCATAGTATACGGAAAACAAGTCTTTATTTTTATATTAAAGGTTAGTTTTGCTTCATCTTAGATTTAGAGTCAAACTTCTTTGGTTTGCTATTAGGAATAGTCACTTCCATTCTGGTTTCACTCAACTCTTATCTCACACACATACACACACACACACACACATTAGAGAGTCAGTCAGTGTGTCTGATGGGTGTGTCTTTGAGAACATTAGCTGAAAGGTCTTTGCGTGGCCTTTTGTGGTCAACTATTTGCTGAATCACACACTTCCCAGCACATCACCCTGGCATTTTATCATAATCAGCCTAGGAACCCAGTCATAAGCCCACATGTAAGCTGCTTGGCAAATGCAACTTGCTTCTGGAATTACATTAACTGGGTCTCCTCTTTCTACCCTGCCCCAAGCCTGCCTTGCCCTTGTTTCAAAAGAATTGAGGGTTTAAAGTAAAATCTCTTTTCTAAATGCCCTGGCTTATCCCTGGTTATTTGAAGAAATTTCTCTCTCTCTTTTTTTTTTTTTTTTGTTTTTTTGAGATGGAGTCTCGCATTGTCGCCCAGGCTGGAGT
This sequence comes from Homo sapiens, assembly GCF_000001405.40. Classification (NCBI taxonomy): domain Eukaryota; kingdom Metazoa; phylum Chordata; class Mammalia; order Primates; family Hominidae; genus Homo; species Homo sapiens. The sequence goes on along the minus strand of NC_000009.12, from coordinate 129,910,446 downwards.
ACAGCGGCACGATCTCGGCTCACTACAACCTCCGCTTCCCGGGTTCAAGCAATTCTCCTGCCTCAGCCTCCCAAGTAGCTGGGATTATAGGCGCTCGCCACCACGCCCAGCTAGTTTTTTATATTTTTAGCAGAGACGGTGTTTCACATTGTTGGCCAGGCTGGTCTCAAACTCCTGACCTTATGATCCACCCACCTCGGCCTCCCAAAGTGCTGGAATTACAGGCATGAGCCACCGTGCCCAGCACGAAATTTCTCTCTCTTTATGAACATAGCCTCACTTAAGTAAAAGCACTTGACATCACAATTTAGCCAGAGCTTTCTAACAAGTAAGCATATGTCAAAGCCTGAAACTGTTGATACTTTCTCCTTAAAGCTCATGCACAGTGTAAAGAGAGCAGCTGCTTCTGAAAAGGGAATCAAGATATCAAAATGCAGTTCTTCTGACAGATTAAAAACCGCGGAGATGAGTTTCGTACACTGTGGAAAACTGATTTTGAGGTCAGGGAGGGCATTCTCTCTGAACTCTGAGAGGCTTCCTAAAGGCCTAAAAGAAGTCACTAGGCTGGGCGCGGCGGCTCATGCCTGTAATCCCAGCACTTTGGGAGGCCAAGGTGAGCAGATCACCTGAAGTCAAGAGTTAGAGACTGTGGAAAATTAGCCGGGCGTGGTGGCACATGCCTGTAGTCCCAGCTACTTAGGAGGCTGAGGCAGGAGAATCGCTTGAACCTGGGTGGCAGAGGTTGCAGTGAGCTGAGATCGCACCACTGCACTCCAGCCTGGGCAACAGAGTGAGACTCTGTCTCAAGGAAAAAAAAAAAGTAACTAGACTTTTAGAGGCAGCAGAGGGAGGTGTGCATGGGGTAAGGAGAAGAGATTTTTTTTTTTTAATGTTCTTTTTCACCCACATTCTCTGAGGAATGTGATGTCCCATCTGTCACTTTACAGGGGTGGAGACTTTTGGCCTCAGCCTGTGTGAAGAGACTGGCAGGAATACTCACGCTAGGGAAAAGGCAGCAGCTAGGCGTGCAGTGGTTGATGGGGTTTGTATTAAGGAAACATAAATTTCATTAACACTTCAGTGTTGCCACTGACATTGATGGTAACACTTGGTAGGAAAAGGAAGAAGACTGTCTCAAAATGTGTTTTTCATGGATTCTCCCTAGAGTCAGAAGTATCTCTTACTCTCCTTTACTGTAGCGTTGCTCACTGCTTTTTCTGGGGCATTCTGGCCAGCATCCATGGAACTGGGAATGGTTTATGGGACTTATGCAGTTTGCATGCATTGATTTTTGCATCTCGGCTGGGTGTAGTGGGAAAGAGCTTAATCTATTTCATGAAGCCACATGCAGATGTCTGCACCCCCCATGGCTGCAGGCTTTGCTTTCAGCCTTCTTTCAAGGAAAGCCTGGGGCTTTCTGGTTTCTCATTTATATTTGTGTCTGCAGGGTGCAACACCGGAGGATTTCAGCAACCTCCCACCTGAACAAAGAAGGAAAAAGCTGCAGCAGAAAGTCGATGAGTTAAATAAAGAAATTCAGAAGGAGATGGATCAAAGGTATAGTGCATCAATATGACTTATTAAGAAATTCAAGGCCAGGCGCAGTGGCTCACAACCTGTAATCCCAGCACTTTGGGAGGCTGCGGTGGGTGGATCACCTGAGGTCAAGAGATCAAGACCATCCTGGCCTACATGGTGAAACCCCGTCTCTACTAAAAATATAAAAACTAGCCAGGTGCAGTGGCACACGTCTGTAGTCCCAGTTACTCAGGAGGCTGAGGCAGCAGAATTGCTTGAACTCAGGAGGCAGAGGTTGCAGTGAGCCAAGATCATGCCACTTCACTCCAGCCTGGGCAACAGAGCAAGCCTCTGTCTCAAAAAAATAAAAAATAATAATAATTAAAAATAAAATAAAAATTAAAAGAAAAGAAATTCAAGTTCAGGCTGGGCATGGTGGTTCACACCTGTAATCCCAGCACTTTGGGAGGCTGAGGCAGGAAGATCGCTTGAGTCCGGGAGTTCAAGACCAGCCCAGGCAACATAGCAAAAACCCTAAAAAAAAAAAAAAGAAAAAAACTAGCCAGGCATGATGGTGTGCACCTGTAGTCCCAGCTATTTGGGAGGCTGAAGTGGAAGGATCACCTGAGCCCAGGAGGTCCTGGCTGCAGTGAGCTATGATCATGCCACTGCACTCCAGCCTGGGCAACAGAGTGAGACCCTATCTCAAAAAAAAAAAAAAAAAGAGAGAGAGACCAGCCTTGGCAACATAGTGAGACCCCATCTCTACAAAAATAAACAAAAGTAGCTGGGTGTGATGGCACACCTGTAGTCCCAGCTACTTGGGAGGCTGAGGTGGGGAGAATTGCTTTAGCCTGGGAGGTGGAGGCTGCAGTGAGCTGTTTGCTTAAGAATCAAAACCCAGCTGGGCACAGTGGCTCACACCTGTAATCCCAGCACTTTGGGAGGCCGAGGCGGGCAGATCACAAGGTCAGGAGATCGAGACCATCCTGGCTAACACGGTGAAACCCTGTCTCTACTAAAATTACAAAAAATTAGCTCGCATGGTGGCGGGCGCCTATAGTCCCAGCTACTTGGGAGGCTGAGACAGGAGAATGGCATGAACCCGGGAGGCGGAGCTTGCAGTGAGCCGAGATTGCGCCACTGCACTCCAGCCTGGGTGATGGAGCGAGACTCTGTCTCAAAACAAAACAAAAAAATCAAAACCCATTTGCCATAAAGCAGAGATGCCATAGAGGAGGAGGGCCTCTGTGAGGGGAAGGTGCATTCATTAAAACAGCTGTAGGAAAAGCCAGTCAAATAACACACACACACACACACACACACACACACACACACACACACACACCCTCACTCCTAGCAAGAGCTAAGGATCTGTCTCAAGAGGTATACCACTGCATTCCACCTTGGGCAACAGAGCAAGACCCCGTCTCCAAGAAAAAAGCACAAAGTAGGATGATAGATGTTAAATACCAAGCACTCCAGATACCCTGGGGTCAAATCTGGCTCTATCAGTTACTACTGCTGATGTGTCAGTGTGCATAACATGCTTGGAACCGTGCCTGGCACATAAGTGTCTGCGAAATAAAATGAATCAATATGTTAAAGGTAAACAAACTACGTGTTTCAATTAAAAGATATTCTCAGAATGGACCAAAAAATTAAAAACCCAATACACAAAGCAATGTATGCTATCTACAAAAGACACATCTAACTTATAAGCTCTAGAAATGTAGAAGTAAAAAAATGGGAGAGAAGATATACCATGCAAGGGCCAATCAAAAGGAAACTGGTGTTACAAGGCTGGCTTTTGGGCTGAATAAAAGGAAAGAAAAAAAAAAAACGTGCTTGGGCCAGGCGCAGTGGCTCACGCCTGTAATCCCAGCACTTTGGGAGGCGGAGGCGGGCGGATCACGAGGTCAGGAGATTGAGACCATCCTGGCCAACATGGTGAAACCCCATCTCTACTAAAAATACAAAAATTAGCTGGGAGTGGTGGTGTGTGCCTGTAATCCCAGCTACTAGGGAGGCTGAGGCAGGAGAATCCCTTCAACCAGGGAGTCAGAGGTTGCAGTGAGCCAAGACTGTGCTGCTGCACTCCAGCCTGGCAACAGAGCGAGACTCTGTCTCAAAAAAAAAAAGTGCTCAAAGTTAGTATAGAAGACTTAAATTATACATTTAGTAACATTGACCTAATACATAAACATCTAACAACTGCAGGGCACACACTGTATTAGCCCATTCTCATGCTGCTAATAAAGACATATTTGAGGCTGAGTAATTTATAAAGAAAAAGAGGTTTCATGGACTCATAGTTCCACATGGATAGGGAGGCCTCACAATCATGGCGGAAGGCAAAGGAGGAGCAAAGGCATGTCTTACATGGTGGCATTCGGCAGAGCTTGTGCAAGGGAACTGCCCTTTATAAAACCATTGGAGCTCATAAGACTCACTATTACGAGAGCAGCCTGGGAAAAACCGCCCCCATGATTCAATTACTTCCCACTGGGTCCCTCCCATGACACATGGGGATATGGGAGCTACAATTCAAGATGAGATTTGGGCCAGGGCACAGCTAAACCATATCAACACTCTTTTCAAGCCCACATAAGAACATTTTCAAAATTGAGTATATCTTTGTTTCACAAAGCAAATCTCAATAAATATCAAAGGAAATGTATCATTCAAGCTATATTATCTATATTCTGCAATTAAGCTGGATACCAATAACAAATATTAAGAAATTGGCCAGGCGCGGTGGCTCATGCCTGTAATCCCAGCACTTTGGGAGGCTGAGGCAGGCAGATCACCTGAGGTCGGGAGTTCAACACCAGCCTGACCAACATGAAGAAACCCCATCTCTACTAAAAATACAAAATTAGCCAGGCGTGGTGGCGCATGTCTGTAATCCCAGCTACTCGGGAGGATGAGGCAGGAGAGTCGCTTGAACCCAGGAGGCAGAGGTTGCAGTGAGCTGAGATCGCGCCATTACATTCCAGCCTAGGCAACAAGAGCAAAACTCAGTCTCAAAAAAAAACAAAAAAAAAAAGAAATATGCCTCTAAATAAGCCACAAACTAAACAAAAAATCATAGTAGATATTAGAAAGTATATGAAATAGAATTGAACTTTAACATACATTCTATATATAGTTTGTGGGATGTCCTTAAAGCCACGCATATAGAGAGATTTATTGCTCTGAATGCATATTAAAAACAGAGGTAAAAATCACTGAGCCTTAGCTCACTTAGATCCTCACTTACGATCTATCTCAAGAAGTCGGAAAAAGAACAGCAAATTAAGCCCAAAGGAAATAGAAGCGGCTGGGCATGGTGGCTCATGCCTGGAATCCCAGCACTTTGGAGACTGAGGTGGGTGGATCATCTGAGGTCAGGAGTTCAAGACCAGCTTGGCCAACATGGCAAAACCCTGTCTCTACTAAAAATACAAAAATTAGCTGGGCATGATGGGGCGCCTGTAGTCCCAGCTACTCAGGAGGCTGAGGCAGGAGAGTCGCTTGAACCCGGGAGGCAGAGGGTGCAGTGAGCCAAGATCATACCACTGCATTCCAGCCTAGGCGACAGAGTAAGACCCTATCTCAAAAATAATTAACAAAATATATATATATATATATACACACACACACACACACACAATTCAACAGATCCAAAAGTTCTTCCTTAAAAAGATCAATAAAGTTGATAAACATGTGGAAAGATTGATTAGGAAAGACTGGGAGGAGAGAAGCTAAAGATAATGGATATAGACAACTCTGTTGAGGGCTTTTGCTGAGAAATAGGGAGGTAGTGGGAGGTGTGGGCCATGAAGTCAAGAGACGAGACGGGTTTCGGAAAGGACATCATAAGGGTGGACAACATTACACTTGGCTTGTCATGTTTGTTATTTGTTAAATAAATAAATGTTTATTTAAACATTTTTAAGAACATTTAACATTATTTAAAAATGTTTAAAAATTATTTATAAACATGATTTTTAAATGTTTATTTAAATATGTATTTATTTAACAAATATTCATTGAGCATCTACTATGTGCCAAGGATGGCTTCGACACTTGGGATCCATCAAGTTAACAATGTAACTTGAGCTCATAGAGCTTCCTCCAAGAGCTTCCATTGTAACAGGAGGAGACAGACAGTGAACAATAAGCATAATAATAATGAATGATGCATGCTGTGGGAAAGAAGGCAGGAAGGAAATAAGGAAGATAGGAAGGAAGGAAGAGAGGAAAGAAACAAGATAAAGCGGCTGGAAGTCCAAGTGGGTCTCAGCCTCTTAGGTGGAGGGTGGTGAGGACTTGTAGAAGCTCTCTTCCTGTTATTTCTATATTTTTAGTTAAACTATTTCTCATGACTCAGAATGTATCTTTTGGTTTGTCTTTTGGCCTTCTATTGTATTGTATGGCCTGCTTTGGATTTTCTTTTGCTGACACTCATCAAAGTTGGCCCTTAACCCTGGCAGTCATTTGCTCTAAATTTTTAATGACTCGAAGCCTACCAAAAGTGCCCTGCAACAAGGGTAAAATTAGTAGAGCTCTTTGGTCTTCAACCCAAACATGCCCCAAACTTCTCTAGGGATGCCTGCCCGGGCTACCATGGGCTGCTTCCAGACATGATTTCAGGAAGGATGTGGGATCCACAGTGTGTAGCTTTAAGGCTCTGTCACTTACCTGTCGTGGATACCAACTATGGATTCAGTTTCTTAACAGTGGAAATGGGTGTGTGTTAACATTTCCAAAGCAATTGACTGTGCTTCTTCGTCAGGTGAGCACATGCAGCCCGTGAGACCCAGGATGCCAGCTGTAGCTTTGGTTTGCATGAAGAATGCACACGTGGAAATATTTGGGGGTTTTTGTTTGTTTGTTTTGTTTTGTTTGAGATGGAGTCTTGCTCTGTCGCCCAGGCTGGAGTGCAGTGGCGTGATCTCGGCTCACTGCAACCTCCACCTCCTGGGTTCAAGTGATTCTCCTGCCTAAGCCTCCCAAGTAGCTGGGATTAAGGGGACATGCCATCACGCCTGGCTAATTTTTGTAATTTTAGTAGAGACGGGGTTTCACCATGTTGGAAATACTTGGGTTTTGAAGCCAGATTCGGTGGCTCATGCCTGTAATCCCAGCACTTTGGGAGGCCGAGGCAGGTGGATTGCTTGAGGCCAGGAGTTCAAGACCAGCCTGGGCAACATGGCAAAACGCAGTCTCTACCAAAAATACAAAAATTAGCCAGTCTCATAACCTGGTCTCAAAAATAAATTAATTAATTAAAAATTTTTAAAGTATTGGCTTTTATTTATTTATTTATTTTATCTGTGTGGCAAAGGGAAGGGCAGGATTAATTTATGCTTCTCAGTTATTGGGGACAATAAGGAGATAACCATTAGAGAAGAGAACTGAAATTGAAAAATCAGCTTCTTTATTTATAGCCATTGGTAGCAGAATTCCTATAGAGAATTTCCAGAATGGAAGCTGGCCCAATAGTCCCTTATCCATACTCTAATCTTCCCACGTTTCCATTCATATGGCTTTCAAAGTGGTAGAATATTGGCTGATAAGAGTAACCTTTGCCGGGTGGTGCGGTAGCTCACGCCTATAATCCCAGCACTTTAGGAGGCTGAGGCAGGCAGATCACCTAAGGTCAGGAGTTCAAGACCAGCCTGGCCAACGTGGCAAAACCCCATCTCTACTAAAAATACAAAAATTAGGTGGGTGTGGTGGCATGCACCTGTAATCCCAGCTATTCTGGAGGCTGAGGCAGCAGAATTGCTTGAACCCTGGAGGTGAAGGTTGCAGTGAGCCAAGATCGTTGCAGTGAGCCGAGATCGCACCATTGCACTCCAGCCTGGGTGACAAGAGTGAAACTGTCTAAAAAAAAAATGGAGTAACCTTTACAGCATTCTACTCGTTCTTTCTTTCAGAGATGCCATAACAAAAATGAAAGATGTCTACCTAAAGAATCCTCAGATGGGAGACCCAGCCAGTTTGGATCACAAATTAGCAGAAGTCAGCCAAAATATAGAGAAACTGCGAGTAGAGACCCAGAAATTTGAGGTATGAAACTTCTGTTGTGGAAAGCTTTGTTGGAAACGAAGAACAGGTGTTCCTCGGTGTAGAATGGTGTGGGGCCCTGACGATCCTCTCACTGGGAGGTACACAGTGGGAATGGCAGGCTGTTTCAGGAGTTATGGTCAAAGGAAAAATACACTCTTCGCCGTTGAACATTCTCCTACTCATCATAGCCTATCTTAATCGTGGCTGTAAAACCTGACAATGTTTAATGTTGTATCTGTATACGGTGCGGGGTTGGCGGGGTTGTTTTTTAATTTTAGAGACAGGATTTTGCTTTGTTGCCCAGGCTGGAGTACAGTGGCATGCTTGTAGCTCACTGCAGCCTTGATCTCCTTGGCTCAGCCTTTGAGGAGCTGGGATTACAGGCACATGCCACCATACCTGGCTAACTTTTATTTTTCAATTTTTTATTTGTTTTAGAGTTGAGGTCTTGCTCTGTTGCACAGACTGGTCTTGAACTCCTGGCCTTAAGCCATCCTCCCACCTTGGCCTCCCAGAGTGCTGGGATTACAGCTGTGAGCCACTGTGAGCCACTGTGCCTGGCCAGTATTTTTTGTACTTTAAGTTATTCTGCTTCATCTCATGGTAATAAAATTGGGAGTATAGAGCGATCCGTTATCCCAGTGAATCAAAGAAGCAATGAAAAAAATCCCCTGAAATATACAATTGTTCTCTCAGCAGGCCCATTATGGAAAGGGTGTGTGTGAGAACCAGCAGCAAACACAAAGGAGAAACAAGCAGGAAACATAAATAATCAAAGCTTGAGGGAGGGAGAGGAGCACTCAAAAGCTGTCAACAAAAGCCTCCTGAACCCACTCTCCCTACCACGTTTAAAGACTACAGAGCATGGAAAAATACATTAGCAACCGATTCTACCAGTCAGAATAGATTGTTTCCAGCAATGAAGGGTCAACTATGGCTTTTTTCATTCTTTTTTTTGAGATGAAGTCTCGCCCTGTTGCCCAGGCTGGAGTGTAGTAGCGTGATCTCACCTCAGTGTGACCTCCACTTCCCAGGTTCAAGTGATTCTCCTGCCTCAGCCTCCTGAGTAGCTGGGACTACAGGTGTGTACCACCACACCCGGCTACTTTTTGTATTTTTGGTAGAGACAGGGTTTTGCCATGTTGGCCAGGCTGGTCTCGAACTCCTGACCTCAGATGCTCCACCCACCTTGGCTTCCCAAAGTGCTGGGATTACAGGCGTGAGCCACCACACCTGGCCAGCTTTTTCCATTCTTTTCAGAATCCATCATTAATGTTCATTTGAGCATTTAGAACTTAGAACGGTCCTTTTCTTATTATTATTCTTTTTTTTGAGACAGAGTCTCGCTCTGTCACCCAAGCTGGAGTGCAGTGGTGCAGTCTCGACTCACTGTAACCTCCACCTCCTGAGTTCCAGTGATTCTCGTGCCTCAGCCTCCCGAGTAGCTGGGACTACAGGCATGTGCCACCATGCCCAGCTAATTTTTGTATTTTTAATGGAGATGGAGTTTCACCATGTTGGCCAGGCTGGTCTCGAACTCCTGACCTCAGGTGATCTGCCCACCTCTCCCAAAGTGCTGGGATTACAGGCGCTCACCACCACCCCCAGCTAATTTTTGTACTCTTAGTAGAGACAGCGTTTCACCATGTTGGCCAGGCTGGTCTGAAACTCCCAACCTGAAGTGATTCACCCACCTCGGCCTCCCAAAGTGCTGGGATTACAGGTGTGGCCACCGCGCCCGGCCTTCTCGTCATTTTTATTCCTTTGACTTGTTTATACTGTTTCAAATGCTGAAGGTCATTTTATCTACTTTAATTTTTAAGTACAAGTTTCATTTCTATCAAAAAAAAAAGTTACACTCCTAAAAAATAGGAAGTGTGGCTTTCAAACTGAGTCACTGCTTTAAGCATGGCTGTACCTTCAGGTATCACAGGGCGACCTCATGGTCAAGAAGGAACTAGAAGTGACTTATCCAAGACTGCACTGCTGCTTAAAAGCCCAAGGGGATAGCATAGTCCAGTGTGCTTTCTGCCCCATCGTGGGCAACCACATAAATATGAGTTTGTTTCTATGTCTCCAACTTCGGGTGAAATGGAAGCAACCGTCCTTCAGTACATTTGAACAGTCGAAGGCAGAAAACGTGGCCATTCTGCCCCCACGTGGACTTCCTCACATTGGGTTAAATGGCCAAGAGTAGCCCCTGAGTTTGGGACCTTAGGATGCTCCGGGCTGGCCCTCAGATGGCCTTTGGGACCTTAGGACACTCTGGGCTGACCCTCAGATGGCCTTAGGTTGGAGTCTCTCATTGCTTTTGTCTCCAGGCCTGGCTGGCTGAGGTTGAAGGCCGGCTCCCAGCACGCAGCGAGCAGGCGCGCCGGCAGAGCGGACTGTACGACAGCCAGAACCCACCCACAGTCAACAACTGCGCCCAGGACCGTGAGAGGTACAGTATCTGCACAGCGCCTGCCTCTGGCAAGGGAGCCTGTTGGCTTTGTATTTATTTCTAAATTTTGGAATCTGGAATGACCATAAGGCACTTGTTCAATGCCAAAATGTCTGTTGCGATTGACCTGTCACTTTTTCCATGATGCAGATTTATAATTCCACATGGGATGGGTGATCTGAGCGTGCGATGATTTACCATGGCCTCAGTTACAGCACTCGCTGAGGGGCGGGGTTGCAAGTGCTCTCCAGTCGCAGGGACTCAATCTGAGTCCTCCCTGGGGTCAGTCGCTTTAGTTGCTTTGTGTTTTCCTTTCTTGAGCAGCCCAGATGGCAGTTACACAGAGGAGCAGAGTCAGGAGAGTGAGATGAAGGTGCTGGCCACGGATTTTGACGACGAGTTTGATGATGAGGAGCCCCTCCCTGCCATAGGGACGTGCAAAGCTCTCTACACATTTGAAGGTGACATTTCATGTCTGCTGGATTCCCCTGCCTTTTATAAACCATAATATCTGAGTTACTCTTCTTTCACTTTTCCTTCCTTCCTTCCTTCTGATCATTTTTATTCCTTTGTCCTTCCTTCCTTCCTTCCTACCTTCCCTTCCCCTTCCCCTTCCCCTTCCCCTTCCTTCCTTCCCTTCCCTTCCCTCCCTTCCCTTCCTTCCCTTCCTTCCCTTCCTTCCTTCCTTCCTTTTTTTCATACAGGGTCTCGCTCTCTTGCCCAAGTTAGAGTGCAGTGGTGCAATCATGGCTCACTGCAGCCTTGACCTCCTGGGCTCAAGTGATCCTCCAACCTCAGCCTCCTGAGTAGCTGGGACTACAGGCAAGCACCACCATGTCCGGCTCATTTTTGTACTTTTGTACTTTTTGTACTTTTCAGTAGAGACAGGGTCTCACTATGTTGCCCAGGCTGGTGTTGAACTCCTGGATTCAAGCAGTACTCCTGCCTCAGCCTCCCAAAGTGCTGTGATCACAGGTGTGAGCCACTGTGCCTAGCCACACTCTTCTCTTTCTGTGACCAGAACTTTCTTTAGAAGCCTTCCAGATCTGGCCGGGCATGGTGGCTCACACCTGTAATCCTAGAACTTTGGGAGGCTGAGGCGGGCAGGTCACTTGAGGCCAGGAGTTCAAGACCAGCCTCGCCAACATGGTGAAATCCCATCTCTACTAAAAATACAAAAACTGGCTGGGCATGCTGGCAGGCGCCTGTAATCCCAGCTGCTCGGGAGGCTGAGGCACGAGAATCACTTGAACCCGGGAGGCGGAGGTTGCAGTGAGCTGAGATAGCGCCACTGTACTCCAGCCTGGGTGACAGAACGAGACTCTGTCTCAAAAAAAAAAAAAAAGCTGCAGCAGCAGCCTTCCAGATCCTTCTCTACTATGCTTTTATCCTACTCATGGTATGATTATTATTTGGTTGTATATTTTGACTTTTGGTTCGTATAACTTAACAGCTTCCAGAGAGCTTGCTTCACTGCAGCAGACGATAGGGAGGATGATCATTTCATCCATTCATTTAATATCTAGTATCTATAGCGCTCCTGTCTTGTAAAGGCCCATGAAGTGGGGGGATGCAGGTCGTATGATATGGCACCTGCCCAGAGGGAAATCAGGCAGACACACTTAAGGAGCAAGCAGCGGCTGGGTGCAGTGGCTCACGCCTGTAATCCCAGCACTTTGGGAGGCCGAGGCAGGCGGATCGTGAGGTCAGGAGATCGAGACCATCCTGGCCAACATGGTGAAACCCCATCTCTACTAAAAATACAAAAATCAGCTAAGCGTGGTAGCGCATGCCTGTAATTCCAGCTACTTGGGAGGCTGAAGCAGGAGACTCACTTAAACCAGGAGTCGGAGGTGGCAGTGAGCCGAGGTCGTGCCACTTTACTCCAGCCTGGCAACAGAGCAAGACTCCCTCTCAAAAAAAAAAAGCAGGCAGTTTGCAGTGTTTGCCAGAAGAGGGATACAGAGGAACGGGGAGGACAGGGGAGAATGAGGTCGCTTCCTTAAGGAAGTTTGGAGAACTTGCCATGGCATGGGGGGTGTGGCCAGAAATGGGTGTGGTGTGGCTGGAGCTTAGATGTCTTAAGTCCTAATAGTGAAATGTGGCACTAAAGAGTGGGAAGTGCCAATGGGGGCGAGGTAGGGAAACATCTGGGTTTTATGTGGCAAACATTGAGGAGCTATGGGAGGTCCCCTAGCAGGGTGTCGATGCAGTCAGAGCTGTACCTTAGGAAAGTCATCGTCAGATGTGTAGGATCCACTGGAAGACATGGAGGATGGTTAGAAAGACTAGCCCAGGCCGGGCATGGTGGCTCACGCCTGTAATCCTAGAACTTTGGGAGGCTGAGGCAGGCAGATCACCTGAGGTCAGGAGTTCTAGACCAGCCTGCCCAACATGATGAAACCCCGTCTCTACTAAAAATACAAAAATCAGTGAGGCGTGGTGGCGGGCGCCTGTAATCCCAGCTACTCGGGAGGCTGAAGCATGAGAATTGCTTGAACCCAGGAGGCAGAGGTTGCAGTGAGCCAAGATCGTGCCATTGTACTCCAGTATGGGCAACAGAGGGCAACTCTGTCTCAAAAAAAAGAAAGAAAAGATAAACTAGCTTAGTGTTTCTAAACCAATGAACCTTGAAACGATGTCCTGCAGAGCGTTAATAAGGAGGCCATGAAAGAAGCTCTCAGGCCAGGCTCAGTGGCTCACACCTGTAATCCCAGCACTTTGGGAGGCTGAGGCCAAGAGTTCAGGGCTACAGTGAGCTATGATCGTACCACTGCACTCCAGCCTAGGCGATAGTGTGAAACCCTCTCTAAAAAATAAATAAATAAATAAATAAAATTACGAAAAAGTTGCATTTTAATATAATGAATAAATTTTTAAAACTAGCAATCAGAGCTCAAGTAAGTTTGGGAAGCCCTGGGATAAATAAATTTTACAGATTTCTTTACTACAGGACTTTTCAGAGCCTTTAATAGACTAAATGTTCATTGTGACAAAATAAGAAAGACGTACCAGTTTAAACGTTCCCAGTTTTACTTCATATTCCAACCATCCCCCACCGTACCCTGTTGCCCTGTTAACAGCTCCCTAAACTCTTTGCCTTGCAGAAAACTGGGGGGTGGTGGGCAGCCTTTGAAATGATCCTAGCAGAAGGTCTTGGGGGCCTTGTTCAAGGAATGGATACAGAGATGCCGCCATTGACAAACTGCATATATTCGGGGCTGATCAAAAGCCAGGAACAAAAAGGAGAGGAAATCCAAGACGGCTCCCAGAGTTGCATTCCTGGGAGGACAGAGAGGTCTAGGGAAGTGGAAAAGCAGGAGGATATAGTTAGGAGGAAGAACAGTGAATCCAGGTTCATCTATGTTGTTTCAGGTGTTGGGGCCATGTCTAGGTGGCAGTGTGCTGCAGACAGTGGGAAAAGTGGAATCTTGGCTGCAGAAAGTACCAGAATGGAAGCAATATGTGAGGACAGTGTTTAAAGAGGAGCAGTTGGGCCGGGCGTGGTGGCTCACGCCTGTAATCCCAGCGCTTTGGGAGGCCGAGGCGGGTGGATCACCTGAGGTCAGGAGTTCAAGACCAGCCTGACCAACATGGTGAAACCTCGTCTCTACTAAAAATACAAAATTAGCCGGGCGTGGTGGCACATGCCTGTAATCTCAGCTACTCGGGAGGCCGAGGCAGGAGAATCACTTGAACCCGGGACAAGTGGCATCACACTCCAGCCTGGGCAACAGAGCAAGACTCTGTCTCAAAACAAACAAACAACAACAACAAAAAAATTGGGAGGCTGAGGCTGGTGGATCACCTAAGGTCAGGAGTCAGACCAGCCTGACCAACATGGTGAAACCCCATCTCTACTAAAAATAGAAAGGTTAGCCGGGTGTGGTGGTGCACACCTATAGTCTCAGCTGCTCGGGAGGCTGAGACAGGAGAATCGCTTGAACCGGGGAGGTGGAGGTTGCAGTGAGTTGAGATTGCACCACAGCACTCTGGCCTGGGCAACAAGAGCAAGACTCCATCCCCCACAACCCCCCCAAAAAATAACAGACAAAAGAGAAGCAGTTGGAGCCACGAGGGTACCTTTCTCCTGAGAGAGATCCAAGTGAGACAGAAGAAGACTAGAGAAGAGAACCAAAGATTTATCCAGTGAGAAATACTTACCATTCTGGGAGGGAGGAGAAAGAGGGCCCTGGAGGACTTAGAGAGGGTCCCTAGAGAGACAGAGGTAAGAACCTGGACATTTCTGTGCAGAAGGAGATGGTTTTGAGGCAGTGGGTGAGGGGTCCGTGCATCTGAGAAGGTCCGAGTGGGGTGAATTTTGTGTGGACTTCATCTTCGACGACACTTGTTTCATTGCGAAGGCCACTGTTTGCTTCCTCCCTGCATTTGCCAAGACATCTAACATATCCTGATATTGCTTTTTCAGGTCAGAATGAAGGAACGATTTCCGTAGTTGAAGGAGAAACATTGTATGTCATAGAGGAAGACAAAGGCGATGGCTGGACCCGCATTCGGAGAAATGAAGATGAAGAGGGTTATGTCCCCACTTCATATGTCGAAGTCTGTTTGGACAAAAATGCCAAAGGTGCTAAGACTTATATTTAATACCATAAAAAAAAAAAACTTAAAAAAAATGGAGTTGTTTCTCCCCACAACCATGACTGTTACAGGCAGTTCCTCAAGAGACTGGCTGGCAAGCACCATAATGCACGTTCTCCTGTAGTCTCACGTGGACTTCAGGGTCTGGGCACCTGAATTGCCTTGTCTAGTTTGGGCTGTAATCAAGTTTCACTTGCTGATGAAATTTTATGTGGAAAGCTGCCAACCGCCAACTTACAGCTATGTCATTCAAAATCTGATAAACATTTCTTCTTTTGGCGGTATCTGTAGATTAAAAAAAAAGTTGCATTGTAGCTTCTCATCTTTCTGAATTTAAAAGCCGGCACGCATCATGCAGGTGCCAAAGACTTCCCTACTCTTGTTTATATCTAGTATCCACCATACACTGAGCTACATTAGGTGGTTACAGATTGTAACTTAATAAACTGAACTGTGTTAGTTTGTTAAATTGTATACTCATTCACTTGGGAGGAAGTCACAAGTGAAATAACATCTCCTTCTTGACTAAAGCAGTAAATAAGATTCTTATATTGGCACCAAAAGTGTGTGTTTTTACTTAAACCTGGTCAGCATCCTTGGTAGGGCATCACGAGTACCCTGTTCCATCTACATGATCCCAGACAACCAGCTGAAATCTGGAAAAGTTTGGTGAATTGACCACTTGATTTTTACATTGCATTGCTGATTTTCCAAGTGTCATCAAATTGACAGGTTTTTGTTGTTGTGTTTGTGTTTTTGTTGTTGTTGTTGTTTTGAGACAGAGTCTGGCTCTGTTGCCCAGGCTGGAGTACAGTGGCTCACTGCAACCTCCGCCTCCCCCAGGTTCAAGCGATTCTCCTGCCTCAGCCTCCCGAGTAGCTGGGATTACAGGTGTGCACCACCACGCCTGGCTAATTTTTGTATTTTTAGTAGAGACGGGTTCGCTCTGTTGGCCAGGCTGGTCTCAAACTCCTGACCTCAAGTGATCTGCCTGCTTCTGCCTCCCAAAGTGCTGGGATTATAGGCGTGAGCCACCGCACCTGGCCCAAATTGACAGTTGATCAGATGTGCTAGTGCTGTTTAGATGGAGTTACTTAAAAGGCAGAGCGTGTCCCTGCATCAGCTCCTTTTGGCTGTGATTTCCTCTCACACTTGGTTCGGTTTCTGTTGGTTTTCCAAGTAGAGCTGCACTCACGCTTGCCCAGGTGGGGCTATAAAGAGAACGTGGTGTGGCAGCAAATGCTTCTCCCCACAGACACAGATCTCAGCACATTGCTGTTCAAAGACTTTGGGGGTTTGCTTTTGTTTTTTTGTTGTTGTTGTTTTTGTTTTGTTTTGTTTCTGCTTTTAATCATTGGCAAGGTTTGGATTTACTGGAAATTATTTTAGAATTTCTGGCTCATTTTATACAATTAACTGTAGCCAGAATGAAGTAAAATGTCTCACCACATCGAAAGGAATCTAGGCCACATGAGAATTTGCATTTTTAAATTGGCATTGATGTGGGAGGGGAGATAGTGAAGTTGGTCACATGCGTAGATGGTTGCCAGGCATTTCACTGTGCCCATTTCCAGAATCCACCCCGAGATCATAGACAACCCACTACAAATGGGTCAGAATGAAGGTGTTGGGTCAGATTCTCTTTTTATTTGATTTTGAAAATTATTTCCTTGTGTCCTTCCTACTTTCAAGTAGGAAATTAGCCCCTGCCTGCCTCTACATTGTGGGTTCATTTGATCAGCTCAAGTCCATTTAAAGCTGATTTTCCAAGCAGTAGCTGCACATTCGGGCTCTAGAACCTAGTAGGGGTTCTGGATGCTAGGGGCCGTGTTTCAAGATTCTCACAGCCAGTTAACCTTTATTTAGTGACAGCCTGATTTTTTAAAAAACTTTTTTTTTTTTTTTTTTTGAGATGGAGTCTCGCTCTGTCGCCAGGATGGAGTGCGGTGGCACAATCTTGGCTCACTGCAACCTCTGCCTCCTGAGTTCAAGCGATTCTCCTGCTTCAGCCTCCCAAGTAGCTGGGACTACAGGCGTGTGCCACCATGCCCAGCTAATTTTTTGTATTTTTAGTAGAGACAGGGTTTCACCGTGTTAGCCAGAATGGTCTTGATCTCCTGACCTCATGATCTGTCCACCTCAGCCTCCCAAAGTGTTGGGATTACAGGCATGAGCCCGTGCCTGGCTTTTTTTTTTTTTTTTTTTTTTTTTGAGACAGAGTCTCACTCTGTCACCTAGACTCAAGGGCAATGATACAATCCTGGCTCACTACAACCTCTGCCTCCCGAGTTCAAGTAATTCTTGTGCCTCAGCCTCCCCAGTAGCTGGGATTACAGGTGCCTGCCACCACACCCGGCTAATCTTTGTATTTTTTTTTTTTTTTAGTAAAGACAGGTTTTCACCATGTTGGCCAGGCTTGTCTCAAACTCTTGGGCTCAAGTGATCCGCCCGCCTCAGCCTCCCAAAGTGCTGGGATTACAGGGTGAGCCACCGTGCCAGGCCCAAATTTCTTTTGGATACTTTTGCTGGCATAGTATCAATAAAGCCACCCATCCCGACCCCAGGCCTCTTTGTAGATATTGCAGCAAGAAAATCAGCTGACCCTTCAACCACAAGGATCTGTTTAAATGAGCAGTAGGAAGTTTCCAGCTTTACCCAGTAAACAAGTGAATGGGAAACCTAAGGTATTAAAATCTGACCTTTCTATCCGATGACAAACTCATTTCCAGTCTGTGAACTCCTGGACAAAGCAAACTAACCACTGAAAAACTCGAAAATAGGGCAAGACGACATTAACCTTGTGAAAGTCTGCTTTGAAAAAAGGCATTCTGTCAAGCTGTGTATTTTTTTCTTGATTATTCAAATTTATTTCGTTATTCAAATTTAATTCAGAAAATAGCTCAGTTGGTTTCAGGGGGAATGGGGTGGGAGGGGTTTGGGCACATAAATTTATGATGATAATTTTAAATGTACGATCATTAAGTTGTATGCCTCAGTACTATAACAGGTGAATCTCTGTAATATTGACTAAACAGTTAAAAGATATTTTGTAAATTTCAGGTCCATCGCATCAATGCATGAAATATTAGAAAACCAAATTCCAAAGAATCAGGAATTTCCATTTCCACCCAAAGTATACTTTATTATCTTCTAGCAGTTGTCTGTTAATATAAAAGCAGCAAAATCTCAGCTACTTATATAATTTTCTCCTTTTATTTGAAAGTTACACTTAGAGATTAATAATATGTACAGAGAAGCTTTTCCTGCCTACTCTGTTTATAACTCTGTCCAACTTGCCCACAAACACTGCCCTCCTTCAACCCATCTGATGTGGGCAAAGCCACTGTTTTCTTAGGCCCATAACTCAGTGCAGCTGTTTTATTTTTATAATGCCGGTCAACCTTTTTGTGTGTGTGTGTGTGTGTGTGTGTGTGTGTGTGTGTGTGTGTGTGTGTGTCTACGATGTGCTTATTTAATAATTGCCAAAATATTTAGACTAGAGTAACTTCCGGTGGGTCAATTGGATTGTGACTTTCTTTTGTGGTTTTTTGGTTCTTCGATTGCTCTCTGTTAAATATTTTCATAATTCCCCCCACAGAATACGTGTGTATATACTGCAACTTAAAAACTAAAAGCAGTACTCGAATGAGTTGTTTTAATGTTGTACTTTTATCTGTTTGTTTTATGGGTTCTCCTGCTGCCTAATGACCTTTCTGTTTTTATAACTGCCGGAAAGCCGCGAAGCCTCTCGCATGGGGAGCTAGGTCCCCGCTGCGGCTCCGCACTTGAGTTTATTATAAACTCTGGGGTTCTGAGTAAGTTTTGTTTGAATACAGCAACATGATTGTCTCTTTCTATTCTTATCCTAAAAGACTCTGTCTGGCATCTTTTAGTTGTACCCTCGTATCTGCTTCTCTAATAAATGTTATATTTTTTCTCAGTATTGTGTATTTTAAGTGACTTTTCATGTTTCCAAGAAAATTATTCTGTGTAATATGAATATTTAACTCTTTCATCTCCAGTAATAGGGGATTTTCTAGCCCAATGCTTTTTTAAAAATTCTGCCTCCCACCCCTACCTCCTCCTTTAAATGATGGCACCTCCCCTGTTTCTGATCTTGCGTGCACTCAGGGCCTGAGAAGTCTGTGTTTCTTTTGTTTCTTTTCTCTCTCCTTGAGATGAAGAGCTTTTCACGGTTTATTGCGGAATGAATACAGAACAACAGGTTTTCCTTTTCACCAAAGATTTTACATTGTACTGCTGAAGAGCCAAGAGTTTCCTTCTGAGAGAATTGGACCTTCATGTTCCTTGTACCATTCTAGGAAATTGATGCATTTCTTTTCTTTTCTTTTTTTTCTGGAGTTGAATTCTCACTCTGTTGCCCAAGCTGAAGTGCAGTGGTGTGATCCTGGCTCGCTGCAGCCTCGACCTCCCTGGGCTCAAGCCATCCTTCCAACTCATCTTCCCGAATAGCCGGGACTACAGGCGCATGCCAACATGCTGGTTAATTTTTTTTTAATTTTTTGTAGAGATGAGGTCTGGCTATGTTGTGGCCCAGGCTGGTCTTGAACTCCTGAGCTCATGCATCCTCCCTCTTCAGCCTCTCAAAGTGCTGGGATTACAGGTATGAGCCACTGCACCCAACCTCCGTTTCCTTTTTTTTTTTTTTAAGACGGAGTCTTGCTCTGTTGTCCAGGCTGGAGTGCAGTGGCCCGATCTCAGCTCACTGCAACCTCCGCCTCCTGGGTTGAAGCGATTCTTCTGCCTCAGCCTCCCAAGTAGCTGGGATTACAGGCACCTGCCACCACGCCAGGCTAATTGTTGTATTTTTAATAGAGATGGGTTTTCACCATGTTAGCCAGGCTGGTCTTGAACTCCTGACCTCGTGATCTGCCTGCCTCAGGCTCCCAAAGTGCTGGGATTACAGGCATGAGCCACGGCGCCCAGCCCCGGCCTCCGTTTCTTACTTTCTCTCAAAACTAAACTTATGAGAAAGACGAGTTGGGGCGGATGGCCTCATCAGTCTCCTGTTTGGGCTTCTCTTAACTCTGAAGGAAAGACCAGCTAAAGGCTAGAGAGAAAACCGTGAAAGTTCCTCATCTCAGACCCGCCCTGTGGTAACCGATTGCTCTAAGACGCCCCCTCCCATCCCTCCCCTCCCACTACCCTCCCCTCCCAGGGCGGTGCAGTTTGTAGCCAAGAGCAAAATGCCCGCCTGGAACCCGCGCCTTCCTCTCTAACAGAGAGTTTCTCTTTCTGTTTCTCTTTGTGTTGTAGATTCCTAGAGGGGAGTGCCTGCGAGCCTCGGGTGAGCCTTCCTGGAGGAGCCTCCGTCTGCTTGTTCCCACAGGCCTCCAGCGCCCTGCCCTGTGGACAGCCCACCCCTCCGCAGCCCCATCCCTGCGGGGCGGTCTCTCTCTCTCTCCAGCATGCTCCCTGCGGCCCTGCCCTCCCGCCCAGCCCGGGCCACCTCGTGGGGGACAAGTCTCGCCAGCGCCCACCCCCATGGCTCGGGTCAGTCCTCATCGCTCCCCCTCCCCACCCCGCGCAGGCCACTGAGACGGTGGGACACACGCCCCTACCTGCTCCTTCCTGGGCCCTCAGTCCACCCGGGCTCGTCCTGGCAGCCCTTCCGCGCTTCACACAGTGCCTTTTGTGAAAGTGTCATCACGGGTCCCCTGAGGAGACAAGGCAGGTCCAGCGCACATCAGGCGGACTGAGCACTCGATGTCATCCGTGTCGATGTCATCCGTGTGTCCCAGACTGTCTGCTGTAGAAAACACTTCCTCCTCTCCTGAGTCTGTGAAGTCCTCAGTGGTCCTTTTTGGATTCTAGGCTTGCACCTCATACTAAACATTGACCCTTTCACTATGCCCTCAACCTGGGAGCATCTGGCAGGCAGGGGGGCAGGTACACACACACCCACAGGCACACCCACCAGTACACACGCGTGCGCATACACACATTTTGGTTTGACGCCCTGTTTTCAGTGGCCTGGGGAGGTCCACACTGGAAGTCGAATTCCAGCTCGCCTTGTTGACTCGCCTGTGTCCACCGGCCATGAGGAGCCCACGCCTGTCCTCCCCATCACTTTCCTGTCCCTGAGAACTGTAGATCATGCGCTTGTGAGCGAGGCCCTCCCCTCTGCACCAGCTCATTGCAAAGCGAACATCCTCTCCTTTCCAGGAGCCCCAGGATTAGCATCTGAAAAGGGTAGCACTTCCTTTTTTGTTGTTGTTTTTTTTTTTTTTTTGAGACGGGAGTCTCGCTCTATTGTTCAGACTGGAGTGCAGTGGCATGATCTCGGCTCACTACAACCTCCACCTCCTGGGTTCCAGCGATTCTCCTGCCTCAGCCTCCCAAATAGCTGTGATTACAGGCGTGCACCACCACGCCCGGCTAATGTTTGTATTTTTAGTAGAGACAGGGTTTCACCGTGTTGGTCAGGCTGGTCTCAAACTCCTGACCTCAGGTGATCCGCCCGCCTCAGCCTCCCAAAGTGCTGAGATTACAGGTGTGAGCTACCGCACCCCGCCGAGGTTAGCACTTTCATCACCAAAGACCCCGTGCCTCTCGTGGTCCTTTGAGGGATCCCGCCGCCACCACCCTTGTATTTTATCACGTGCTCTTCAGGGCATGTGGAATTCGTTGAGTTTGCTTTTAGAGCCAAGTTTCTTTCCCTGTGTGGGTTTTTGAGGAAAACCTGAGGTCCCCTAATCTGTGGCCACCACCCCCCCCCCCCGCCACGCCTTAGAGCAGAGCAGCCCCTCCTCTCATTTGGTGCAGAAACAGTCAAGAGGAACCATTGGCCTAGAGCTCCTGTGACCGAGAGCGCCACGGAAGCCTGGGGATGACGTCGGGCAGCTTTATTCTTTGCTTGGCTTTGGTAACTAGGTGGTCCCCTCAAGCATCCTCAGTTCCTCTTGCTGTTTATGAATCTAAGACAAGGAAGTCCTATAGAAGCCAAAGGGACAGGGACGGAAAGGACAGGTCCCAAGGGATGGGGCTGTCTTTACTTGTGGAAACCAGGAAATTGCTCCTCTCAGCCAACCAAGGTTGACCACACACCACCCTTCCGGAGCAGCTCAGTCAGCCCTCGGGGACGAGAAACCACAAGCGCAGAGACGCTGAGGCCCAGGCAGGTGAAGAGGAAGTGGCTTTGGGTTTTTAAAGTAGGTGAGCGTGAGCCTCTCTGACTGCTTCTTCCCCGGGGGGGACTGCAAACCGCTCAGGGTTGCGGCAGAGCCATGGACTTCCGGTCCCTGCAACGGGTGACCTAAGCGTGGTGCACCCATCAGTCACGCAGGAGGACTGACTTGACAGACGAAAGACAAGCCCGGATGACACAGGGTGAGAAGAGTCAGGGCCGCACCTCTGTCCCTGCAAACCAACAGGTGCATGGTGAGTGTGGCAGTCCCCACAGCTCCACAATGGGCTCCCCCGCCAACGGGGACGACAGGGATCTTCAGGAACTTCTGACCTCACCAAGTCAAGTGGACCACTCTCCACTCCACGAGGATGTGAAACGGTTCTTTAAAATGGGATTTTAGAGCCTCGGGAATGCATGTGCGTCACATCTTTCATATTATGGGTCAGGATAGATTCATTTCTTGCAACATAGTGGAAAAGATATAAGCTGCAGTAATTTGCTCTTTGAATGACCGTCACCCCCAGTATAGGATATGCTTGTATCCCCCCGTCACTCCTCCGCCTGTTTTTTAAACTTTTCCACCACCTGCGTCCAAAAAGAATGTTATAGCGAGTGCTCTTAAATGTTGAACCTGGGTGTTGCTTCCGGGCCAGTCTGCGTGGCTCCATGAAAA
The DNA here is from genome assembly GCF_000001405.40 of Homo sapiens. Lineage (NCBI taxonomy): Eukaryota > Metazoa > Chordata > Mammalia > Primates > Hominidae > Homo > Homo sapiens. Next base: position 129,888,000 of record NC_000009.12, on the reverse strand, counting down.
GCTCACTGCTGCCCCAGCCGGGCTTCTTAGAGGAGGTCAGTTGTCCTATGTATCATCATTTACTCTGGGAATCCTACTGTGAAATCATGTCTGTATTTTTCTGGAGCAGTTCACATAGAGTAGAATGTGGAATTTCCCGTGAACGTCTCCTTCCTCCCCCGTATCTGCCGCCTGTCACTTCGCCACCGTGCTAGAATACTGTTGTGTTGTAAGATGACTAATTTTAAAAGAACCTGCCCTGAAAAGTTCTTAGAAACGCAGTGAAAGGGAGGAACTTGTCCTTTACCCAGTTTTTCCTTTGTAGGATGGGAAAGTATAAAAAGGCACAGAAGGTTGTCATGGGCTGTTCCTTGGGGGTTTTTATCCTGCTCACCGTGGAGATAAGCCTGCGGCTTGTCTAACCAGCGCAGCGCAAAGGTCTCGATGCCTTTTGGTAACATCCGTCATTGCAGAAGAAAGTTTACACGACGTCAAAAAGTGACGTTCATGCTAAGTGTTTTTCCAGAAATATTGGTTTCATGTTTCTTATTGGCTCTGCCTCCTGTGCTTATATCATCCAAAAACTTTTTAAAAAGGTCCAGAATTCTATTTTAACCTGATGTTGAGCACCTTTAAAATGTTCGTATGTGTGTTGCACTAATTCTAAACTTTGGAGGCATTTTGCTGTGTGAGGCCGATCGCCACTGTAAAGGTCCTAGAGTTGCCTGTTTGTCTCTGGAGATGGAATTAAACCAAATAAAGAGCTTCCACTGGAGGCTTGTATTGACCTTGTAACTATATGTTAATCTCGTGTTAAAATAAAATATAACTTGTGGCTCCGTGTCACGGGACTGTTTTGTTGCATGAAGATATGACCCTAGTTGTGGAAGCAGCCTGGTGTCATTGGAAGCCCCCTGGGCTGGGGAGCTGGCCCCTGGGAGGAGCTGGAGACCTAGATAGCTCTCAGTTCCACCCCCATCCACGGTGGAGGGGGAGGCTCTCAGACCGTGGTGACGTGGAATTCGGGCTGATGTAGTGCGAGGATTGCGAGAGGCTGCTTATGGCCAGGAGTATTTTTTGCATGCACATTCAACTGGTTGCTGCTCTAGCTCTTTGGGGACCTCATTGCTTGGGGCTGGGGCAGGAGGAGGTGGTGAAATGAGGGCACACCTGAGTTTCATTATTTATCTGGTATCACCAGTGCTCAAGCCGGTACTCCTGGTGGCGTGGCTGGAATCACTAGTTTCTGTGAAGCTGCAGGCAGTGCGGAGCTGTTTCACGTGGACAACTCGAAAGGGCAGCAGCCTTGTGCCTGGCACTGGCTGGACATGTGCAGTGGGAGGCCCCGTTTCCACAGCCAGCTTTGAAAATTTCACCCTGGCCTTTTGGGGGAAGATAGGATTGGTTTGTGCCCACACTTCTCTGTGTCCCAAGGGTTTTTTTTTTTTTTTTTTTAGCACTGTTTTAGGAAAACAGTTGTCCAGGAAATGACATATTCGCAGCTACACCAAGTGCAGACCTGGCAGCTCTGCTGATGCCAAGCATCCTCACTTGCGGAGGGCAGGAGGTGAGGGCACCAATATGGGGCCATTGGTAACCTCTAACCACAAGTGCGTGCAGTTGGCTTCAAGGCACCATTGAGAATTGCTGGTTCCCAGTGTGACACAGTGTGGCACAAGGGAACAAGGTGGATCTACTGTTATCCTACCCGAAACCCTCTCCTCTAGGTTGTCAGCAAAAAAGTCCACTTGGGAAGAATATTTCGGGACTGCGCCCAGCCGTCTGTGGGGCGGAGACGGGCTGTCTCCACCTGTGAACCCCCCCATGCCCCACCCGCCCCTGCCGAGCCTTCTCCAAGAGCCGCACCAGCGCTGAGAAGCCTAGAACAGAGCCTGCTGGTTTGGGGCCCCCATTTCCGCGGGTGTGGACATCACAGAGGTCGGGAGCATTGGGGGCGACTAGTTTGTTTTCTGCTGCACTGGGGAAGCCTCTTGAAGTAGGAAGTTCCTGACTCACCGGCTCCGGGGAGGCCACAAGCCTGTGGGGCCGGCTCCTCCAGCGGGTCAGGAAATACCGGCCCGCCCCACGCCCTCCACCCGCCCTGGGCACGCCCGGGCCTGGGAGGCGGCTCCTCCGTCCGCAGAGGTGGTGGGGACCCCTGGCGGGAGCAGACGGCAGAGCGCAGCAGTGGAGGGAGCAAGAAGGGCCCCCTGCGATGAGGAACGAGATGGCGGTGGACAGAGGCAGGATTCGGTCGTGCCCCCAGCTTTTTTTAAATTGAAGCGAAAGACTCAGAAATCGTGAAATGTATGGGACAGCCTGGAAGCTCCACTTTGAACTGCTGCTGCCAGAGAAGGATGGTGGGAAAGAGCCACCATCCAGACGGGTTCCCTGGCTCTGCGCACTCGCCTGGGGGAGGCCTCCTTTTCCCTGGTCCTAAAACGCTTTCCCGATAGGGGAGGCAGGGATCTGTGTTGCCAGCGCCCTCTGAGACCCGGGATGAGCGTGTGAAGGCTGCCAGCAGGCACGTGGCAGCCCCTTGGTGTGTCAGCTGCTTCTCCAGGGTCCCACTGAGTGCCCATTCGGCCTTGACTTGAGCACTCCTGCCTCCCGTTAGACCTCCAGATGGTATAGTGACCTCCGCCGGGGACATCTCCGGACCACAAAAGGTACAGAAGAAGCAGAGGAAGGACCCTATCCTTGTCCTCAGAGCTAAGGGGCCGAAAGCTGTGGGAGGAAACACGGACCCACTGTCCCCGTCGGGGATGGGGAAGGCTCCCTTCCTCCCTGCGGCACCTGCTGGACGGACGTCTCAGCCTAGGACAGGGCCGCATCCCTTCAGTCCGCACAGCCCCTGGCTGCCACGCTGTGCCGAGCCCTGCCCTTGAGAACCTGTTTCCAGTTCCAGCTCTCCACAGGCCCCCTCATCTAGGCTGGTCCCGGGTCAAATCGAAGGAAGGAATGGAGGCTGCACCCTGAGAAACCCTGGGACACCCTTCCAGAACATACATTGCCTAGGCTGTCTACTGCTCCTAGCTTTCCCCAAAGGCGTGTGTTTCTTCTGCGCCCAGCTCACCCTTGCTCCGTCCAGGTAGCAGGTGTCTCTCTGTGTAGGTGAAGTTGCAGAAGGGACGAGCCAGAGGGGGCTGTGATTCCGAAACCTCTGCTCACTTCCCCCAAGGCTCTCTGGGGCTCAAAATTAGGTAGCATTAAGACCCTCAGGATAATTTATGTTTGCACTGAATTTAAAACAGAACAAAGGTAGGAACTACACTTTTTGGGTGGCTGCGCCTTGCAAATGTATTCGGATGCAGGTTTGTGAGCAGCGCCATGGCCGACAGAACCACAGGCAGGCGGCAGGTCTCCTGCAGCCTCCCCCACGGTGCAGGGGCGCCTTTCCGGCTCCTCTAAGAAGCGCTGCTGAAGCCACGCCCTGGCTTAGCGCGGAGGAGGAGCCACCGTGGGGCACCGTGGGGAGCGAGGCCTGAGCCCCGCCTCCCCAGTCACCGAGCACTTCCTGTCCCTGCTCAGTAATCAAGCACAGACTTCAGATCTTGGCATCTCAGTCTGAACTCCTTAAAAGCCAGGTATTTTAAAAGAAACGTTTTAAGGCAAATTGGTACCTATTTCCAGCCCACCTTTCTGTAGTGCAAGAACTGTCTCCAAACCTCCTAAATAAATCTTCCAGACAAAACTTTCATTCTCATTTTCCATGTTCAATGTCAATCACGTGGATTGACACATATCTAACCTTCAAATGTAAACAAAGCCAAAAATATTGCTTAGAGATTCCCACATAAAGACAAAGGTTGCTTTTTCCTCTTCCGGGAACGCTGTCTACAGGCACTCAGCATGGCCCAGTTTCCCAAACCGTCATAGGCTTTCCTAGAATACAGCCTCTAACAGCACTAGGCCGGCCCGAACCCCTGGGAAGAGAATCGTTTACCTTTATACCAAGATTGGGAAACTGCCAAAGTCTGCACATGGCATGGGCCTGGGCTGACTCCGAGGGGTTTGTGCTGTGAGACCTAAAGCTCCTATGAGACTGCCCCAAAGCAAAAACATGTCAGCAAGCGGCCAGGCGTGGTGGCTCACGCCTGTAATCCCAGCACTTTGGGAGGCTGAGGCAGAAGGATCACTTGAGCCTAGGAGTTCGAGGCCAGCCTGGGCAACACAGTGAGACCCTGTCTACAAACAAAAAACCCATCAGCAGTGCATCTGGTGCTTCTGTGTGAACGTGTTCCCGACAGGATCAAGTGTGCCTTCCTCATCAAGGAGCAGAAAGTTGCTGGGAAGGTGTTAAGGGCAGGAGCACAGTCAGAAAGCTCAATTTTAAAATGATGTTTTGGCCGGGTGTGGTGGCTCATGCCTGTAATCCCAGCACTTTGGGAGGCTGAGGCAGGCAGATCACAAGGTCATGAGATCGAGACCATCCTAGCTAACACCGTGAAACCCCGTCTCTACTAAAAATAAATAAAATAAAAAATAAAATTAGCCAGGCGTCGTGGCACATGCCTGTAGACCCAGCTACTCCAGAGGCTGAGGCAGGAGAATTGCTTGAACCCCAGGAGGCAGAGGTTGCAGTGAGTTGAGATTATACCACTGCACTCCAGCCTGGGCAACAGAGTGAGACTCTGTCTCAAAAAATAATAATAAAATGAAGCTTTTTTCAGGAAAAAAAAAAAAAAAAAAGGCGGGATGAGGGAACCACATGCAAAGAGCCACCTCTGGGGTCAGGCAAGGTGGCCGACTCCGGAGGGGCCCCAGGCTTTCCATGGAACTGGCAATGTGTCATCTTGGTTCCTTGTCACCGTGTTATCCTTGCATACGCTGAAATGTTTCTGTACGCTCGTATCTGATAGCGGCAGGGAAGCAGAAGCCTAGGGGAGCCAGGGTGACATCATTTTGAGTTCGGCTCCACCTAAAACTAGCAAGGGAGGCTGGGCCCGGTGGCTCACACCTGTAATCCCAGCACTTTGAGAGGCCGAGGTAGGCAGATCGCTTGAGGTCAGGAGTTCGAGACCAGCCTGGCTAACATGGTGAAACCTTGTCTCTCCTAAAAATACAAAACTTATCCAGATGTGGTGACACATGCTTGTAATCCCAGCTACTTGGGAGGCTGAGGCAGGAGAATCGCTTGAACCTGGGAGGCAGAGGTTGCTGTGAGCCGAGATCGTGCCACTGCACCCCAGCCTGAGCAACATAGCGAGACTCCATCTCAAAAAACAAAAAATTAGGCACAGTCCAGGCCAGTCACAACCTAAGATGTTTACGTCTGAGGAAGCAGCTACGTAACGCCTGCGAGGACAAACTCCTACGATGGAGAAGGTTCAGATGCCACACAACAGTGTATGCTTGAAGATGACCACAGTGAGGCTTCGATGTGCTTATGCACTAAGATGCCAAGGATGGCTTTCTTTAAATCAACAGAGCAATCCACTGTGTCAGGCTGTCAGCCCACCTGACAGACACAGCGTAGCTTTTCTATAGCTAAGACCCCTACATAAGAGGAGTTGAAAACAGCGACGGGCATCCCTCCACTTGCTTTCTGAGGACGCTCTACTCTGTACCTGAGCAGCTTTCAGTAAACTCTTCTCAGTGAACTCTGCGACTCACCTTGAGTTTCTTCCTGCATGAGATCCAAGAACCTTCTCTAGGGGTCTGGATCGGAACCCCTTTTTCCTGCAACAATGGGATTTCACAAATAAATGTTGATAAGTTATATATAAAAATCTCAAGTTCTTCTCTCCCCCAAAATGAGACCCAACAAAAAACTCAGACTACTGAACACCAGTATTGCTGAACGCCCAGGGCCAGTGTGCAAAGGGGAGGTAACCCCCTGCTCACGGCCACTCTGGAGCCGCCTGTCTGGGTGGCTGGAGGGAGACTAGCCTGTGGGATGTGCTGGCCTCAATCACTGGCCACATCTGGCCCTACTTCTCTGAGGCTGGGGCTGATTCCAGGAAAGGAGATGCCAATAGGCCTTTATAGCAGCTGGGTCCCCTCTTCTGCTCACCTCCACAGCCTCCAGGTGGTCTCTGGTTTCAGAAAGCCACATGGAAAGCCCCCTCCTGGGCCTGGTGATGTGCAATGTGAGCCCCAGGGCTTGGCGGGCTGTCCGCGTGGCGGAGAGCCTCACCTTCCCTCCAGTAACAGAACTGCAGTGAAGGAGAGACGACTGTGTGGCCGTGGGAACATTTATTCTGTGTTTATTCTGACATTTTGAACACAAACTAGACAGCACAGACATGGGGCCCGATCCCAGCCTGCACAGAAGCCTCTCTGCGTCGCGACAGTGCAGCGTGCGGCCTCTGGCTGCAGCGCCGGCTTTCAGAAGGCTGGGGCCAATGCCAGGGGAACCCCAGGCTCAGCAGGGAGGGAGCAGGATCTGGGACAGAAGATCCGAAAAGTGAGGCCTCAGGGCCTCTGCGGGACCCACCTGCTGGAATTTCCACCACCACCTGCTTCTACAAAGACTGATAGAAACAAAGACGCAGTAGTGTGGGGGGTCTGGTCCCAGAGCCCCTTCCCCACCCACGCCCCGTCTGCTTTGATCCTGATGATGGTCGCACCTCGCCCTGGCGGTTTCTCCAGGGGCTTTGGTGCCTTGCTGTGCTCAGTGGCTCCCTCCACTCAGCATCCAGAGGCTGCTTCCCAGGATCCACCTGAGCGCTGCACCCTGCACAGCCCCCACATCCCTCCAGGTGGGCTCTGCACTGCTGCTGCTGGGAGGAAGGGAAAGTCTGTCTTCTTTAGCATCAGCTCGGGAAGCTGCCTTTGCCTCAAATGGCCAAGCTGTGAGGTATCCCTGTTTCATCATCCGGTTCCCTGGTGGGGGCTCAGCAAATTTCCCATGAAGATGAACTGCTGAACTTCGAGGCAAATTACAGCCAATCCAGGGGGCAGGCTCAGCAGGACGCGGTGTGGGGGACCAGCTGCCTCCAGAAACATCCCCCACTGGCAGAAATCCAACCTCCTCCTGGTGTTCCAATCAGCAATGAGTCCAGAGTCTTCAGTCTGCAGGAGAAGTGCTGAGAGCAGCCCGGGACTTCAGAGCCTTCCTGGTGACGCCCAGGAGATGCAGAGGTGCGGCGGGACCACCAGGGAGGACCTGTGAGCTCCTCACTGGCCAGGGCTTCTGGCTGCGCTCACCGGCCCTGAGCAGCTCCCTCCGAGTCTTCGGGGCTCCGGGCCAATCGCACAGTGGAGACGCCGTGAAGCAGCAGCTACTCCCTGACTCTGGCCCAGGCCGCAGCCTCTGTCTGACAGGGGTAGCATCGGGCTCCAGGGACAAAGCTGGGCCGAGCTAGCAAGAGGACAGTTGTGGGGGACACAACGATGACAGTGACTGGCAGAGGCACTGCCAGGACAAAGACCCAAATTAACGTCACAGAGTCTTGGTCGTTTCAACAAGCCTGAAGTGCATATATTTTCTAGTTGCAGCGTTACTGCAAACCAAACCAACTTTTCTGCCTCTTTACACGGCGGGGTTCTGCAGCAGCCCGGCCTCTCTTCTGGGCACAAACACGCCTTCCGCGGGGTGGGGCACATGGGGCTGTGGGGACACGGGCACTCAGCAGTGGGGCCGGGCCATGTCCAGGGCCCTCCCACATCCTCCAGGAAGGTGCTTTCAGGGACCTGCTCTTTGGATGTTCAAAAGGACATGTGAGGGTCTCTGGAGAGTGAGGAGAGGACCCAGAGTGCCATGGAGGGACCAGCCGGGGCGACTTACAGACTAGCCCAGCAGATCACACGGCCCGCGTCTCGGCTTCGATCTTCTGCTCCCCGTGCAGGTTCTCTGGGCCCAGCGGCTGCGCCACACTCTGGCGGATGGCAATCTCGGGGCCACCTCCATACAGGCTGTTCAGGTAGGTCCAGGTCTCCTCCGAAATCTGCCCGTAGTCAGCTCCTGCAGGGCACGAGAGGCACCCCTAGGCTCACCTTTGCCTCCTCAAGGAAGCCACCGGCCTGGGCAGTGGGGGCTCCGCAGGGCCAGGCCCCGAAGCGGGAAGACGGCAACCAGGGCTTCTATGCAAAGCTGTCAGATGGAAATCAGGATTTCCCAGAGGAATGTCCATCCCGCTAAGGGCCCCGGATAACACATCTCTGGCTGTGTCCCTTGTTCCTGGGGGTGGGGCTGACATAAACAGCAGGGTGGGCAAGGCCAGCAGCAGGCAGAGGGGTGGGACCTGGAGGACACAAGCAGAGACCAAGCCCCTTGGGCCATCTCTCAGCCGCCTGGGTCTGGACTCAGGTGGACGTCTCAGCCTGACTCTAAGACAGGTGGTAAGGGGGCTCCTGGAAGGACGGGACTGGGCAGCAGCCTGGCAGCCAGGAAGGGCAGAGAGGAGCCTGGCTGACCCCAGGGGGAACTCACCCTGCTTCAGCTGGACATGGCCGCTTCCTTTGACCTGTGCAATCCTGCTGTTGTCAATGGGCCCGGGGGGCTCTGCAACAGACACAGCGGGCTCGGGTTCAGCCCCTGCCATGCCCTCCACCCTCCACAGCAGCAGAGCCATCCCAAGTGGGGCCGCCCCAGGCCTGGGGGTCAGCGTGAAGTCTCTAATGGATGAGGCGCCTGAGCCACCCAATGCTCCTCTGTGGCAGTCTGAGGACCCAGCAGAGGGAATTTCCAGGACACACGAGATGGTCTCAGACTCTGTGCTGGCCGCAGGAGCTGCGGTGGATGGCCCATGCCCTTATCTCTGCTGGCAGCTGCCGCTCACCACGCCCCTTCCCCTCTGCCCAGCTATCTCATTTAGCCTCGGCAACCACAGGACAAGACAGAGGTTTACAGAGACAGAGCCGAGGCCTGGGAAGGTGAAGTAACCACTCAGGTCATAGCTGGTAGAAGGCAAGGCCAGCGTCCAGGCCAGGGCGAGGGCTCCGGAGCTACATTCTCAACCACAGCCATGCTGAAGGCCTCAGCCACCACCAGAGAGGCCTCACGGTGGCCCTGGCACCTTCCCCGACTAGCGGGATGGCAATGAGGCCTCCCTTCCCAAGCACAGGTGGGTGCTCATGCTCCACACCAAGGGTCCCGTGAGCAGAACCGTGGGCTCTACCCACCCTGCCGGGCCCCGGAGCCACAGGTTAGATTATGCCCCGAGGGCGCCCCAGCCGAAATTTTTAATGCAGGTTTAATAGTTTAGAGCCTGTGGGCTTCCATGGCTTGGTTCTGCTGTTCTTCACTGGGGACTTGGGGGACCCTGGGAGCTTGTGATGGGGCCTGTCTCCACCTCTGTAAATCCAAGGAGTCAGATGACAAATCTGTCATTTCGGGCGACACACTCCCCTGAGGAAAGGGCCTTGCAGGAGGGCAGAGCAGCTTGCTGGGCATGGCAGGGAGTGGAGAAGGGCAGGGGGCGCAGAGCAGGAGCAGCTTCCTGCCTCTGGGTGGGGACAGTGATCCCCACTGGGGACTGGCAAAGCCCCATGCTCTCTGTTCACCCTGGATGGGTGGCACCTGGGGGCAGGCATGGGGCCTGCAGGAGCCCCTGTGTGCCAGCCCTCCCCTGCCAGCATCCCATCTCCCAGGAGGCCCCCAGGGCAGGTAAGTGCCAGGTCCCCCCTCAGCTCACCGTTGTCCTTCCCCTTGACGAACGCCTCCCACTCCCGGAACCACTGCATGCTGATGCAGTAGATGACGCCCGGCGACTCCTCGGCCTGGAAGGCCTTGTTCAACTGGCAGGCGGGCAGGGACGGGAGGAGACAGAGGGCAGGTCAGTCTCTATTTACCTTCAGCAAGGATTTCCCAAATGCCCCCGCCCCAGTCCCTCACCCAAGAGTCTTACAAAAACACCAGATACTCAAGGTGAAAAATCAAACCCCCAGACAAGCTCAAACAAAATGAACACACCCATCACTCAGAGAGGACGGTGGTAACATTTTGTGGGTCTCTTCAATAACTGTTTGACCCAACTGAGACCACAAGGGAGATTCTACTTTTTGAGAAGGAATCTCACTCTGTCACCCAGGCTGGAGTGCAGTGGCGCGATCTCGGCTTACTGCAACCTCTGCCTCCCAGGTTCAAGCGATTCTCCCACCTCAGCCTCTTGAGTAGCTGGGATTACAGGTGTGTGCCACCACCTGGCTACTTTTTGTGTTTTTAGTAGAGACGGGGTTTCGCCATGTTGGCCAGGCTGGTCTTGAACTCCTGACCTCAGGTGATCCGCCCACCTCGACCTCTCAAAAGTGCTGGGATAACAGGCATGAACCACTGCGCCCGGCCTGGGAGATGCTAATTTTCTCCGGTTGAATAGAATGTGCCTATCTGCTCAGAGAGGCAGCTCTCCTTCTGACAGGAGCATTTTCTTTTTCGAGATGGGGGGTGGTCTCACTCTGTGCCCAGGCGGGAGTGCAGCGGCGCAATCATGGCTCACTGCAGCCTTGACCTCCTGGGCTCAAGTGATCCTCCCACCTCAGCCTCCTGAGTAGGTTGGACCACAGGTGCATACCACTAGGCCCAGCCCTGACAGTCTCTTTTTCGTTTGTGTTCTGAGACAGGGTCTCACTCTATTGCCCAGGCTGCGGTGCAGTGGCATGATCACGGCTCACTGCAGCCTCAACCTCCCAGGCTTAGGTGATCCTCCCAACTCACTCAGCCCTCCAGGTAGCGGGGACTACAGGTACACATCACCATGCCTGGCTAATTTTTGTATTGTTTGTAGAGATGGGGTTTCGCCATGTTGGCCAAGTTGGTCTTGAACTCCTGGGCTCAAGTGATCCACCTGCCTCGGCCTCCCAAAGTGCTGGGATCACAGGCGTGAGCCACCATGCCCAGGCAGCAGAATCATTTCCTAATGGCCACAAAGCACGGGCGTCCCTCAGTGTCTCTCACCAGGCCCTCCCTGTGAGTGGAACACGTCCTAACCCTGTTAGAAGTAGCGTGGCAGGGAGGGAGTGCGCCAGGAGCCTCGCCTGCACTCAGCTCCCTCACAGAAGTCCCTCTTCTAAACACAGTCACACTTGAGTCCTGGTTTGCACCTTGGTTTTCACTTCCTGCTTTATCTTGGGCAGTCTGTAGAGCCCAGTGGTTCTCACCCAGGGCAGGGAGGGTACTCTGCACCCCAGGGGACCCTGGGCAATCTCTGGAGGTCATTTTGGTTGTCACTAGCACTAGTGGGTAGAGGCCAAGAATGCTGCTAAACATCCTACAATGCACAGGACGGCCCCACAATAAAGAATAATTCAGCCCAAAATAACACAGCCAAGGCTGAGAATGGGATCCATCTACTGGTTCTTTAAGCTCAACAGCACCCGGGCGATGAGGCTTCACTTACTCAAGCCAACCCTCCCACCAGGAAAAGCCCTCCTAGACACCTGGCCATCTAGTTCCCCGCAGAAGACTCCTTTCTTTTCTTTTTCTTTTTTTTTTTTTTTTGAGATGGAGTCTTACTCGGTTGCCCAGGCTGGAGCGCAGTGGCACAATCTCAGCTCACTGAAACCTCCGCCTCCCAGGTTCAAGCGATTATCCTGCCTCAGCCTCCCAAGTAGCTGGGATTACAGGCACCTGCCACCAAGCCCAGCTAATTTTTGTATTTTTAGTAGAGACGGGGTTTTGCCATGTTGGCCAGGCTGGTTTCAAACTCCTGACCTCAAGTGATCTGTTCGTCTCAGCCTCCCAAAGTGCTGGGATTACAGGTGTGAGCCACCATGCCCAGCCTCAAAAGACTGCTTTCAAACTTGCTCAGGGACTGCACAGGATTCTTCTGTCCCCAAGTCCCCAGCTGCCCCAGGCAGAGGCTGGCAGAGCCGCCCCCGCGCCGCCTCGCCGCACGCACCTTGATGAAGGTGTCGATCTCGATCCTCCTGCGCTTGGCCAGTGCCTCGATCTCCACCTGGCAGATGGAGCACACGTACAGGTGGTTCACGGCGGGGCCACCCCCGAATCTGTGCCCAGGGTGGGAGAGAGAGACACGGCCTGAGCGGGGTACCAGGGAGGGGAGAGTGATCACTGCCTTCCACTTCCCCCTCAAGCCATCAGTGCCCCCTCAGCGCTGTCGCAGGCCTGCATGCACCTCTGTGTGAGCACCACAGAGCCTGCAACGGAGCAGCGCGCCCACAGCCCAAGGGAGGTCCTGCTTCAAGGCTGAAGAGCAGATGGCCAACACACTCAGCTGTGCTTCAGCAGATGGCCAACACACTCAGCTGTGCTTCAGCCAGTTTCCTGTCCCTTGCCGCTGGAAGGATCCAAGCGGATTCCCACAAACGACATGTGTCATTCTCCATGAGACAAGTGAAGGCGGCTCTGTGCTGCCCACGTGGAGGCCAGAGTGTGGTGTGGGGTCCTGGTGGCATTCCTTCCCTGCCCTCCCCTCTTTTCCTGCCCAGCTGGGCCCTGGACAGGACGGAGACAAGTTGGCCTCCCAGGCTCTCACCTGTTGTACAGGTGCTCCCAGACGTTCTGGGGCAGGATGACCACCAGGTCGTCGATGTAGTGGTATTTGTGGGGCGGGATGCCTGGGAAGAAGGTACAGGGAGCGAAGCTGTGGCTCGGCCCAGCTGCCCACCCTGCTCTCCCACCACAGGGGGCGCCTCACCTCCGTGGGAGCAGAGGAAGGTCTGGTTGGTGATGGGGCCTGGCTCCGCGAAGGTGTTGAACTTGTTGAGCCACTCGCGGGACACGTAGAACCGCAGCAGGCTGGGCTCCCGCATGGCGGCCAGGGACACCACCTGCTGTCGCTCCCGCATGGCCTCCTCGCTGCTCTTCCTGTGGGGTGAGGAGGGGGCGAGAAGCTGTGCCTGACGGCTGCCACCTTCAGACACATGCAGAGCCCCCATCCCAGTGCACCTCGGGCTACCGGCCCTGTCCACCACCTCCTGGGTCCTTCACGGGTCCTGGACATGTGAGCAGCCCCCTGTGCCGCCAGCCAGGGCCCTGGAGAAGGCTCCAAGCTGCCTTCCTGGGTTCCCCACAGCAGCCAGAGGGCTGTTTCTTAACAATCCAAGTCCTTACTTCCCTGGCTTAATCCAGGCGCTGTCCCCTACACACACCCAGAAGGCCCATGGGTCCCAGGGGACGGGGATGGTGAGGTTCCTCCACCAGGCCTGGCCCAGCGCCCACCTGTAGAAGAGTACGTAGCCCTCGGCGTTCTGCACCACCGTCTCGTGGACTTCTGTGACGTACTGGTCATCAAACTCGTACCACTGCCCATTGATCACGTTCTGGCAGTAGGCGATGTAGTGCCCACCTGCGGCGGCAGAGCAGACGGGTCACAGGGATCCTAGCGGATGGGGACGGCAGGGGAGGGGACATGACTCACTGCCTGCCGTGCCGTGGTGGCAGATGACCGAGAGGAGGTCGTAGGTGGTGATCTGGGATGTGCACTCCTTGGCAAGGAAGGGGCGCAGGTCGAGCCCCTCGAGGGGGAAGGAGACGTGGCTGTTGATCTTGAATGAGTACATCACCTCGTGCCGAAAGCGCTTTAGGTGAATGCACAGGATCTGCGGGGACAGAGAGAGCGCCGGTCATCTAGGAAGAAATGATGCGGGCCCTCGCAGCCTTGCCCACGGGCCCAGGACAGCTGATGGGATCATGCAAGCTGACTCCATTGGAACAAATCCAAGAGTTCCACGTGGGGGCCAGACTGGGCTCGCTCTAAGTCACACAGATCACTCCCAGCTCCACTGCTGAGAACTGGACCCCAAGAGCTGCAATGAGCCATCAAGTTTACCAGTTCTGTCGGCACTACCTTTGAGAAGCCACAAAGCCTCCCCGAGCCACCACAGCCCCAACCTGGGCCCCCTCTGCCAGGGCCCTCTCCTCTTTGCTCCAGCCACACGTGCCTTCCTTGGTGCGGACAAGCCTGCTCCTGCACTGGGGTTTTGTCTGTTCCTTCTGTGCCTTCCATCCACGACGCTGACACCAGCCTACACCCTCCAGGCCCCACTCAGACGTTACTCCTCAGAAAGACCCCTGGCAACAGCCCCAGCTGGACCAGCTCTCCTCCCGCCACTCTGCAGCTGGCAGGAGCCATAGCTGTCTCACTGGGGGTGGTAACCCAGTGTCCCACACACCTGCCTCCCATTGGGCCCTCATACAACATGTTAGACAACATGTGCTGAGGCTACCGAGAGAGGGCACCAAGTCACAGTTGGAAAAATGTGCCCCCTGCCAACCCTTCCCAGAGGTTTCTCAGCCAAAGCTATGGAGTCTCCACGGCCCCTGCAGCACAGAAGTGCCCGAGCAGTGGAGCAGGCTCAGCCCCTGCCTGGTGTGTGCTGGTGTGCATCCCGAGATAGCTGAGGAGGAGGCTGCCGAGGCCACTGGCTCACCTCGGGCAACCGCAGGACTTTGCAGTACTTCACTCCGTTCCGCAGCCTGGGGAGGAAGCACGAGCCAGCATCAGTGTCCGGCATCAGGGCCAGGGGCCAGGGAAGCAGCCCTCCACCCGGCTCCCTTCTGGGAAGGCAGGATTATAGGGGGCTCTCTGCAGGAACCCAAGGGGAATATGTAGGGCACAGAAACGGCAGTTAGGGAGAAGGCGGGGGAAGGCTCACTTACTTCTTACACCGCTCACAGCTGTACATGTTGTCACCTAGGGCAGTAAAACAAAGGGTCAGAGGTTAGCAAGGATGCAAAATGAGGGAGCAAAAAAAAGTGACTATAATGATTTCTGCTTAAGAAATAAAACCTGGCTGGGCATGGTGGCTCATGCGTGTAATCCTAGCACTTTGGGAGGCCGAGGCGGGCGGATCCCCTGAGGTCAGGAGTTCGAGGCCAGCCTGGCCAACATGGCGAAACCCCATCTCTACTAAAAATACAAAAATTAGCTGGACGTGGTGGTGCGTGCCTGTAATCCCAGCTACTCAGGAGGCTGAGGTGGGAGAATCGCTCGAACCTGGGGGGCTCGGGGCAGAGGCTGCAGTGAGCTGATGCCACTGCACTCCAGCCTGGGTGACAGAGTAAAACTCCATCTCAAAAAAAAAAAAAAAAAAAGAAGAAGAAAAAGAAAAAGAAATAAAACCTGAGAGGTACTGGAGGGAGGGAAGGCCCTGGCTGGGCCCCACAGCCAGAATCCATACAAGGGAGAAATGGTTATATTTGACCCCAGAAATACTTCAACATCTGTAAGATACCACCAAAAGCAAAATTAAAAGGCAAAAGGCAAAATGGAGGTGGGGTGGGAAGTGCAACATTAATTACAGAAAATGTATTTGAAACAATTTTTTTGAGATAGGGTCTTGCTATGTTGCCCAGGCTGGTCCCAAAGTCCTAGGCTCAGAGGACCCTCAGCCTCCGGAGTAGCTGGGGTCACAGGTACATGCCACCATGACCAGCTTAAAATCTTAATGTATAGTTTCCCCCTCCATGCACACTGTGAAAATTAAGTCAAAATGGGATCAAAGATCTCAATATAAGACCTAAAACTATAAAACTTTTAGGAGAAAAGTAGGAAAAAAGTTTCATGACATTGGATCTGGCGATGATCTCTGAAACACAACACCAAAGGTGCAGGCAACCAAAGCAAAAGACACAAACCACAGAATGAAACGCACCCTACAGGATGGGAGGACAGGGTTATAAGTCACGTATCTGGACACATAAAGAACTCCTCTAACTAACGAGGCCGGCACCGTGGCTCACACCTGTAATCCCAGCACTTTGGGAGGCCAAGGCAGCAAATCCATTTGAGGTCAGGAGTTCGAGACCAACCTGGCCAACATGGCAAAACCCCATCTCTACTAACAATACAAAAATTAGCCAGGTGTGGTGGCACGTGCCTATAATCCCAGCTACTCGGGAGGCTGAGATGGGAGGACTGCTTGCACCCAGGAGGCGGAGGCTGCAGTGAGCCAAGATCATGCCATTGCACTCCAGCCTGGGTGACAGAGTGAGACTCTGTCTCAAGAAAAAAAAGAATCCCTATAACAAGCAACAAAAAACAAAATAGGCAAAAGACTCACATAGATGTTTTTCCAAACACTTACAAATGGCCAACAAGCATATGAAAAGACACTTAACATCACTATCATTAGGAAATGCAAATCAAAACCACAACGAGGCTGGGTGCGGTGGCTCACGCCGGTAATCCCAGCACTTTGGGAGACCAAGGCAGGCGGATCACCTGAGGTCAGGAGTTCAAGACCAGCCTGGCCAACATGGTGAAACCCCATTCTACTAAAAATACAAAAATTAGCCAGCCGTGGTGGCATGTGCCTGTAATCCCAGCTACTCGGGAGGCTGAGGCAGGAGAATCGCTTAAACCCAGGAGGTGGAGGTTGCAATAAGCCGAGATCATGCCATTGCACTCCAGCCTGGGCGTCAAGAGAGAGACTCCGTCTCAAAAACAAAACAAAACAAAACAAAAAAAACGCACAATGAGATACCACCTCATACCCATGAGGTTGACTCCCATCAAAAAAGTAAACAAAATGAGTGTGGACGACGATGTGGAGAAACTGGAACTCTTGTGCGTCACTGGTGGGAATGTGAAATGGGGTGGCCACTGTGGAACCCAGTACGGTGGCTCCTCGAGAAATTAAAAATAGGCATAGACCCAAAGGGATGAAAGAAGAGAGGTGTGCACACCCATGGTCAGAGCAGCATTCCTCACAATAGCTAACAGGGAAGCGGCCTGAGTGTCCACTGACGGATGAACGAATAAGCAGAAAGGCCCCAGCCATCCACACAATGGAACAATAAATAACCAGCATACAAAAGGCAGGGCATTCCGACACACACGCTGCAACGTGGATGAACCCTAAGGACGTTATGCTCAGTAAAAGCCGTCAGTCACAAAATGGCAAGTACTGTATAATTCCACTTCTATGAGGCCTTTAGAGTAGTCACATTCACAGACTTGAATGTGGAGGTTGCCAGGGGCTGGGAGGTGGGAGTAGGGAGCTGTTTCACGGATACTGAGTTTCAGGTTTGCAAGATGTAAAAGTTCTGGAGATGAATGGGGAGGATGGCTGCGTGACCATGTGCATGTATTTAACACTACTCGACTGTGCACTTTCTGTTAAAAACAGCATTTACAATGGTTATGGTGGTAAATTTTACATTTTGTGTATTTTATCGCAATTGAAAATTGGAAATAAAAAAAAAAGAGAGAGTTTTCCCAAAGGTTTAGATGCCAAATAGCCAACGGAGAAAAAGAACAAGAACAGGAATGGGCAATGTTTAAATAAATACATAGAGCCAGTATATTTAACAAAAAATGTAGAAACTCATCAGTAATCAAGGAAATGAAAAATTAACATACATCATTTTTGCCCACCAAATTGGTAAAAATAAAAATAAGTGAACACTCAAGAGCTGCAAGATGATGGGGTTGGGATAGCACATGGCCCTGGTCCAGCGTGGCTGGCAGTGGGCGTGGGTATCTGATGGGATCAACCTTGGAAGCCAAGTCTAGCCTGGCTGTGCATCCCACAAGCCCTGGGCTGCATGCTGGCCTGCTGGGGTCTGCACATCCCCGTCCCCACAACCCTCCACCTCCCCGACCCTTGCCAGCCAGGCCCCTCACCCTTTAACTCATCAGCGGCAAAGAAGGCAGCAAGGCAGTCTTCCAGGGTGACGACAGGCCCCCAAAACCAGCTGGGGGTACAGGATACCACAAACCTACAGACAGAAAAGGAGTGCAGGGGTGCTGCCAGGGCCTGGGCAAGAACAGGAGCTGAAGGGACTCTGGCTGAGGTCTGTCAGGCCTGAGCCGCAGAAGGACCCTGAAGGCCCAGAGAAGCAGCCGGGCACGGCGGGTCGGGGCAGAGGCCTGGAGCCAGACACGTCCGTGTCCTGGGCCGAGTGACATCATCTCTCCGCAAGCCTGGCCTCCTTCATCTGTGTTGCGGCCATGATCATGCTACCCCCTCCCTGGGGTCATGCGGGTCTCTGGCCTCAGGCAGGAGAGGCAGCCCTGGGAAAGCTGCTGCCCTTCCCGCCAACCAGGCCTGTGTCCTGCTGCTGCCCTCCCTTCAACCTGCCATGTGGTCACCTCCCTGCTGTCCATCGCCCTCCAGCTCCAAGGGACTATCCAATCCTGGCCACTTCAAAGTAGCCAAGAAATCCCCTGCATATTAAGCCAACTCCTCTGCAGGCTTCGGCCCCCAGCTCCTCCCAGGACCTCCCTGGTTCCCCAAATGCATGGACTTCACTGTGTACTGTCTCCCGCCCAGGAAAACCAGGACAGGCCCAGCCCATGTCGCCCAGTAGTGGCAAGGTGGGCGCACCGTCGGATGTACTCCACAATGAAGGCCAGCCAGCCCTGGGCGGCATAGCTGTCCCCACAGGCGCCTGGCTTGGCCGGCACATTCTGGTAGATGGCTGAATGGAGCTTGGCCAGGTCCTCCTTTCCAGGAATGGGCAGTGATAAGTCCTGGAACGTTTCCACTGTGGTGGATACCTGTGGGGTTGAAGGTCAGTCTGCTGCCCATCCTCTGGCAATGTCTGCACCCCAAACCCCAAGCAGCAGGTGAGGGGCAGAGGGACTACTCCCCAGGCCATAGACACGGGATCCACGCAGGCAGGGCCCTCCCCTGGATAAAAGCAGGGAGCACCCGTGGAGAGCCCACCCTGCACCCAGTCAGGGCAAGAGCTGCTGAGGCCACTGGCAGCCTGGCCCAGCTCCCCCCATCCCTGGGGCACCCACCCGGTCACAGGTGAGACACTGCACAAGGCTGAGAATGGAGCCGTCAAAGATGTCTGAGATGACGCTGCGGTAGCGCTGCTCCTTCCGCCTCCGGCTGCCAGCACTCAATACCTGGGCTGGGGACACAGCACAGGACTAGCCCAGCCTCCACCTGCCTGGCCGGGGCGAGGTGCGGGCCCTGCGGCTTCCTTTGACAGGATGTGGAGTGACATCCGTGAGTCACATGACTGGGTAAGCAATTCACCATCTCATGCCTCTGTGTCATCCTCTGCAAAACGTGGCTCCCACACTGGTGTCTCAGGGGTGTACCTGAGAGGAGCCCATAGCCCGGCCCTCCGCCACAGGGGGCCATGAGAAAGGCAGCTACGGGCGTAATCTGTACTCCCAGCCTCAAGCTGACCCACCCTCCCGTGCCCCCCGAACCTTTCTTGAGCACGTACGACGGTGCCATCCTCACGGGGCTTGCACGAGGGGGGCTGCTAGACAGCTTGGCATGGCCCTCGTGGTGGTGGACGGGGCTGCAGGGGCGAGAGGAGCTGCGTAGGTGAGCATCATTGTCCGGCTCTGGGGGCAGAGAGGGTACCATGCTGGGCCAGGGCAGCCAGGCCAGCTCCACGAGTGGGCAGGAAGATGACCTGCCAGCCCCTCCTAAAGGGACGAAAGCCTGACCCTAATGTGTCTCCTCTGTCATGTGCCCACTCCTGGCCCCAGCACACAGGCCGGAGCAGACCTGTCCAATCCATGTCCGGCTGGAAGGCTCAGGGCTCTGGGAGAGGGCTCTGAATTGGGCTCCAGCATTATGAGCTAGGGGACCCTGGGCACATCACTGAGCCCCCCCGGAGGCTGACTTCCCCACTGTCATTCGGGTCTAGTGAAGAACCCGTCCCCCGGGGGCTACTGCAGGTCGGCGCTCAGCACCCGGTAGGTACTGGGCCATAGGCTGAGGTTCCTCCCGCAGTCCCCGGCCAGCTGATACCTGGCGTCCGGCAGGGGCTGGAGGACCGTGGTGACGGGGGCTGGGCCTCCGCGGGCTGGTCGTCAAGGGCAGCCATGGCAGTGTCCACATCAGCGTCCTCGTCCACTTGCTCCGAGTTTGTACGCTGCTGGCCCCAGGAGAACTTGCGGTCCTTCATCCGCTCCTTCTCAGAGATGGCTCGGCCCGCCTCATCTGGGATCAGCAGCTCCGTCTCGGCCTGCGAGCTGCCCCCGCCACGCCCCTGCCCGTCACCCTCACCCCGGTCACTGCTCGAGTCACAGGACAAGAACTCATCTTCTGATGGGCTCCGGTCACCCTCCCGTTTCTCATCCGTGTCACTCGAATCTGAGTCCCGAGCCTCCGTCAGCGCCACCGTGGCCACCACCGGCTCCTTGAGCTCCTCGTGCAGCTGGTCCATCAGGCAGCGAAGGAACTCTTGGGTGTCCTAGAACCAGGGGCTGCATCAACAGGGCTCCCCTGGAGGCAGGAGGAACCAGTCTCCAGCGCCCTGTGGCTGATGAGAGCGCCAGCCTCCATCTAGGAGGACCTCATGGGCGCCCCCTGCAGAAGAGTTGCTCACCCCCACAGCGGCCTCCCATGGCAGTCTGTCCTAACCCCATTCTTCTGAGGATAACAGTGAGGACTGGAGAGGCTAAAGGACACCTACCAGGACACACAGCTAGAAAGTGTCAGAGCCAGGTATGCACCTGGGTCCATGCAACTCCCCGGCTCCGGCTCTGAATCTCCTGCCTCTGCTGCAAGCTCAGCACGGGAGGGACAGAGAGGCAGTACCACATTAAGCCCGAGCCACCTTTCTCCCTACAGATGAGACCAGTGGAGGTGGGCAGGGGGGTGGCGGAAGGATGAGGGAGTGTGATGCCAAAAGAGGACTCACCCGAGTCCTGCCCCAAGCCACGCTACCCACAGGCCAGACTGCCTGCATGCTCTACCCTTCCTCTGGCTCCCCCTGCTCCCTCAGTCCCTGTGCCAGCCCCCACATACCCTCACTGCCTGCTCTCACCTTCCCACAGACCTGGTCATGACTCAGTCTAAGCTGCCCCTGCAGGCTGCCTGGGTCTCAAATCCCAGCAATGACCATTTTATCCTGACCACTCTGTGACTGGGCCACCAGCACAGCAGGAAGCCAAGGCAGCAGGGGCTCGGGCAGAGGCGCCCAGTGAGCCCCACTGAGATCTGTGTGCTCACACAGGGGGTGCACTGGGAGGTCAGAACGTGGTGGTGGCAGCAGACCCCAGCAGCTAGCGGGTGCTCGGGTGGTGCTGGGCATTGGAGAAGGACTTGGGTTCCGAGCCCAAATCAGCCCCAGCAGTCCCTGACCTGGTTGTTAGAAGCAGCCCTCAGCCCAGGCTCTGATCCCCAGGAGGCAGGGGTCACGTAGCAGCCAGAGCCAGCCTCATGTCACACATCTGGGAAGAGGATCCCGGCTCTCTCCACTCATGTGCAGGGAAGGGAGGGCTCAGGAGGGACTCCCCAAGGCAAAGTGTCAGGCTCCAAGATCAGAGGAATGAACCACGAGGTTACATTGCATCAGGGAGGGGACACGTGTCCTGTGGCAGGCACGATCAAAGGCCCTTTCAAGAAGAGGCTTTCAATCTGCCATCTACTTCTCTTTCTGGTTCTTCCTTTCAACAAAAGTACTATGTGTTCCTTGCCAAAATCTCAATCCATGCAGAAGCACAAAAGAGTCTTTTGGCCCTTAAGAGGCGCCCGCAGCTGCGTCTACAGTTCAGCCTCAGAAGTGTCCCCACACGATATCCTAAAACCACAGAAAGGGATGCTTCTGCCGGAGCCCAGATGGAGTCCTGCCGCAGCGCATGGCCCTCCGTAACGGCATCCTGACCCAGAGCTGAAAGCCGGCAGGGCGCCTTGCACACAGTCAGGGTGGTGCTGTGCTGAGGGATGGGCTCAGGTAGGCCTGAATGCCATCTCTGCCAGGATGTGCTGTGTGACCTGGGTGAGGGGTAGAACCTCTCTGAGCCTCAGCTCTTTACCTGTAACGTGTGGGTGACAACAGTGCCCACTTTGTGAGACTTCTATGAGGACTAAGTTGTGACCACTTAAATGGTGCTCAGTGAATTTTAGTCATTGTGCATGTTATCACTCCCCAAAAAGAGAGGTGTCCAGGCAGTGCTGAGCTTCTCAAGCAGGAGCCAAAGGCCCAGCAGACTTCATCCTGGGACGGGACAGCAGGCAGGGGGTAGAGGGCGGAAGTTGTCCCCACATGACTGCCACTCCGTCCATGGTGCTCATTTCAGGCAGCACAAGAGGTGACCCAGCCAGGTCCAGCTCTGCCTGCAGGCCTGGCATGAAAGCCCAGGCTGTGGGCCATCTGGGGCAGGAGGCTGGAGGGCAGGAGCCATCAGCCCGGGGCTGAGGTGTACGCGTGGCTGCACTCTGTCTTGGTCTCATTATTTTATAAAATAGAAAAATGTGATTGGTTTCAAAAGGGTTCTCTAGATTTAAAAAAAATTTTTAATCAAACTTTTTACTTTAATAAAAGTGAAATTTTGCCTGTGGTTTGGGGAAATGAAACCCTGTGTCATTTTGGGTGCAACGCGGAGGCCCTGCAGCAAGGTTGCCTGGGTTCAAATCTCCCCTCCGCCGGGTGCAGTGGCTCATGCCTATAATCACAGCACTTTCGGAGCCTGAGGTGGGACGACTGCTTGAGCCCGGGAGGTCGAGGGTGCAGTAAGCCATGACTGCACCACTGCACTCCAGCCTGGGTGACAGAGTGAGACCCTGTACCCACCCTCCCCCACAAAAAAAAGAATTCCCCTCCACCATTTACTAGCTGTGTGGCCTGTGCAAGTGGCTCGGCCCCTGAACCTCAGTCTGTCCATCTGTGAAGTGGGGTTAAATGTCAGCAGGTTGCTGGGAGGCTCCACTGTCCTCACACGTGTGAAGGGCTTAGGAGTGAGAGCCTGGTCCGTGAGACCTGCCAACCAGTGCTCAGCTGCCATTGCGATTTTCCACTCTGGTTTTGGCGTCAAAGTCAGGCCTGGTGGGTCATGGCCTTGGGTGTCCCCTGGGCAGCTCAGATGGCTTACCTGCTGGGCATAGCCTCGGAACATTGGGTTGACCAACTTGATCCCATGAGACAGACTGGTGGGGACCACGTAGCTTGGCCTGTAGGAAGCCCAAACCCATTAGTCCAGGTAGCCTGCCTTGAGCTGCTCATTCCCGAGAGAAGCAGGCAGCCAGCCCGTCAGGCTGGATCAGAGTGTGGCGTTTCCTGACATTTGGGGAGGGGCCTACTCAGCCAGGAGCCCCAAGAGGCTCACACATCTCTACAGACAAGAAGAAAATGTCAAGTCATAGCTGCCTCAATTAAGCAAAGAGCTCAAATAAAATAGCATCATTTCCTTCTGGTGCACAACAAACTCGCCTAAACATGATTTGTTTTCATTCTGAAACACTTACTGTGGTTTTCTCATTTCAAAAGTAAGACATGTTCATTATTGACAAATCTAAAATTTCAGAAAAGTACAAGAGAAAAACACCACCACCAATGGCACCAGATACTTACCATTAGATTTCTGGTTCTGTGAAACTACAGATGCATATACAAAAATACATACAGATACACATTTAAACTTGGCTTCTTACACAAGCGGAATTATATTGTACCATGCTGGGTTTTTTTTTTTTTTTTTTTGGGACAGAGTCTTGCTCTGTTTCCCAGGCTAGAGTGCAGTGGCATGATCTTGGCTTGCTGCAACCTCCGCCTCCCGAGTTCAAGTGATTCTCCTGTCTCAGCCTCCCAAAGTGCTGGGAATACAGGTGCGCGCCACCATGCCCAGCTAATTTTTGTATTTTTAGTAGAGACGGGGTTTCACCACATTGGCCAGGCTGGTCTCGAACTCCTGACCTTGCGATCCACCCGCCTCGGCCTCCCAAAGTACTGGGATTACAGGAGTGAGCCACTGCACACAGACTTTTTTTTTTTTTTTTTTTTTTTTGAGACAGGGTCTCACTCTGTCGCCCAGGCTGAAGTGCAATGGCATGATCAAGCTCACTGCAGCCTGCCTCAACTTCCTGGACTCAAGCGATCCTCCCACCTCAGCCTCCTGAGTAGCTGGGACCACAAGTGCTCACACCACACTCAGCTAATTTTGTAGTTTTTGTAGAGGCGGGGTCTTGCTGTGTTGTCCAGGCCGGTCTCAAACTCCTAGGCTCAAATGATTCTCCTGCCTCGGCCTCCCAAAGTGCTGGATTTACAGGTGTCAGTGACTGCATCTGGCCCCACGCTGGTTTTTAATCTGCTTCTACATTTAATACATATTTCTCCCATGCTGGTTTGTTTTGTTTTTGTTTTTTTTTTTTTGAGACAGAGTCTCGCTTTGTCAACAGGCTGGAGTGCAGTGGTGCGATCTCGGCTCACTGCCACCTCCGCCTCCCAGGTTCAAGTGATTCTCCTGCCTCAGCCTCCCGAGTAGCTGGGACTACAGGCACACGCCACCACACCCAGCTAATTTTTGTATTTTTATTAGACACGGGGTTTCACCATGTTGGCCAGAACGGTCTCGATCTCTTGACCTCGTGATCCACCTGCCTCAGCCTCTCAAAGTGCAGGGATTACAGGCGTGAGCCACTGCGCCTGGCCCTACGCTGGTTTTTCATCCGCTTCTACACATAATACATATTTCTATGTGCTCATTTAAAATTATTCCCAACTTTGACTTTTCCTGGAGAAACAGATCTAATCACAGACTCTGATCTTTAAATTAATTTCATACTGTGCCAGAAGCTCCATCCAGTCTGTGCTCCCCTGCCCCACACCTCCTTCTACACACACAGTCCTGGCTGAGGCCGGGTCACCATGTCTCTTGGCAAAGACATCTACCAGTGGCTGCTCGGTAGGGTCAACAGTAGGTCAAATTCTAGCTCACTTTTTGCAGGTTCTATGACCTTGAGCAAGATACTTAAAGTGCTCTGCACCTCAGTTTCCCTATTTGTAAAACAGGACTGGATGCAATTTCCACCCCGCAGGCTTGCTGCAAGCATTACCCGGGACAAAGTGAGGCAAGTCCTCGCTGGGGGCTGAATCCACAGGAAGTACTCAATCATGGGTGCTGACAGGAAACCCCAGTCCCCACACACCGCCCAAGGCTAGGGATGCAGCTGCTCACCGTTTCTTATGCCAGACCTCAGAGACCAGCTTCTGGTAGCTCTTGCACAGGGCTGGCTTCTTATCTGTGCGCACCAGGCCGCCACACTCCAAGAAGAACTGAGTCAGCGGCGGGCTGGGTGCAGGGGAGAGAGAGCCAGGTCAGGAGAGCAAATGAGGCATGCGGCAGTTTAGAAAGGGCTGCATAGCGGGGAGCCCTGAGTGCTCGCACAGGGAGCACAGTGGCCCTGGACCCAGAAACTCCTGAAGGTGACTAGAAGGCTCCTACCAGTTATGAGAAAATTGTATCCTCCAAAATTCATCTGCGAAGCCCTAACTCCCAGAGACAGGGCATTTTTATTTTATCTCATCTTATCTATCTTACCTTATTTTTTTATTATTATTATTATTATTTTGAAACAGAGTCTCCCTCTGTTGCCCAGGCTGGAGTCCAGTGGTGCAATCTTGGTTCATTGCAACCTCTGCCTCCCGGGTTCAAGTGCTTCTCCTGCCTTAGCCTCCCGAGTAGCTGGGATTACAGGCACATGCCACAATGCCTGGCTAATTTTTTTGTATTTTTAGTAGAGACAGGCTCTACTAGTTGGCCAGGCTGGTCTTGAACTCCTGACCTCAGGCGATCCACTTGCCTTGACCTCCCAAAGTGCTGGGATTACAGGCGTAAGCCACGGTGCCCAGCCAAGACAGGGCCTTTAAAGAGGTTATTAAAGTTAAAACGGATTGGGTGCGGTCAATTTTTCTTTTTTTTTTTGAGACGGAGTCTCGCTCTGTCACCCAGGCTGGAATGCAATGGCATGATCTCAGCTCACTGCAACCTCCGCCTCCCGGGTTCAAGCGATTCTCCTGCCTCAGCCTCCCCAGTAGCTGGGACTACAGGTGCGTGCCACCACGTCCAGCTAGTTTTTTGTATTTTTAGTAGAGACAGGGTTTCACCATGTTAGCCAGAATGGTCTCTATCTCCTGACCTGGTGATCCATCTGCCTCGGCCTACCAAAGTGCTGGGATTACAGGCGTGGGCTACTGCGCCCAGCCTGGGTGTGGTCAATTATTAACAATAATTGACCTGCATCCTGCCACCTGAGGATAGTTACTAGGAACATTTTGGGACATAGCCTTCCAGACTTTTCTACGCATTTGTACCCATTCCCTCTCTGCTTCCCGCATACATATACTGCATCTCTAACCTCCACTGGGTAGGAGAAGCACGTCAGACACAGGAGACATCCTTGGCCTCATGGAGCTCACAGCCTTATCCTTAATGGAAAATCGCATTTCTCCCATAAAACGGGATTGTACCATGCAATGCTTTATAACCTCCTTTTTCCCCCACTCACCAGATTCTGAACCCCTTCTTGTTTCAATGCATGTTGTCTTGTGCCATTTTTCCTGCACTTGCTGCAAGGGCTATGAGAATTTATACTCTCTTGCAGATGGGCCTTTAAATCATTTCCAGTAAACAACAGAGCACTGAGCCTCCTTGCACGTACAACTTCCCCAGCATCTCCGGTTATCTCCTCAGGATACATTCTGACTGGGAGGATTGCTGGGTCAAAGGGTATACATGCTTTCAGGCATTTTGCTGTGCATCCTATACATGTGTTTGTGGGCAACCGGCTGGGGGCTGCTACTGCTGCTGTTTCCGGGGCTTTGCCAGGGACAGCTCTCGGCCCTCGGACAAAGTGTCGACCTACCAATTGGACAGGGCCTGCAGGGCAGCGTTCATGTAGCAGGAGTTCCCGAGGTTCTTCATGCCCGTGAGGCCTGGGAAATAAACACAACGGGGAGGAGCAGGTGAGCACCCTGCCCCACCGAGGAAACCTTGCAAGTCACATTTGGCACAAAGGTGTGGCTCTCAACTGCCCAAGACCCAAGAAGAGGACATGGTGGAAGCGTTCCACCCCAGGAATCTTCCCAGTAAACTAACGTGGTTCCTGCTCACAACAGCTGCGGTTACCTGAGTGTTTTAAACAGATGAACTCCTTTGCCCCTCCGCCCAGCCAGGCCCACTGTCCAGACCATACAGCAGAGGGGTCGGCCTGCCCAGGGTCACCCAGCTGGGAGAGGGGACAAGATAGCCAGCTCTCCAGAACCTTAGCTAGGCCAGCCAACTTCTGGGGTGAAGCCACCATGCTAAACAGCTTATCCGTCACCCCATCCTTCCTTGCCCATATAGCAGGTGCAAATAGAGACCAAGACTCTGGCGGTTTCCAGCCTCCAGATGAGGGCCCCCAGCCCAGCCCATCAGCTTCCCCTGCTGTGGGGGCCATTACCTCGAGGTTTCAGGTCATCGTCCTCTGACTCAGACTCTCCTTCATCAGCCACAGCAATAGGAACAGCTTTCAGAGGGTGGGAGGGTGGCGGGGAGTCCTGTGTTAAAGACCCAAAGTGAGGAAAACAGTGAACAGAGGGGCTGGGGTCAGAGGCCCAGGTGTCTCCCAAGGGCTGGAAGTCCAGCCCTACTGCCCGGAAGGCCCTACTGGGCTGAGCCAGTCCAGCTGAGCAGAAGGTACTGTGAAAAGAGATAGGATTGGTGGCCTTGCCCTGGGAACTCCTTGATTTGTGTGTGTCTGTGTTTTTTTAGAGACAGGGTCTTGCTTTGTCACCCAGGCTGGAGTGCAGTGGCACAATCAGAGCTCACTGCTGACTCCAACTTCTGGGCTCAAGGGATCCTCCCACCTCGCCCTTCTCAGTAGCTGAGACTACAGGTGCATGCACAGCACCCAGCTAACCTTTTTATATTGCCCAGGCTGGTCTCAAACTACTGGGCTCCAGTGATCCTCCCAAAGTGTTAGGATAACATGAGCCACTGTGTCCAGATGTTGACTTGCATTTTTTTATTGGCAATAAAAAAAATATTTTATTTATAATAAATTTGGAGAAAAATAGAAACATAAACATGCAACCCCATTTTCCTGAGAGAACTGCTGTTAATAGTCTGTATGTATCTTATGTAGACGTTTTTTTTTTTCTTTTTGAGACAGAGTCTCGCTCTGTTGCCCAGGCTGGAGTGCAATGGTGCAATCTTGGCTCACTGCAAGCTCCGCCTCCCAGGTTCATGCCATTCTCCTGCCTCAGCCTCCTGACTAGCTGGGACTACAGGTGCCCGCTACTATGCCTGACTAATTTTTTGTATTTTTAGTAGAGACGGGGTTTCACCGTGTTAGCCAGGATGGTCTCGATCTCCTGACCTCGTGATCTGCCCGCCTCGGCCTCCCAAAGTGCTGGGATTACAGGAATGAGCCACCGCGCCTGGGCTATGTGGACTTTTTTTAAGAGATAGAGTCTTGCTCGTCGCCCAGGCTGGAGTGCAGTAGCACAACTATAGCTCACTGCAACCTTGAACTCCCGGGCTCAAGTGATCCTCCCACCTCAGCCTCCCAAGTAGCTGGGATTACAAGCATGCGCCACCATGCCTAGCTAATTTTATTTTTTGTAGAGACAGGGTCTCACGCTGTTGCCCAGGCTGGTCTCAAACTCCTGGGCTCAAGCGATCCTCCTGCCTTGGCCCAGCAAAGGGCTGGGATTACAGGCATTAGCCATGGCGCCCAGCCTGTATTATACAGACTTTTAACTGTTAATACACATGCACAACAAAAACAAGATATTGCATATACTGTTTTATAGCCTTTTCTATAAAAATTCATAAATATCTACCAAGTTCACAAATGCATTCAATAAGCATTTTGAGCAATATTGAGCCCTATCATGTGACTGTCTAAACAGAAGGAGAGGCCAGGTGCGGTGGCTCCTGCCTGTAATCCCAGCACTTTGGGAGGCCAAGGCAGGCGGATCACTTGAGGTCAGGAGTTCAAGACCAGCCTAGTCAACATGGCAAAACCCTGACTCTACTAAAAATATGAAAATTAGCCAGGCATGGTCGTGGGCGCCTGTAATCCCAGCTACTCAGGAGGTTGAGGCAGGACAATCAGTTGAACCCAGGAGGCAGAGGTTGTAGTGAGATGAGATTGCACCACTGCATTCCAGCCTGAGCAACAGAGCGAGACTCGGTCTCAAAAAATTAAAATAAAATAAAATAAAATAAAATAAATGGAGGAGAGAGCCATGCAGATGCTGCACACATGTCCTGGCTTCTCCTCTAGCAGGCAGCTCTGCCATCCAGGATTACTGACCATTCCCTGAGGACACACCTGGGGCCGGGCCCTCCAGGTCACAGGCTTGCTGACCTGCCATCTCTAAGGTTGCACAGCACACTGTTGATCAAAGGACCATTCTCTGGTTGACGTTACCCAGGTGGTTTCTGGGCATTTCCCATAGAGAAGTGTGCTGTAGCAACTACCTGGAATTCCCTTAGGAATGGTTTCAGATCTGGGATGGCCAGAGGGCCATCTGTGACCTTGTCAACCCTCTCCATAAGGCCTGGAAGGGTCTACACTCACCTCATGGCCCTGGGCCCACCCCAACCCCTGCACTCCACACGGCCACCCCATGGTCTCCGAGCTCCTCAAGGGAGGCCCTACTCTCAGTCACCTCTGCACCCTCATGGTCTCACACATGCCTCGGCACAGAGTTGGGCTCAGTGAGCATGTGCTGATGTGAGCTCCTCAAAGTCACCTGAAAACATACTGACCCAGAAACAGACACCTCTGGGACCTACTGCCCCATGCTCCACGGATGCTCAGGTCACACTGCCTCATCCTCAACACAGTGTCACCAACAACCAAACAGAGCCCACCACACAGGTTACCTGTTCAGAGAACTTGGAAGAGGAGCCCAGCAGAGGGGCTGCCAGCCGCTGCTCCAGGAATACCTCCTTCTCACAGGCGTAACACCACAGTCGGAACGTGGTCAGGTTCACGGTCAAGTTGTGCTTTTTTGCCTAGAGGGTGATATCCAAAACAAGGTCCAGGGCACTCTAGCCTAACAAGTGCCCCAACCTGTAATGGCTGCTCCGCTCCCCAGCCTCTCAGTAAGAGGCCCTGTCAGGACAGAGGCCGGAAGCTCAAATTTTGCTTACCCACCCCCAGTCAGGACCCTGAGGGCTGCTGCTTATCAAATGGTGCAGATGCAAAATGTTTTTACCTGCATTCTCTCTTGCTTCTTTGCAGAAGCTATGCTAGGATGACACCATTTATTGCCCCAGCCATTTAGGCCCAGAGTGGGAAGGTGGAGCTGGGGTTTGAACCCCAGGCCATCTAACTGCAGGGCCCATACTCTCAGCCACCACACTCACCTGTGCATGAATGGTGCTGTGGTCAGCAAAGGATTCTCCGCAGCCAACATAGGGGCAGGCAACCTGGGAAGAGAGGGAAGGAGAGTGGACTGGAGCTTGCCAAAAGGATGGTGTCAACACAGTGTCTCTGGTTCCATCCCAAAGTCAGTGCCCCTACCTCTCCTGAATAGGGGCCACAAGGGACTGAGGCTCTGCCATCTCAAAGGAACACGGGTCTGTAGGTCTGTACACCTGAAGTTCTGCTGGGCAGTGATGGACAGTAAACAGCGTCCCTGCCCTCTGAGTGAGACGAGCAGTATGCCCTGGGCTGCTGCTCTCCAGCAAGAAGCCCAGGCGGGGTCCCAGCTGGGGCCTGGCTGCTCGGGACCAAGACCCTCTCCCTCCACAAAAACCCCATGTGAAGTGGGGTCAGTTATTGGGACCTGTGTTTTTGGTGGGGATCCTAGGCCTCACAGCCATTTTCTAATGGGGGATGATGAATGGGGACCAGGTGTTTGAAACAAGGGTCACAGGTAGTGGGAACCCAGTACTGACCCAGTGCCCCAGAGCAGGGCCCACATGCCCCTGATGACACTGCCTTTGCCCTCGCACTCTCCTATCCCAAATCTACCCATCCTCCAAGGCCCGCTCAGTGCTTCCACTGTGAGCCTCCACGCCAGCCAGTAGCCAATGCCATACTCCTACAGGAGCGCCTGCTGTCACTGCCACCTGTGATCAGCAGGGCCTTCTGGGAAAACAATGGAATCATATCATGTGGCTGACTCAGAAAGCACGTGCCATTTTCTGCATCAGGCTCCTACATCTGTCTGAGGGGACTGTGGCTCCTATGAGGTAGGACCACGTCCTGCACTTGTAACAGCCCAGGAGATAACATCTAGCCCTTCTTGCTGCCCCCTGGATACGCAGTGTCTTGCCATCTACTTTGTGCTGAGTGACAGGGCTGAGCAGAAGAGGCCAGAATCCCACTGGAGGCCCCTGCACTTCTGCAAAGACTGACTGGCTGTCTTCACTCGCTGCTGCTGTCTTTGTTGTTTTTACTCGTGGGTTTTTTTTTTTAAAGAAATTTTAAGTAACAGTCATTTTTAGTATGACTATAAAAATACATACTTGGAAACATTTTTTAAATACTACAGAGAAAAAAAGAAAATTACCCATAATTCTACCACTCAGAGGAAACTGTCATGTTTTCATACATCTACTTTTACTCTTTTTAGTAACCAGTAATCACCCAAACCCTTCCAGCTTCTCCCGGACACTGTCTCCTGGCCAGTCACAGGCATCCGTCTTGTCCAGTTCTACCCTAACCCCATGAGGCGGGGACGGTTGTCAGCTGTCAGTGTTGCAGCCCCTTTCTTATAGATGGGTAATGAAGGTTCAGGGAAAAAATGAGACTGGCCCAGGTAGAGACGCTGCTGAGCAGCAGTGCCAGGCCTCAAAGCCAAGACACCCACGTTGACTCACACATATTCATGCCAAGCTAGAATACTGTCCTATGAAGAAGGGAGCCTTCAGTCTAGAGCCTTCTCCGACCTATTTTTTTCTCCTGTCATTTTTAATTGCTGCCAGAATGGCCAGCCCAGGATTCGCTGACTTTGGAGTCCTGTGCCCCTGTGCCCCAGCCCAAGGTTTCTGGCAGTGCCCACTAGGGATGGAAGTTCCCAGCCCAGAGTCTAGCCCACTGCACCAGCCTGTGCAGTGCTGATAACAGGTGGAAGCAGCTCTACACCCCTGATGGCCACAAGGGTCTTTTACCTGCAGACAGGCCCATAGGTTTGGTCCGGTGACCCCACACGACTGACAGGTTCCCTGTGTGAGTTGAGAGGAGAGAAAAAGAGCAGGCATGAGGAGCCCGTTGCGGGGCTGAGCACTGAGACTGCTCCTGCCTGGAGGGCCCCACCTGGCTGACATGCACTCAGAAGGTCTCAGCTTCAAGCCCTGGCCCCAGAAAGGCCTTCGCCAGACTTCCTGTCCAAATTAGGCTCCCAGGGGAGCACTTTATACTTTACTGTTTGAATTCTATCCTGTGCCTGTAAAAACATTTTCAAATCAACATTTTATGATTTTAGTGTCTATAACCTAATCTTGGAAAATAAAATCATGTAAGAGACTCGTTAACACGCTCTCTTCCCACCCCTTACTCTTCCTTTCTTGCACTGAATTATTTCAGCCTTTCTCCCCATTAGACAAGGGCGCCATGAAAGAGGGATGGTCTGTTCTGCCTACCCCTGTGAGTTCACAGGGCCTGGTATAAATGAAGAGTTCACTAGACCTGGCAAACCCCAGGAAACGCCCAGGTTTCTGGCGGTCTGGGCGTCAAAGCCTGCTCCGTGTCTACTGGAATCCTTTCTCTCCTCCTTGCTTTAACAATGGGATGCATGGATTTTAGCTGAACACACAGCTAGCCTGCTGCAGATGACGTTTTCCAGCTTCCACCATGATCATGTGGCTCAGTTCTAGTCAAACTAGCAAAAACGATGTGTGCCACTTCTGTGCTGTGTGCTACCCTTGCTCTTTCTCCTCCTACCATTGGCTGGAATGTGGATGTGATGGCAGGAGCTGAAGCAACCACCTTGGACTCAGGATGAAAGCCACATGTTGAGAATGGCAGAGCTACCCTACCAGTCCTACCTACCTGTGGTCTGTTCTGTGAGAGAAAAGAAACTTCTTTTTTTTTTTTGTTTTGAGATGGAGTCTCGCTCTGTCACCCAGGCTGGAGTGCAGTGGTGCAATCTCGGCTCACTGCAAACTCCGCCTCCGGGGTTCACGCCATTCTCCTGCCTTAGCCTCCCAAGTAGCTGGGACTACAGGCACCCACCACCTCGCCCGGCTAATTTTTTGTATTATTAGTAGAGATGGGATTTCACCATGTTAGCCAGGATGGCCTCGATCTCCTGACCTCATGATCCACCCGCCTTGGCCTCCCAAAGTGCTGGGATTACAGGCGTGAGCCACCGTGCCCAGCCCACTGAGTTCTTTACACACTGCTCACATAATCCCCTCCAGTCTCTGTAGCAGGGCCCAGCAACATCCCCCTTTCACTGATGAGAAACTGGGACTCAGAGAGGTCACACCCTTGTCACAGAGCAAGGTCAGCAGGTGAAGCCAGTGAGCCTGGACCCCAGTGCAGCAAGGTCACAAACCTCTCACCAAGAAAGCCTGGCTTCCCCCAGGGTGGCCATGTTGGCTCCCAGGCCTCCATGGCCTCCTTCTCATTGTCACTACACCCAGATTCCAGCTGTGTTTGTAAAAAGCCTGAACATGGGGTTGAAGTGAAGCAGCTTGTCCCATACGATGAAGCTGAGATCTGCACTCTGTGGTTTAGGGTCTCTCACGGAGGATGCTGTGGGTGCCAGGAGATCAGTCTGCTTAGCAGACTCAAAACCGCAGCCCCAAACCTTCCTGAATTTGTCATCTCTCTCATGATTTTTTGACTTCACAATTCACCCTCCTCTTCCCAGTTTTTTTTCCATTTCAGTTATTTGATTTATAAAAGTATCGAATGCTTGCTATAACAATTCAGATGACATCTATATGCTGTGTATGATATGAAATATTTCCCTCCGTACATTCTTCTTACATAAAACACGTATGCCTGGATCTTGAGGGGGTGATTTTTAGTAAAAATAAGATCATGCAATACATATTTCTCTGTAATGTGCCTTTGAGGGTCACCCAAGTCTGTACATGAAGACTTCATTCCTCTGTGATAACTGCACACTCTGGACACACCATAATTGATTCCCCCATTCCTTTCTTGAGGAATATTCAGGTGCCACCAGTTTTTCCCTTTTATAAATAACGCTCAATAAATACTGCTGTATCATATGTTTATAACTGGTGATTACATTTCTACTGGATAAATTCCCAGAAGCAGAATTGTTTCCCTAAAAGTTACGGTAATTCCTAGCCCTACCACAACGTGAGTGGCCCATTTTCTCCATAACTGTCAGCTATGAATGGGATCAGTCTCTTTCCGCCCATCTGCAAAATGGTATCATCCTATTTCATTAGCAATATCCATAAGAATGAGAGTGAAGTCAGCCATCTTTTTCAGAAAGTTTCTTGTCATTTCTACCTCTTTTACTGGGAAGGACCTGCTCATATCCTTGCTCTTTCTGAGTATTTTAGAACGGTGTTGGTTTTATTTTGTAACTTTCTGGATACCCAAAGAGGAGCTGAAGTTGTGATCTCTGACACACAGCCCCAGAGCACCCCAGACAAGCCCAGTCTCTGATCTAGAGGCACTAACAGGCTTCTGAACGGCTGCCAGGCCCAGTGCAAACCTTCCTGTGCTCCACCTCTCTTCTGCCACCTGCTTCATCCCCCCCCTGCTCTCAGATTCCCTAAGAAGTGGAGAGAAACCCAGCACCAGACAGTGCAAACACATCCGGGCCTCACTCTGCCCCACTTCATGCTGCAAGAGGCAAAGTCACTTCAAAAGCAGCTATAGGCACTATGAAGAACTGCTCCCATGCCAGGCCCCATGACAAAACCAGCTCAGGCCAAAGGCCACCAAGGACCTGCTGGTGCAGCGAGGCCAGGCGACCAGCATTAGGTGCCAATATGCCCAGGAATCCCACTCCTGGGAACATGCCTGCATGCAGCTCTGCCCATGGATGCAATGACTTTTCTACAAGGCCATTCATCGCAGCATCATGTGTATCGGCAAGAGGCTGCAAAGGGTCCAGGTGTCCACCCAGAGAGCATCAGTCACTGTGGCCACATGATGAAATATGATGCAGCTTCAAGGTAACAAATGTGAAAGCTGTCTCTATGCACTGATGTCCAAAGAGCTCCAAGATACACTGTCATGTGAATAAAGCAAGTTACAAAACAGAGAGGATCGTATACCATCTTTTATGTAAGAAAGGGCAAAACTTAAAATGAGTTTATCTGCTTGTATTCACATAAAGAAACTGAAAAGATACAAAAGAGAATAAGTGCTTACCCGGGGGTGGGCTGGGGAGGGTGGGCACAGGGGTGAGAGAAGGACTTCTTGACATTTATCTTTTTGTCCTGTTTCATTTGTAACCCTGTTCAAGTATTACCTTTTCAAAAATTTTCATTTCACAACACCAAAAGGATGGCAACACATCCTCCTACTCTGAGAAGAGGCCCAGCTTCCTGCTCAGGCTTCCCTGAGCCCTCCTGGAGCCACCTGTGTAAAAACGCTCCTGAACTTGGAAAGCAGCATTCATTCCCTGCCTTGGAGAGGCTCTGTGCACCGCCCCAACAGCTAATGGACAGAGAGCATTAGTGGTTCCCAAATGGCCTTGTCTAAACTATAATTAATGGCTATTAGGACAGAGCCTCCGGAAGGCGGCCTCCCAAGCAGATGCCAGCATTTCCATTTACACAGAAAGCTGAGCAGAGACTGTCAGGGAACCAGTTTTTCCACTGCTTCAGAAATGTCCACACCCCAGGAAAGAGGCAGCCCTGGGTGTGGGCCCTGGCCCCGTAAGGTCTGACCCTTTACCTTAGATTTGAGCAGCAAGTCCTCTTTGGTCACCTCTCCTATGGAGTCAAGGTGAGGGCAAAGGTCCCTGGAGTCCCCCATCCTGGCCTGGGCTCACCTATGAGAAGACACAAGCAATCCCGGGTTAATGGCAGCCAGTGTTGGCAGGAGGTGGGGAGGTGAGTGGTTAAGTACATGACTTTGGCCTTGAGTCCTGGTCTGCCACAAACCAGCTGGTAACGCAGGGAAGTTGCTTAACCTCTCTGAGCATCACTTTCCTTGTCTAAGAAGATAACAGTTGCCCCAGTGGGTCGCTCCTAGGTCACGGAGACAATGTCTGTCAAATGCCTGGTGTAGTCCCTGATGTAGGGAAAGCCCATGGCAGGTGACAGGTGTAGTGATCAGAATTATTGGTAGGGAAGACATGGGAGTCCTGCATGCATGCAGGGAGCTGCACACCAGACAATCTAAAACCACAGATGTTTTGTTAGAGGAGGCCAAATCCATGTCCGTCCAAGGATACAGGCAGAGAAGGCGGCAGTGTAGAAAGGCTGGGTTTCAAAAAGGCAAGCAGCAGATGTTGACATAGGTCTTCTCAAGAGCCTCTGGAGGCCAAGTGCTGGCAGACCACTTATCCCACGTCTTGTGGGAGCCCCCTGCGGAGTGAGGTTTGAACACCAGACCACCATGGGAGCAGGCCATGCAGCACTGCCTCCAGAGAACGTCTTCTGAGAGCAGGGAGAAAGTCAGAGAGAAAGGCAGGAGAACAACCTAGAAAGCAGTCTGTGTTTGCCAAAACATCAGCAGTGGTGCAGCTGGGTGATGGGTTTCAAGAGATGGAAAAAAAAAAAGCTCTGTTGCTTCTGTCTAACTGATACACGTTCATTATAAAAACAAAACTCAAACAAGAAAGCACAAAGTAAAATAAATCACTGATAACAAGTAGCAAACATCTTTCCCAACATTCTCCTGCGTTTCTTTCCCTTTTAAATCAGGGGTATAAAAAGATATCTGTCTTAGAAAATAAATGCTTCCCTCAAGGGAGCACCTTGGTGAAGATGAACAGCTCTGTATCTTGAGTGTGGGGTGGTTACATGGATCTACACGTGTGTTAAAAGTGCAAATAACTGAACACACATGAGTGCCTACAGAACTAGTGAAATCTGAATAAGCTCCATGGATTATGCCAATGTCAGTTTACTGATTGTACTACAGACATACTAAGATGTATTATTAGCTGGGATGCTGGTGCATGCCTGTAGTCCCAGCTACTCAAGAGGCTGAGGTAGGAGATCATGTGAGCCCAGGAGTTCAAGGCTGCAGTGAGCCGTGACCATGCCACTGCACTCCAGCCTGGGTGACAGAGCAAGACCTCATCTCAAAAAAAAAAAAAAAAAAAGTATGTGTTATTCTTACCATTAGGGGAAACTGGGTGAAGGTACAAAGGACCTTAGGGTACATTTTTTGCAACTGCCTGTGAATCTATAATTATTTCAAAAGAAAACATTTAAAAATGAGTAACTAAATAAATGCTTCACCTACGGTATTTTAGCAGAATCAAATCCAGGAATCTGACTGCTGATTATAGCTTCAAACTGTTGCCAAATAAGGTCCAAACCAACCAAAGATGTAACTGGAGCCAAGACTGCTTTAACCAAAGGCAGAAGCCTCTGTGACTGCATGAGTCTTAAAAACAAAACAAAAGACTGGGTGCGGTGGCTCATGCCTGTAATCCTAGCACTTTGGGAGGCCGAGGCGGGCAGATCACCTGAGGTCAGGAGATCAAGACCAGCCTGACCAACATGGAGAAATCCCGTCTCTACTAAAAATACAAAATTAGCCGGGCATGATGCACAAGCCTATAATCCCAGCTACTCAGGAGGCTGAGGCAGGAGAATCGCTTGAACCCAGGAGGCGGAAGTTGTGGCAAGCCAACATCGTGCCATTGAACCGCAGCCTAGGCAACAAGAGCGCAACTCCATCCCAAAACACACACACACACACAAAAAACAAAAAACAAAGGCAGAAGCTGCATGTGTGCCCACCTGATCTGAGAGGTGGACCCCCAGACTCCTCCTTACGTGCCCCTCCCTGTCCCAAATGGTCAGCCAGGGTCAACTGGCCAGATTCTCATTCAGAACGTGAGTTACTAAAACTCATGAGGTGTCAGATACCAAACCAAGTGCTTTTTGTGCATTCGTTTATGAAAAACTCTTCCAGCAATCGTTGAGGCAGCTGTGATCAGCCCCATTTCACAGACTAAGGAACAGAGGCTCCTTCTTGTCTAAGGTCTCATAGGAATGTTGGCGCTAGAGCTGAACCTCAAGTGGGTCAGATCCTAAGGGCCCGCTCAGTTGCTTTCTAACTTATAGAAAATGTAAATGTGAAAAGCAGGCAGAACTTACCGTCACATTAAAGATGAGCATAAAGAAAAAAAAGGAAAAAACAAAGTAGACCAAACTATATAACGCACTTCCATGTTTCCATGTACCTAGACTCATCAATTAACAACTCATGGCCAATCTTGCTTCATCTCAACCTCCTGCTTCCTCTTGCTTTTGTAGCAAGTCCCAGACACACAGGCGATCACATTCCATCTGTATTTTTCTAAGAGATAAAGACTTAAAAAAAAAAACCCCATAATCACAATTCCATTCTTTCATCTAAAGAGAAAAATCCATGTGTCCTCCTCAGTCCGTGTTGAAGGGACCCGAGAGGAGGCCATGGGCTTACCTCTGGGTGACACGAAGCCCACAGGAAGCGGCCAGCATTCGCATCCTTTGTTGACAGCTGACAGCGACGGGCTATAGGGGTCTGGAGTGAGTGGAGGCCTCTGGCAAGGAGCCTGGGGGATGAACCAGAGCATTTCACACAGTTCTGTTATTATTACTTTTAAGACAGCCTCTTGCTCGCTTGCCCAGGCTGGAGTTGCAGTGGCATGATCACAGCTCACTGCAGCCTTGACCTTCTAGGCTCAAGCAATCCTCCCACCTCAACTTCCCAAGTAGCTGGGACTATAGGTGTGCACCACCACACCCACCTAATTTATTTAAAATTTCTTGTAGAGACAGGGTCTTGTTTTGTTGTCCAGGCTGGTCTTGAACTCCTGGGCTCAAGTAGTCCTCCCACCTCAGGCCTTCCAAAGTGCTGAGATTATAGGCGTGAGCCACTGTGCCCAGACAGTTCCGTTATTTTAAAATCACTCTTAGCACCAACTAGAAGCTAAAAAGGGCCCAGCATTCCTCCTGGGAGGAACTAATTTCAGGATATTGGGGATGTCCACAGGCTAG
Source organism: Homo sapiens (assembly GCF_000001405.40). Taxonomy (NCBI): domain Eukaryota; kingdom Metazoa; phylum Chordata; class Mammalia; order Primates; family Hominidae; genus Homo; species Homo sapiens. The sequence goes on along the minus strand of NC_000009.12, from coordinate 129,849,367 downwards.
ACTACTCCCTGTGCAGCCAGAGAGCAATACCACCACATCACTCCTGGGCCAGCTGGCCAAGGCTCAGGCAGAGCTGGCACGCAGGGGCAGCCCCTCCTAGGGAGTGCTGGCCTTCACTAGTCACTGCTGAGGCATTACCTTGGTGCTCCCCAGGAGGAAACCTGCACAGGTCTGCTGGAGGGGTCTACAGGGCCTCTCCTATTGTCCCATCAGGCTACCACAGTCCATCAACCCTCTGGACAGGAAGGCCTGGCCCCTTCCACACATGCCACCAGGCCCCTCAGGCCATCCTTTGAGCTCTCAGGGATTTCCTGAGAACCCCCGACCCTCAAGTGTTCAGCAGGCCCAGGCTGCAGGCACAACCGGGCTCATCCACACATTGCCACTACCCACACTTCACTGGCAGGTCACAGTTTCCCAGATGTGGACAGCTCAAAGAGGGAGAGGCAGTTAGAAGCTACCATTTAAAATAGTCACATGACAATGACAGCTTCAAGATTCCAAATTCCAAACCTCCTCACTTGAAGCCAGGTTTTTTAGTTTTCTTCATTGTTTCTGCTGAGGCCATGTGCCCTGAGTCGGCACTAGTCTTACACTATTTTAAGCTGCAGTGGTGTGGGTTTTGCTAGCATCTTTGGTAAGTGATCATCTCTCCAGTCGGGTGGCTGGGGAGGGAGTGGGCAGGTTATAACTTGGCCCATTCTTTTTTTTTTTTTTGAGATAGTCTCACTCTGCCGCTCAGGCTGGAGTACAGTGGCATGATCTTGGCTCACTGCAACTTCTGCCTCCCGGGTTCATGAAATTCTCCTGCCTCAGCCTCCTGAGTTGCTGGGATTACAGCTGTGTGCCACCATGCCCGGCTAATTTAACAGACTCACTCTTGATTTGCAAGTGCAATTGGACTTACATTCTTGCAACTTCAGAGAGAAAAATCAGCCCTGTGGCTAACAGCCCTCAATGTATTCTCACTACTCCCATTTTACAGATGAAGACACAGAATTGGAACTTAAGTAACTCAGGAACTTGGCAGAGGTCAATCACCTGGCTAGTTTTTTTTGTTTTGTTTTGCTTGAGATGGAGTTTCGCTCTTGTTGCCTAGGCTGGAGTGCAATGGTGCGATCTCAGCTCACCGCAACCTCCGCCTCCCGGGTTCAAGCAATTCTCTTGCCTCAGCCCCTTGAGTAGCTGGGATTCCAGGCATGCGCCACCATGCCCAGCTAATTTTATATTTTTAGTAGAGATGGAGTTTCTCCATGTTGGTCAGGCTGGTCTCAAACTCCTGACCTCAGGTGATCCGCCTGCCTCAGCCTCCCAAGTGCTGGGATTACAGGCGTGAGCCACCGTGCTCGGCCCACCTGGCTAGTTTGTAACAGGTGTGGCCCTGATCAGATCTGTGTGGTGCAGAGTCTTGCTCTAAATCATGAGTCGGATTTAGAGAAACATTAAACTGAGCAAAAAAAAAAAAAAAAATCAGATACAAAAACATATATACCATATGATTCTATTTATATAAAATTCCAAGACAGACAAAACTGATGATGATAGAAACTGGATCAGTGATTGCCTGGGGCAAAGGGGAGAGTTATGTTGCAGACAAGAAGGAACTTTCTGTGGTGTTGGAATGTTCTAGATCTTGTCTGGTGTGGGGTTTAATCAAGTGTATACACCTGTCAAATCGTGTGCACTGTATCTTTAAAGTGCGTGCATTTTATTATATGTAAATTATACCTCAATAAAGTTGATTAAAAGCATTTTAAATCAGAATGAGGCCAGGCACAGTGGCTCACACCTGTAATCCCAGCACTTTGGGAGGCTGAGGCGGGCGGATCATGAGATCAGGAGTTGGAGACCAGCCTGGCCAACATGGTGAAACCCTGTCTCAACTAAAAATACAAAATTTAGCTGAGTGTGGTGGGAAGCGCCTGTAATTCCAGCTACTCAGGAGGTTGAGGTGGAAGAATCACTTGAACCTGGGAGGCGGAGGCTGCAGTGAGCTGAGATCGCACCACTGCACTCCAGCCTGGGCGACAGAGCAAGACTCCATCTAAAAAAAAAAAAAAAAAAAAAAGTGTTGGCTGTTGGCGAGGGTGTGGATAAATTGGAGCCCTGTGCACTGTTGGTGGGAATGTGAAATGGTGCAGCTGCTGCAGAATGCAGTATGGCAGTTCCTCAAGAACTGTAAAATAGTACCACACTATTGAGCAATCCACATCTGGGTATACACCCAAATGCACTAAAAACGGCAACTCAAAGAAATATTTGTGCACCTATGTTCATAGCTGCATTATGTGCAACAGCCAAAAGACAATGCAAACCAAGTGCCCATCAATAGACAAAACATGATATACCCATACAATGAAATATGATTCAGCCTAAAAAGGGAAATTTTGACACACGCTACAACATGAACCCTAAAGACACCTACTCAGTAAAACAAGTCAGGCTGGGTATGGTGGTTCATGCCTGTAATCCCAACACTTTGGGAGGCTGAGGCAGGCGGATCACTTGAGGTCAGGAGTTTGAGACCAGCCTGGGCAACATGGTGAAACCTCGTTTCTACTAAAAATACAAAAATTAGCCGGGCGTGGTGGCGGGAGCCTGTATTCCCAGCTAGTAGGGAGGCTGAGGCAGGAGAATCGCTTGAACCTGGGAGGCAGAGGTTGCAATGAGCCAAGAAGATCGTGCCACTGCACTCCGGCCTGGGTGACAAGAGCAAAACTCCATCTTAAAAAAAAAAAAAAAAAAGACAGTAACTTCTCAGAAAATATTTGCTGAATGGCCCCAAAATACAAAGTTATAAAACACTATTAGGCCATGTTGGGCGGCTCATGCCTGTAATTCCAGCACTCTTGGAGGCCGAGGCAGGAGGACTGCTTGAGCCCAGGAGTTTGAGATCAGCCTGGGCAACATGGTGAAACCCCATCTCTACAAAAAATTTAAAAATTAGGTGGGCATGGTGGTGCACGCACCTGTAGTCCCAGCTACTCGGGAAGCTGTGATGGGAGGATGGCTGGAGCCCAGAAGTATGAGGCTGCAGTGAGCTATGATGGCACCACTGCATTCCAGCCTAGACAACAGGGTAAGACCCTATCTCAAAAAAAAAAAAAAAAAAAAAAAAAATATATATATATATATATATGGCTGGGCGCAGTGGCTCACGACTGTAACCCCAGCACTTTGGGAGGCCGAGGCGGGAGGACCATGAGGTCAGGAGATCAAGATCATCCTGGCTAACATGGTGAGACCCCGTCTCTACTAAAAGAAAATACAAAAAAATTGGCTGGGTGTGGTGGCGGACGCCTGTAGTCCCAGCTACTCGGGAGGCTGAGGCAGGAGAAAGGCATGAACCCAGGAGGCTGAGCTTGCAGTGAGCCGAGATCGCACCACTGCGCTCCAGCCTGGGCGACAGAGCGAGACTCTGTCTCAAAAAAAACAAAACACAAAACAAAACAAAAAAAACCTATTATTACAGTAAACTCTTATTTTGGTGAAATAATGTGTTTTAGGCCTAGAGAAAGGATGCTATCATCTTTTCTGGAGGATAGAGTCAAGTGATTTTTATTTCCTTTTTGCTTTTCTGCATTTTCTACAATGAACTTGTGTTGCCTTTTTTTTCTTCCTATACTTGCTTCCTGAATGACTGTGTTATAATCATTCTAATCTAATAATCTAATAAGGTCAGTCACAGTGGCTCACGCCTGTAATCCTAGTGCTTTTGGGAAGCTGAGGAGGGAGGATCCCTTAAGCTCAAGGCTGCAGTGAACTAGGATTGTGCCACTGCACTACAGCCTGGGCAACAGAGCAAGAACCCATCTCTAAAACAAAACCAAAATCAAAAAACAACAAAAAATGCTTTTCCTCTCAGAAGTCCCCTCTCTCACTAGAGAGAGAGCTGTTTTCCTTTCTTTCTTTTTCTTTTGCCTGTTAAACCTCTGCTCCTAAAAACAAAAACAAACCAAAAAAAATACCTAAATCGGTTACTGTTAATGGTTTTTCAAGTTTCCAAAATAAGAAAATAAGAAGAGTGTGCATCTGGCTTCCTAGGTATGTTGCTCTTCCCCAAACTCCTGAGGGCACCATAGGGGACAGAGCCTCTGTTCCCTGGAGCTCTCCAGGCCCCTGTGCCAGGCACTGCCCTGAGCCTACACAGGGTGGTTTTCAGAGAAGGGGTGGGAGCATCTGAGTGGTCCCAGAAGTCCCCAAAGCTGCTACCTGGATGGCTCCTAAGCACACTTCTCCAGGTGACTCACAGGGGCCAAGAAGTGCCCTCAACATGTGTTTTTTGTATTTTTATCTATTTATTTATTTAGAGACCAGGTTATGAGACTGGCTAATTTTTGTATTTTTGGTAGAGACAGGGTTTTGCCGTGTTGCCCAAGCTGGTCTTGAACTCCTGGGCTTAAGTGATCTGCCCACCTCCACCTCCCAAAGTGCTGGGATTACACACATGAGCCACCATGACCGGCCCTCTCAATATTCATTTTTGCCTCATTTACCTCCATGTTGTATTCAAATTTTTCATCTTCTCCTACTTGTCCTGAAAATTTTAAAGGCATTTTTGTCTGGTTTTCATAAATTTGATATATACCTTCATAGAAGCTGGAAACAGACACAGACATAAAATGAAATAAAAATCACCTGTAATCCTGCTGTACAGGAAAAAAAATATGGTTACCTTTTTGGTTTTGGTAAGTCTTATTTACATGTACGAATATATAATTTTTTTTTTTTTTTTTTTTTTTTTGAGACAGAGTCGCGCTCTGTCACCCAGGCTGGAGTGCAGTGGTGCGATCTCGACTGAACACACTCTCCACTTCAGGTTCAAGCCATCCTACCACCTCAGCCTCCCGAGTAGCTGGGATTACAGGCACACACTCCCACGCCTGGCTAATTTTTGTATTTTTTGTAGATATGGGGTTTCGTCATGTTGCCCAAGCTGGTCTCAAACTCCAGAGCTCAACCAATCCATCTGCCTGGGCCTCCCAAAGTGCTGGGATTACAGGCGTGAGCCACCATGCCCAACCAGATATATAAATTTTAAAAATAAACTGCAATATAACCAATAAATTTGTATACAGCTTTTTTTGGTTTATATATTTCTAATGTCACTAAATTTCTTTTCAGCTTCATTTCTAATAGGTGAATAATATTATACCACATATAATTTAAGCTATACAACCCCTTACTGAATTATTTATCCATCATAGGACGTGGTATTTTTGTATTTTGTGTATGTGTGTTTTGCCATTATAAAGAAGGCACTGAGAAACATTTTGGAATATGAATCTTTTGTTTTGCTTAAAGACAAGTCTCAATCTGTCACCCAGGCTGGAGTGCAATGGTGTGATCATGGTTCACTGCAGCCTCTACCTCCCTGGGCTCAGGTGATCCTCCTACCTCAGCCCCCCAAGTAGCTAGGACTACAGGCATGCACTACCAAGCCTGGCTACTTTTTAATTTTTCTTTTATAGAGACAGAGTTTTGCCATGATGCCCAGATTGGTCTGGAACTCCTGGGTTCAAGCAATCTGCCTGCCTTGGACTCCCAAAGTACTGGAACTACAGGTGTGAGCCACCAGGAATGTGAAACTTTGACTAAATCTTTTTGTTTTGTTTTGTTTTGTTTTTTTGAGATGGAGTTTTCACTCTTGTTACCCAGGCTGGAGTGCAGTGGTGTGATCTCGGCTCACTGCAACCTCCACCTCCTGGGTTCAAGCAATTCTGCTGCCTCAGCCTCCCAAGTAGCTGGGATTACAAGCACACACCACCACGCCCAGCTAATCTTTTTGGATTTTTAGTAGAGATGAGGTTTCACCACATTGGTCAGGCTGGTCTTGAACTCCTGATCTCAGGTGATCCGCCTGCCTCAGCTTCTCAAGTGCTGGGATTACAGGCGTGAGTCACTGCGACCAGACTGTCTTTTTGTTGTTGTCGTGGTTGAGACAGAGTCTTAGTCTGTTGCCTAGGCTGGACTGCAGTGGCGTGATCTCTGCTCACTGCAACCTCCGCCTCCTGGGTTCAAGCGTTTCTCTTGCCTCAGCCTCTAGAGTAGCTGGGATTACAGGAATCCACCATCACACCCACATAATTTTTGTATTTTTAGTAGAGACGAGGTTTCACCACGTTGGCCAGGGTGGTCTCGAACTCCTGACCTCAAGTGATCTGTCCACTGCGGCCTCCCAAAGTGCTGGGAGTACAGGTGTACGCCACCATGCCCGGCCTACATCTTTGACCAAAAAAAAAAAAAAAAATTATTGGTCAAAATGTGTGCTTTGAAGGCTCTACATAGATATTGATAAGCTTCCCTTTAGAAACAGTATATACATTTATCTGCCTATCAGCAGTATATGAGTATGTGCAACATAAAAAGTTTAAGGTTTACTAACATTTTAAAAATTAATGGTTAAAAATCATTTCTATGAAGGAAAAAGGGCGGTAGTACAGAAAACACTGGGTGCTTAATATTCCACACAAAGGGCCAGGTGCGGTGGCTCACAGCTGTAATCCCAGCACTTTGGGAGGCTAAGGAGGGTGGATCACAAGGTCAGGAGTTCGAAACCAGCCTGACCAACATGGTGAAATCCCATCTCTACTAAAAATACAAAAAATTAGCCAGGTGTGGTGGCACATGCCTGTAAGCCCAGCTACTCAGGAGGCTGAGGCAGGAGAATCGCTTGAACCCAGGAGGCAGAGGTTGCAGTGAGCCGAGATCACGCCATTGCACTCCAGCCTGGGCAACAGAGTAAGACTCCGTCTAAAAAAAAAAAAAAAAACTTCCACACACAGGACCTAAAATATCGGAAGCATGGGGGTCGACAAGAGGGTGCATATCTCAGCTGTCTGAAAGTTATCATTTTGCTTCCTTTTGGTACCCAACCAACACTGACCATGTACCTCCTTAGGAACAGTGACTTGGGGTGCTGGGAAACAGCCAGGCATAGGCCCTGCTCTTGTAGTGTACAGAGTCCCATACTTCAACCTCAGGGTACTTGCAAGCAGACACTAGGGAGGTGATAATCACCACCAGCACCTCTGTTTCCTACACTCACTGAGGGTTAGCTGCTGCACATACATTATCCCGGGAGGTAACGGTCACTATGGAAGGAAATTACAGGGACAAGTAGCCCTGGGTTCAGTACCTCACTCTGCCCCTTGCAAGTCTGTGACTTTAGATAAATCGCTCAGTCTCCACATTCATAAAATGGGGACAATGACAGCACCTAGGGTTACTGAGAAGATGAAGTGAGCCAATGCACAGTAAACGCTAAGTTGAATGACTTAGGGCCTCATGGACTTTCTGGGTGGCTCAGATTTTTTATTGATTTGCATGACAAGAATGCTCAAAAAATGTTTACTACTATAATTTGTGTCACTGGCTGTTCTATACATTAGGACACTGAAATTGGTAGGAATAGAAGTCACATGCTCAAGGTCACTCAGAAGGGCACCCTCCATGAGACCACTCAGGGCTCTGCAGGCCAACCAGCCCAGCAACGAACAGGCGCCATGGTGATGGAGTCAGACACACCGCAGGGGACTCATGCACGGATTCTTGGTGCGCTTCCTGAGATCTAAGCTCACCTCCTGGTGCTTTTGACATCAAAGAAAAAGCCAGGAAAGGCAACTTCATGGACTAGAGCAAACCCTTCAACAGCTTCCCTGTCCTGGGGCAGCCTGCGCTTCTGAACCCCCATTCCTGCTGAGCACCTTTGCTTCCCTGCAACGTGAAGGTTCCCTTTCTCCACCAAGGCTGAGAAACTGTTCCAGGCAAGACACTGAGGAGACATAACAAAGCTGGATTGTGGGTCAATGTGGGGGGATGCCACAAAGAACATCCCCAGGACAACCAGCATGCCTGAGTGTGGACTGCCTGTTAGATCATAGTATTTGTTATGGACTGAATTGTTCTCTCTCCCCCATTCATATGCTGAAGTTCTAACCACCAGGACCTGAGAATGTAATCATATTTGAAGATAATGTCTTTAAAGAGGTAATTAAGTTAAAATAAGATCTTTAGGGCAGGCCCTAATCTAATCTTACTGGTATCTTTATGAGATGAGAAAATCCGGACTCACACAGAGGAAAGACCAAGCCAGGACACAGTGAGAAGATGGCCATCTGCAGGCCAAGGAAAGGGCCTTCAGAAGAACCAAACCTGTCGGCACCTTGATCTGAGACGTCTAGCCTCCAGAACTGTGAGAAAATAAATCTCTGTCGTTTAAGCCACCCAGTCTGTGGTACTTTGTTATGGCAGGTCTGGGAAACAAATACATGATTCCATCAATGTGAAAGTTTCTAGGCCGGGAGTGATGGCTCACGCCTGTAATCCCAGCACTTTGGGAGGTTGAGGCTGGCGGATCACCAGAGGTCAGCAGTTTGAGACAAACCTGGCCAACGTGGTGAAACCCCGTCTCTACTAAAAATACAAAAATTAGCCGGGCATGGTTGTGGGCACCTGTAGTCCCAGCTACTCGGGAGGCTGAGGTAGAAGAATCACTTGAACCTGGGAGGCGGAGGTTGCAGTGAGCTGAGATGGCGCCACTGCACTCCAGCCTGGGTGACAAGAGCAAGACCCTATCTCAAAAAAAAAAAAAAAAAAAAAGTTTCTAAAGGTGGAACTCACGCTTTGGTTATGTATGATAATATCCTTATTCTTAGTTAATTCCCGCTGGGATATTTAGGGGAAAAGGACTGTGATGTCTGCAGCTTACTCCTACCTGAATCAGCAATAATTATGACAATAACTATAGAGATTAGAGTTAGAGTAAATAAGGCAAATGTTACTAATTCGTGAATCTAGGTGAGGGGTATGTGGGAGTTCATTGTATTCTTGTAATTTTTCTTAAGTTTGACTTTTTAAAAAAATAGATTCCCTTTCTCACCTTTGAGGTGGGAGCAGGGAGCGGGTTTTCTGGAACAGGCAGCCCCATCGCAGGATCCAGGACCCAGCACCCACTGAGCCTCCAGACCTGGTACCCAGGGCTTTGTTCACCCACTCTCTAGGGCAAGGGCGGCTGTTTCTCATCTCACAGAGGAGGAATGGAAGGTCCCAGACAGGAAGCAACACAGCAGGAAGCGAGCAGGTTGTGTCTGCTTTCCCCACTCTTTCCGTCCCACCTGTGCCTCTGTGCAAATATATGGAGTGTGCACAGCAGGCATTTCATAAAGGCCAAAAGGGAAAGACACCTGTGCAGCTGAAAGAACGTGCTTCCAGGTGCAGCCACGCAGAGTAGGACCTACTGTACAACAAGTCAGCAAGGTGCAGCGTGTGCCCCGCCCTCCCGGCCCACCAGAGCCTCCTCTCTTGGGGCAGGAGAGCACAGGATGGGGGGAGGAAGGCCTGAGACTTTTGGCAAAGAGCCCACCATTGCTGGCCCCAGGAGACCTCCAAGATGCTTCAGGCTCATAAAGGCAGCTTTCCTTCCCTGGGCCTCCAGGGTGGGGGAAAGTGCCACTCCACCCACAGGGGCAAAGTGGAGGGGCAAGGCCTGAGGAAGGGCAGGGGAGGGACCAGCCAGCACAGCCTGTGGTCCTAGGTAGGCAGCACATCTGGACCTGGCTGCCTCTGGTGCCTGTTACTCATTGTTTTCCCAGAGGTTCTGGCTACATCCTCCTCCTCCCAGCGAGGAACCAGTCCCTCAGGATGGGGAGGGCGACACTTCTGGGCCTCCCACCCACACAACGATGCCCACAGCCCTGCCCACGCTGACCCCAACCACATTAGCCATCTCACACCCCCAGCCCCGCACAGGGTGTGTGCCCACCCCCTCCACAGTCCCCTCTGGCCCTCGCACACCCTTTCTCTCCCTCCTGCTGTCTTTACTCTACCTCCACACAACAGCATTCTCCCTAAGTCCCAGACACACCCACCCCTTCCCTTAACCCAGTCCTCACTCGGAGGCCACCATCCTCTGACTCTCGAAGCAGAGCCCTCAGGCCTCCCCATGCCTCCACACTTCCACAGTCTCTGCTGCCCACACACTTCTGTGTCTCCTCATCGCCCTTCCCCCTGCCCCACGGCCCTGAATATTGGAACTGACACTAACATCTTAGTCTGGTGTTCTCACATGTGACCTCACTGGACCCTCACAACCACCCTGGGAGGTGGCAAGGTTCCAAACTAAATCCATCTCCATCACTAACAATGGAGACACCGAGGCTCAGAGAAGTGGAATAACTGGCTAAGGTCACACAGCTACTGAGCTGCAGAACCAAAATTCGAACCCACGACTACCTGCCCTGAAGCCCATGCTCTGAACACTCAGCTCCACGATGTCACAAACAGCCCCGGCCAGCCTGGCATGGGGACGACCTTCACCTCCCCAAATCCAAACACGCGTACTCCAAGGAAGCTTCCTCACAAGAGCCTCTTCTGAGTCATTCTTCAGAGCATTTTTCTGCTCAGCTTAACTTCCTTCAGTCTAGGATATGACAGTATCTCCCTGCAGCTCAAAGCCTGCTACTACCCTTTGCTCTGAGCTCTGTCCGGAAGAGTCCCTTAATTGGAGAAGGCGTGGGTTTGGGGCTACCCTAGGCTGCAGCCAGTCACTGGCCCAGGTCATTAAAAGCCTCACACTCAGTGGTGAGTAAGCATGAGCAGAAACTCAGTCTCGAAGCTCAGACTAGAAACCTTAGAAAAAACTCACATTAGAGATGCGGAAACTAAGAACTAGGAAAATCATGATTTCTGGGGCCTGAAATCAGATCCTCTCTTTTCAGGCAGCATGATCTGCAGCTGCCTTCCCCCATGCAATCTCAGAGTTTAAAGGGGTTTAGAAACCATGCATCTTCCCCTTAAGGCACAACTCTGCTCTGTAAAAGCCATACTGGGTTGTTCTCCAAACCCAGTTTGAGCAGTCGTTGATGATAAAATCACCCTTTTCCCAGAGGGCAGCTCTAGTTGCTACAAACCTAAGTCTTTATAATCAATGGAAATTGGCTCTCCTGAAATTTCTATTTATTGAGCCATGACTGCTCACTGGAGCCAAAGAGCACTGCCACTTTCCTGCCTTTAAATATTTGTTGTTAGCCGGGCACAGTGGCTCACACCTGTAATCCCAGCACTTTGGGAGGCTGAGGCGGGCGGATCACTCAAGGTTAGGAATTTGAGACCAGCCTGGCCAACATGGTGAAACCCCGTCTCTACTAAAAATACATAAATTAGCCAGGTGTGGTGGTGGGCGCCTGTAATCCCAGCTACTCAGGAGTCTGAGGCAGGAGAATCACTTGAACCTGGGAGGCGGAGGTTGGAGTGAGCCAAGATCGCACCACTGCACTCCAGCCTAGGCAACTGAGTGAGACTCCGTCTCAAAAAAAAAAAAAAAAATTGTTGTCAACGTGCATGGCTTCTCCAAGTTTCCTCCTTCATGCTAATGAGAACCAGTTGGATACTGTTTGTCTTGCTAAGGTAAAAGGCTAAGAACAGCCTGGCTCTTTCATCACTGTTAAATACCCCACAATCAGGACTTGAGTTCAGGGTGTACACTCTAAATAAAAGCTTTTGTAAAATAAAGTTCAAGCTTACAGACCCCTAAAACCACCAGGCAGTGACTGGAACCCAAGGCCTATCATTCAATCCACTGCTTTATCTGTCATGTTTCCAACCAAATCCCAAACCAGAATGCGCTAATTTTAATTTGCAACTCAACCTTGCCACCCTCCCGGAGGTGATTCCCTTGTTTTGCTCTATTTGTTTCTTTTCCACAGCACTTACCATCTTCTAACACACTTTACATACTTTACTGTGAGAACATACACTCAACTAATCAGGGATCTTTTGTCTCTTTTGCTGACTTATTTCAAGCACTTAGAACAGTGCCTGCTCATATAGTAAATGCTAAGAATCTGTTGAATACATTGATCCAATAAATACATTTATTGGATGCCGACTATAGCTGGGCTGTGAACTGTATCACGTTGCTGGATCCCAAATCCAATCGGACATGAATGCTCCCTGAACCCTGAAACAAGCCAACATTTCATCTGGCTCCAGAAAGGAGCTAGGAAACCAACCAAAACCTAGGTTGAATCTGTACATTTTCTTAAAACAACTGAACTCCCAAACAAGACTAAGACCTTGGATTCATCTTTGAACTGCATAGAACCTGTATTTCTCGGAGGGTCCTTTTGAGAGACAGTCTCATCCTACGCTTAAAAGGGCCCAGTGAGACTTGGGCTGCAGTCTCTTGGCAAAGCCACTTACTGCCAGATTCATAGCTGCCACTTTTTCAGCATTCCTTTTGCTAAAGAGCACTCAATTAGATCTGCCACAGCACAGGTGGTGGTTATCACTGGGTCCTCTGGCCTCATGGAGCAAGGGTGGGAGCAGCTCATCTGTACCCTGGGACTTCAGCTGAGGAGGAGGGTCCAGAAATGCCCCTGGCCTTCTTGCCCTTTCCTTAGTAGTGTCCAGTACCCCCTGGTGGATGGGCTGCTTGATGGGCAGATTCAGAGCCACCTCTGAGAGCGTGAGAGCTGCAGACGTTGACCCCCTGGACTCCTGCAGCAATTCCCAAGGAGCCTCTCCATCATCTGACAGGGACTCCGTATCCAGTGAGTGCACGTGCATCTGGGTTTGGCTGAACCAGTCTGCAGAGGGCAAGACTTTGAGACTTTAATATATGGCTTTTGACCAAAGATAAAACGCTGGTGCAAGAAGTCCCGAGTCTACTATTTTTTCCAGCCCAAGGAAGAGAAGAACAATCTCAGTGGAGACTGTTCCAGAGAAAACGTAAGGCATTCTAGAAATGCTGCCCTGCTTCGGAATGGTCTTCCAGAAAGGGGAACCCCAGACAGCCCCCATCGGCCCCTCCCCCTAGCCAATGAGATGTAACAGCAGCTGCAGCAGCAGCAAACATCTACTGCACTCCTACCGTGCCAGGCCCTGTGCAAACCGTGCGGCAGAGACTGACCTGCAACCAATTCCTGTTCCACCTCCTAGCTGGGTAACTTGAGGCGTGCACTGCCCCTCGGAGACTCCGCATTCTCATTTGTAAAACGAAAAACAATCTACCTCAAAGGATTGCTGGGAGAATTCAATGAGATGATGCTTTGCCCAGGGCCTGCCACATAGTAACTGCTTAATAAGAGGTAGTTCTCAAAGTAAGGGATGACACTGAGAAAAGGAAAACTACTGTTACTTAAGGGGTTCTTAAAAGTCCTAGAAGCCATTATTTATGCATTTAGGTATTTCCTAAGCGTTTGCTGATACCAGTTTTTCAAATAAACTTTATCCTCACAGCATCTTCGGGGTGGAAGGGGCAGAGGGTAGAGCGACAGACCTGCCGAAGGAGGAAAACCAGACCCGTGAAGGTCCAGGGGGGTGGCCGGCAAGCACCGAGGAGGAGTCCCCCGGCTCAAACCCTCTTGCGTGGCTTCAAAACATCAGACGCGCCTCTCCTCGCGGAGAAGCTGGGGGCCATTATTTGTGAGGCAGTCGGCGCTGGGACTCTAAGTCAGCACCGCAGAGAAGTGGTCATCTTTTGTTCCGAAAGAAAAAAACGCACGTCAGGGCTCAGAGCCCGAGGAAAGAAAAGTCAGCGCCCGAGACGCGAGACGCCACGCGGATGCTTTCAACGCTAGGTCAGGCCCCGGCAGAAATGAGAGGGGGGCGGCCCCGGTTCTGGAGAAGCCACGAGCCCCCAGGGAGCTCAGAGTGGGGTGGTGCTGGGGCCCAGAGGCCCCCCTGGGCGCCGACCGGAGGAGGGGAGAGGGGCGGCGGCGGCCGGGGGGGTCCCGGGCTCCGCTCACCGGGCCGCTGCGTCTGGCGTACCTGGCGAAGCCAGGCCCTGTCAGCCCGGAGCCGGGCTGGGGTCGCCAATGCTCAGAGGCCCGGCCCACAGAAGCAGCCGGTGGCGGCCCGGAACTCACCTGCACTCGCAACTGCGCCGCCGCCGCCTGTCAGTCAAGCGCGCCCCCTCTGAGGCGACGCGCAGGGTTGTGGGGCCGTCTGGCGACGCCCCACCTCCTTCCCTCTGCCGTCCAATCGGAAGAGGCTGACGCCAGGAGAGGGGGCGTGGCCACGCGGACTGTGCGTGCCGGGGGCGGGGCCAGACGGGGCAGGCGCTCTGACCGCTCTGCCGCGCGCCGGAAGCAGCCTGGGCCGCTGCGCAGAGGCGCGGCGGCTGTACAACTCGGCCGTTGTCACCATGCCGGTCGTCCGGAAGATTTTCCGTCGCCGCCGGGGCGACTCGGAGTCAGAGGAAGATGAGCAGGACTCAGAGGAGGTTCGGTGCGTTTGGGGCGGGGCTCCCATAGGCTTGGTAAAGATAGACTTGTTTGGGGGACTCACCACCGGCTCGGCGCTTCGCTGACATTGTTAACTGTGAGCTCGGGTGGTGGTTCCTTCTGCGGACGCAGAAATTGAGGCTCAAGGGGTGAGGCCACCGCCCCAAGCTCGAACGGTTGAGAGAGATGCCTCCGGGATGCGCAGTGGCTCTGACTCCCGGTGGGTCTAGGCACAAGGTCGTCCTCTGGACCACTGTGCTGGTGGCTCAGTAGCTGGGCTGGGATGCCCTCGAAGGTGCCTTATTGGCTCTGTTAGCTTTGGATTCCGCGGGGAATCACTCAGCTTATGCATTGCTGCTTCTTCTTCTTTTTAAAGATTAAAACTGGAAGAGACCAGAGAGGTACAGAACTTGAGGAAGAGGCCCAACGGGGTGAGGTGGGTACCACGCGGGGAGGAGGAGGAGGCGGCGGGGACGACAGACACATCCGCGTCCGGGTCGCTGTCACAAATATCTCCTCAGACGTAGATTTTTCTCTTGACACACTGTACACCTTCCACTGCCCAACTTGGAGAACAGCGTTCTTTGCAAATGTTTAACCAGGACATGCCCTGAGCTGTGTCGTCTCGGGGTGTGCTCCAGAGATACAGAAACAGATCACTAACTCGCGTTTTTTATTAAAACCAATTAATTGTGAAATGCATATCGATCGTTAAGAGTTTGTATAATTTAGAAAAGTATAGTCAAGACGATAAAAAGCACCCATAATTCTCCCATCCGGAAATGATCAGTGTTAACATTTTTTTTCCTTGCAGAGCCACCCAAGAATGCACTGGTATTAATATTGAATACTCTTTCCAATCTGTTTTTTTTCGTCTCTCTCTCTCAGATTGTGAACAACTTTCTATGTACTTTTATTCCCTGTTCTTTTCAACTCATTATGACATTGTGGGCATTCACCCATATTGTGGAATATTTTTCAGAAAGCCTTAATGGCTGCATAATATTCCACCAGATGTGTGTATTGTAATTTGTTAACAAATCCCCTATTTTGGGACATGTAGGTGATTTTGTAAATTTTTACTATCAAATAAGGCTGCAGTGGATATTCTCTTAAATTTATCTTTAGCTGCACTTTCCATGATGAGAATATCTTAGAAATGAGATTTCCAGGCCAAGATAATGCCAAATGGCTTTACAGGAAAGTGGCAAAGTGTACCACTTCACCACCAGCGCACCCTTCTTCCAGCATCTGCGGTGCTCGTTGAGCCCTGTCTTATGCTTATAGGCTTTTCCAGCCGGCTTGCCTACCCACCCCTCAAATCCCACCCTTGCACTAATGTTGCAATCCGCATACCTGAGAGGGTTCCTCCTTATCTCTGAATTATGCCATTTCTCTCTCTCCCCCTCTCTTTTTTTTTTGGTTTTGCTCAGTGCTGTGGCCTTGCTGGTGGGAGAGAAGGTACAAGAGGAGACCACTCTAGTGGTAAGTTATGGGGTCTTCCCTGAGTAGTTATGGCAGCCCTCCCTGCAGTGCTCTTCAGTGAGTGAGCGTGCTTCACAAAAAAAAAAATTCCACTACCATGTATTTAGATGCTTCCTCTTAACTGTGTTTGCTTTCTGCAGGATGATCCCTTTCAGATGAAGACAGGTGGTATGGTGGATATGAAGAAACTGAAGGAAAGGGGCAAAGATAAGTAAGTTCAGGACAAGCTTAGATGCAAATTCACCTTTAGCGGCTGCCTGGGTCTAGGTTCCCTCAGAGAGCTGGGGCCTGTAGCAGCAGCATTAGTAGGACATCTTGAAGCAGGTTTTGTGCTTTGCAAAGGGTGTGTTATTTAAAAACAAAGAAAGCAAAAAGTCTTTAAAAGTTAACTTAGAGCCAAGTTGGTAGACTCCTTTTGTAAGAGTGTATTGTAGGCGTGATGACTCATGCCTATAATCCCAACACTTTGGGAGGCTGAGGTTAGCTTGAGTCCAGGAGTTTAAGACCAGCCTGGGCAACATAGTGAGACCCCTGTCTCTACAAAAAAAAAAAAAAGTGTGTATGTATACACACACACACACACACACACATATGTACACACATATACACATATGTATATACACACATGTATATACACATATACACACACACACACACACATATATATATATACACACACGCATATATATATGTGTGTGTATATATCTGGGTGTGGTGGCATGTGCCTGTAGTCCCAGCTATTCAGGAAATTAAAGTGGGAGAATCACTTGAGTCAGGGAGGTTGAGGCTAGAGTGAGCCGCGATCACACCACTGCACTCCAGCCTGGGTGACAGAGAAAGACCCTGTCTCAAAAAAATAAAATAAGTGAACCTATGGGGAAGTTTCATATAAAAACAATTAACAAAAATAATAAATTCAGGCCAGCTGCGGTGGCTCATGCCTGTAATGCCAGCACTTCAGGAGGCTGAGGCAGGCGGATTACCTGAGGTCAGGAGTTCGAGACCAGCCTGACCAACATGGTGAAACACTGTCGCTATTAAAAATACAAAAGTTAGCCGGGCATTGTGGTGGGCACCCGTAATCCCAGCTACTCAGGAGGGTGAGGCAGGAGAATTGCTTGAACTCGGGAGGCAGAGGTTGCAGTGAGCTGAGATTGCGCCACTGCACTTCAGCCTGGGTGACAGAGTGAGACTCCGTCTCAATAAATTAATAAATCAAACATTCAAATAATTCAAAAATTAAAAAAATAAAAGTTTACTGTGTACTTTTGTGACAACTATATAGCATTTACATTGTATTTGGTATTATAAGTAATCTAGAGATGATTTAAAGCAGATGGTAGTGTGTGTGTAGGTTAGATGCAGATATTATACTATTTTATGTAAGGGACTTCACTATCTGCAGATTTTGGTATCCTTGAGGGACACTAGAACCAATCCCCCATGGATACCTAAGGATAAGTGTATCCACTCAATCCTTGGAGGTATCACTAGCAGCCAACAGTTTGCTTGCATATATTTCTAGAGTTTCTTTTCTTTACATATACTACGGCATTTTTTTTTTTTTGCCAACTGTAAATAGGATATTATAAATGCTTATGTCTTTGTTTTCTTCTTAGAACATAAAACTCAGCCTCATTGAGTTGTGACTTGAAAGCTCTGCCTCATTGTTCTCTCCCTCCAGGATCAGTGAGGAGGAGGACCTGCACCTGGGGACATCGTTTTCTGCAGAAACCAACCGAAGGGATGAGGATGCAGACATGTAAGTGTCAGTCTGTTTGGCTGTGAGCAGTTGGGGCTGGACTCCAGTCAGAGTCCAAGATATTTAGTCAACAGATGACATTTCTAGAATTTTCTAGAAGATGTCAAAGTTGGCCCCTCTCTTTCTACTTCCCAGCTTAAGAACTTTGAAAACCTCTTAAAAGGTCTTTTCAGGCCGGGCACGGTAGCTCTCACCTGTAGTCCCAGCACTTTGGGAGGCCGAGGCAGGTGGATCATCTGAGGTGGGGAGTTCGAGACCAGACTGACCAACATGGAGAAACCCCGTCCCTACTGAAAATACAAAATTAGCTGGGTGTGGTAGTGGGCACCTGTAATCCCAGCTACTCGGGAGGCTGAGGCAGGAGAATTGCTTGAACCTGGGAGGCAGAGCTTGCGGCGAGCCAAGATCTCGCCATTGCACTCCAGCCTGGGCAACAAGAGTGAAACTCCGTCTCCAAAATATAAAAAATAAAAACTTGTTTTCAAAGGTGGTTTCATGACTAGTAATATTTCCCCAAAACATTGCAGGGATAAAACATGGGCTTGCCCACTTTTTATTTTGCCAACAAAGCTATTGGCAAACTATCATCTTTCTGTCTTCAAAGAACCTTGTACATCATAACACCAATAGATTAGTGGGACATAACCTCATAGGTTGGTGCTTCTTTAGAAAATTTCTAACTTGATGAAAAAACTCAAGTTATTTTTTTTCTCGTTTCTCCATGGACTGTCACTGGTCTGCGGGCCAGTGTTGGGGACCACTGATTTAGAGGACACCTGGTGTGTGTTTCCCACCCCTCCCTGAGGCCTCTGGGTTTCTCACTTCAGGATGAAGTACATTGAGACAGAGCTAAAGAAGAGGAAAGGGATCGTGGAACATGAGGAACAGAAAGTTAAGCCAAAGAATGCAGAGGACTGTCTTTATGAACTTCCAGAAAACATCCGTGTTTCCTCAGCAAAGAAGACCGAGGAGATGCTTTCCAACCAGATGCTGAGTGGCATTCCTGAGGTGGACCTGGGCATCGAGTATGTTTGAGACCCCTAGGCAGAAGACACAGTGCTTTCCAGTTAAAAGTTATGGGGGACAGGCCAGGCACGGTGGCTCATGCCTGTAATCCTAGCACTTTGGGAGGCTGAGGCGGGTGGATCACGAGGTCAGGAGTTCAAGACCAGCCCGGCCAAGATGGTCGAACCCCGTCTCTACTAAAAATACAAAAATTAGCTGGGCATGGTGGCAGGCACCTGTAGTCCAGCTACTTGGGAGGCTGAGGCAGGAAATTGCTTGAACCCTGAAGGTGGAGGTTGCAGTGAGGCGAGATCATGCCACTGCACTCCAGTCTGGCGACAGAGCAAGACTCCATCTCAAAAAAAAAGGAAAAAAAAATTTATGGGGGACAGGTATGGTGGCTGATGCCTATAAGCCTATAATCCCAGTACTTGGGAGGCCAAGGCAGGAGGATCACGTGAGGCCAGGAGATCAGCCTGAGAAATATAGTCAGACTCCTGTCTCTCAAAAAAATTTAAAAAATTAGCTGGGCTGTCACTTGAGCTCAGGAGTTGAGGCTACAGTGAGCCATGATTGCACCACTGCACACCAGTCTGGGTGACAGAGTAAGACCCTTTAAAAAAAAAAAAAAAAGGCCAGACATGGTGACTTGTGCCTGTTATCCTAGCTCTTTGGGAGGCCAAGGTGGGAGGATCACTTGAGCCCAGGAGTTCAAGACCAGCCTGGGCAATGTAATGAGACCCCATGTTCTTATCTGTGTCCTTAGAATCCTACAAATACAAATGAGATTGTCCCTGGCAGGTTGTTGCTAGAAGTTTCGCTGAAGGCTTGATCAGAGTAGTAAGGGCCCCTGACTGCTGGAAGCAAAAGTGGTTCTTTAGCGTGTTACAGCTGTTCAGCTGTATCAGGCCCTTTATTCTTCTGTTTTCTTCTAGCAGGAGCCATGTTAAAGGCTCACTCACCCCTTCTCCCCATGATCCTTCTTAAAATATCCACTTTAAAAGGGAATTGTTATGGAAGAGGTACAATTGTTAGAATAATCTTCTGGTACAGTAGAAAGCTGGGAGGCTTCTGGGCTCTTTTCTGGCCTTTACAAACTTTGAGCCTTAAGCATTTTACTTCTCTGAAGCTCAATTTGCTCTTGATCAGAAGAGCAGAGTAACTGTGGTTCTCCGACAGCCGTGAGAGTCCCGTGAGAATGTGACTACAAGTGTGCTTGATAAAGTGGAGAGCTGTGCCCCAGGACACATGATTTTCTTATGTACTGCTGGGCTGCCAGCCTCACCACTCATGTCTGAGTAGTAAGGTGCTATCATCTTCTAAGTGGTGTGGTTTCTTTCTCTCCATAGTGCTAAAATAAAAAATATCATTTCCACGGAGGATGCCAAGGCCCGTCTGCTGGCAGAGCAGCAGAACAAGAAGAAAGACAGCGAGACCTCCTTCGTGCCTACCAACATGGCTGTGAATTATGTGCAGCACAACAGATGTAAGCCCCTCGGAGAGCAGTCTTGCCCCCATTCCCCTATTTGGGCTGAGATCCCTAGGAACCTCATGTTCTAACGTGTCCCCTGGTCTCTTTGGGTCCAGTTTATCATGAGGAGCTCAACGCGCCCATACGGAGAAACAAAGAAGAGCCCAAGGCCCGGCCCTTGAGAGTAGGTGACACGGAGAAGCCAGAGCCTGAGCGTGAGTGCAACAAAGGCCTCGGGGCTGCCTGGAGTGCTCAGCAATGTGGGAACCCATGGAGGCAGGATGCAGCGGGGGACAGGGTGGAGCCTGGCATTGGAGCCGGGGCATATGGGTTCCAGTCCATGCTCTGGACCATGACTATGTGCCTTCCCCTTTCTAAGCCTCAGTTTCCTCATTGGAATCCTAATAGAACCTACCTGTTAGGATTACTCTGAGAATTCATACTCTCTCATATTCTCACGCACAGTAGAGACTCAAGAAGTTAGAAAATTTCAGTAAGGACAAATAAAAGCTACTCATAAGGTTAGCTGGGTGCAGTGCCTCACACTTGTAGTCTCAGCTGCTGGGGAAGCTGGGACAGGAGGATTGCTTGAGACTAAGAGTTCAAGGCTGCAGTGAGCTATGATTGGACCACTGCACTCTAGCCTGCGTGACAGAGTGAGACCACATCTTTTTTTTAAAGAAAAGAAAAAGGTATTGGCCATGCTCGGTGGCCCATGCCTGTAATCCCAGCACTTTGGGAGGCAGAGGCAGGCAGATCACCTAAGGTCAGGAGTTCAAGACGAGCCTGGCCAACATGGTGAACCCCGTCTCTACTAAAAATACAAAAATTAGCCAGGTGAGGTGGCAGGTGCCTGTAATCCCAGCTACTCAGGAGGCTGAGGCAGGAGAATCACTTGAACTCGGGAGTTGGAGGTTGCAGTGAGCTGAGATCATGCCATTACACTCTAGCCTGGGCAACAGGGTGAGACTCCATCTCAAAAAAAAGAAAAGAAAAGAAAAAAAAAAAGACAAATACGTATCTACTGAGGCCCTACTGTGTTCACTGGGTTAGGCGCTGGGGCTCCTGTGGGGAAGGAAACAGGCAGTTGTCTTTGCCTGCATGGAGTAAAGTCTAGCAGTGGGTTCCAGCATGGCAAACCACCTTTCCTGTTCTTTTCCTTCTCAGGGTCCCCTCCTAACCGCAAGCGTCCTGCTAACGAGAAGGCAACTGATGACTATCATTATGAGAAGTTCAAGAAAATGAATAGGCGGTACTGAGTTGTGCAGAGTGGGATGTAAATATCGCCTTCCTCTCCCTATATCCCTCCCATGAAAAATGGCTTCCTGGCCGGGCGTGGTGGCTCCTGCCTGTAATCCCAGCACTTTGGGAGGCCGAGGTGGGCGGATCACCTGAGGTCGGGAGTTTGAGACCAGCCTGACCAACATGGAGAAACCCAGTCTCTACTGAAAATACAGAAAAGTTAGCCAGGCGTGGTGGCACATGCCTGTAATCCCAGCTGCTCAGGAGGCTGAGGCAGGAGAATTGCTTGAACCCAAGAGGCGGAGGTTGTGGTGAGCCGAGATTGCACCTTTGTACTCCAGCCTGGGCAACGAGCAAAAAACTCTGTCTCAAAAAAAAAAAAAAAAAAAAAAAAGAAAAAGAAAAATGGCTTCCAGGACAGAGCATGCTCATTTGCTGGCGGACAGTTCCAGAAACAGACCCTGTTAGTCCTTCTACTTACCTGCTGGATTTTTCAAGCACTAAATTTATAACTTTTTGAAACAAAATAATGTGTAATTTTCCATTTGGGGGCAAACTCTATTCTTGTGAGCATTATTAAATCTTGTTTGTAAATATATTGTCTTTCTCTTAATATTTGCTCTGGGTCAGGAAGAAGCTGTTCACGGTGTGATAATACTCTTTAGATTGTGCTTTCATTATTATAGATGCATCATGTCTTCTGCTTTCACGTGTCTGGGATGGGGTCAGAAATGCATCCTCCAGCTGACAGAAAAATCCAGGATGAGATCAGAAGGATACTGGTGTTTTCTGACTTTTACAAAATTACTTGTTTGTTTTCATTAAAAAAAAAGCATAAACTATGTTTCTTATTACTATTAGAATTATTAAATTTCAAAATGAATCCAACCTTATTGTTTGTATTATGTTTCTTATACCAGCATCAGGTAATGTTTTTAAAGCCCATGGTTTGGGTAGCCTAAATGTAAAACTGAATTACTGAGATGGATTTTCTCATTTATTTCAAACAGTGAGCTATGATTGGACCACTGCAGCATAGACATGCTGCAACCTGCTGTCAAGTACCTTCTTACCTGTGCCCTCATTTTTCCTGAGGCATCCACAGGGGTCCAAAAGAGGAAAGAGCAGATTGGCTGACTTCTGGGTGGATTTAGAGCAGGTATTGTGGTTACAGTGGTTTGGCCCAGGAGTCAGATCTGAGCCCACCTCGCAGCTTACTACTTGTGTCCTTGGACAGATCCTTTTCACTCTTAGCCTCAGTTTTCTCATCTGTAAAATGGAGATTTTTTTTTTTCCTCCACTTGAATATGGTCAGTGAAGGCAGGAACCATGTGTGCCTAATTTTTAAATTTGAATCCCCAGGGCATAGCCCATAATCTGACAGATAGGCAGTCCTCAAAACTATGAATGATCCCTATAGTGTTTGGCTTGTAACAGGTGCACAAAAGTATTTTAAATCCAATACGAAAAAGTCGAAACTTAAAAAATATTTTCAGGATATTTCAACAAACATTTACAGGTCCCAGCGATGTGCAGGGGTAACCCAAGATGAATACTAAAGGCCTAGCACATCTGGCACACAGCAACGCAACACGTGTTTATGGGATGAACAGGCAAATAAGTGGATGGTCAACAGTTCTCACTTGCCAGAGTTCCCTTTGCTAGAAAATGAGTAATCTTTTATCCAGCTTAAAAGTGGCTGCCAGATGGAGGGAGCTGGTTCTCTCACTGTTGGGGTGGGAATTCACAGATAAACAAGGGGAGGAGGCTCCAATGATCTGTGTAATGGATTAGAGTTGGAGATGTCAGCACGAGCTCATGTTTAGCTTAATATAGGTACAGATGTTTACCTATAAAAATATTTATAGATATGTGTGTGTTTAACAGTATATACACACATTTTTTTCTGTCAGCTGAGACTGAAAGAAATGACATCTCAATAGCAAGAAGCACACCTAGCACCCAGACCTTGGTTTCTCTTTTTTTTTTTTTTTTTTTTTTTTGATACGAAGTCTCGCTCTGTCACCCAGGCTGGAGTGCAGTGGTGCGATCTCGGCTCACTGCAACCTCCACCTCCCAAGTTCAAGGAATTCTCCTGTTTCAGCCTCCCATGTAGCTGAGACTACAGGCACACGCAACCATGCCTAGCTAATTTTTTTGTATTTTCAGTAGAGATGGGGTTTCACCATATTGGTCAGGCTGGTCCCAAACTCCTGACCTCAGGTGATGCACCTGCCTCAGCCTCCCAAAATGCTGGATTACAGGCATGAGCCACCATGCCCAGCCAGTTTCTAATGCCATTTTACAATGAAAGGAATCAGGGTTCCTCGTAGAAAATAGGATTCTAGGACTGGGGCAGGAAATACAAGATGAGCCCGGAGTATCCTGTAGTGTCAGAAAGGAAAGAGGCACTCAAACCCAAATAAGCTGGTATATACACTGGGTGTATGTCAAAGGAGCACAAGGAACCACTCAAATTCCCAGTGGCCAAAATGAGAACAATTTGAAAAAAAAATTAGTACTGTAGTATAACAAAGGATAAAATAACAATGGTCCACACTGATATAAATGATTGAATACATGGGGGAGAAGAAACAAATCTCCCATGCAGAATTCCAAATAATTTCTGTAGATACTCTGCCCCCAAGGAGGTGGAGCAAAATCCCCGACTCCTTACGTGTGGGCTGTGCATGGGGACGTCCTTCCAAAGAGTACAGTAGAGAAAAGAGGGGTGGGGGGACCTGACAAACACTACTTCAGTCAAGTGATCAAGTCAGCACCAACAGTGGTAAGTAACGTTGAACAGTAAGAACCCTTCCTTGGTAGGATGTGATGAGCATAGCACTTTACCTCTGTGATCTTCCTTCCAAAACGCCATAACGCTTGTCTAATCCTGAGAAAAACATCAAATCCCAATAGAGGGCCAGCCCACCAAAGATTTGGCCAGTACTCCTCAAAACTATCAAGGTCATCAAAAATAAAAAGCTGAGGCCAGGCGCGGTGGCTCACGCCTGTAATCCCAGCACTTTGGGAGGCTGAGACGGGCAGATCATGAGGTCAGATCAAGACCATCCTGGCCAACATGGTGAAACCCCGTCTCTACCAAAAATACAAAAATTAGCCGGGCATGGTGGTGTGTGCCTGTAATCCCAGCTGCTCAGGAGGCTGAGACAGGAGAATCGCTTGAACCTGGGAGGCAGAGGTTGCAGTGAGCTGAGATCATGCCACTGCACTCCAGCTAAAATAAAAATAAAAGGCTGAGACACTGTCATTAACAGTAGTCTAAGACATGACAACGAAATATAATGTGGTATCCTGAATGGAAACCTGCAGCAGAAAAAGGCATTAAGTAAAAGGAAGGAAATCTGAATAAACTACACTTTAGTTAATATGACAACAGTGCATCGTTAATTTTAACAAATGTAGCACACTAATAATGTAAGATTTTAGTAATAGGGGAAATTGCAGGGATGGGTGGCACATGGGAACTCTCTACTATCTTCTCAATTTTTCTGTAAATCTGTTCTAAAAAATAACGTCCGTTATTATTATTATTATTATTATTATTATTTGCGGGGAGGGGACACAGTCTTGCTCTGTCTCCCAGGCTGGAGTGCAGTGGTGAGATCTCGGCTCACTGCAATCTCCGCCTCCTGGGTTCAAGCGATTCTCATGTGTCAGCCTCCCCAGTAGCTAGGGCTACAGGTGCCTACCACCACACCCGGCTAATTTTATATTTTTAGTAGAGACGTGGTTTCACCATGTTGGTCAGGCTGGTCTCGAACTCCTGACCTCAGGTGATCCGCCCGCCTCAGCCTCCCAAAGGGCTGGGATTACAGGCAGGAGCCACCATGCCTGGCAAAAATAACGTCCATAAACAAAAACACGTGGCCAACAGGGGCGGAGCAGAACCGAGTTTCCGGAAGCAAAACAGGGCTTTGTACCGAACAAAGATGGCGGCCGCCGGCGTCGGGAGGAGGGCTGCCCTGAAGAAAGATGGCCTCCGCGAGAGGAGGAACCGGAAGCGTGGGTCTGGCGGCTGCACCGGTTCGCGGTCGGCGCGAGAACAAGCAGGGTGGCGCGGGTCCGGGCATGAAGCTGGGCCGGGCCGTGCTGGGCCTGCTGCTGCTGGCGCCGTCCGTGGTGCAGGCGGTGGAGCCCATCAGCCTGGGACTGGCCCTGGCCGGCGTCCTCACCGGCTACATCTACCCGCGTCTCTACTGCCTCTTCGCCGAGTGCTGCGGGCAGAAGCGGAGCCTTAGCCGGGAGGGTAGGCTGGGGCGGGGGCTGGAGGCTGGGGCTGGGGCTGGGGCTGGGCGATGGCACTAGGGCTGAACTAGGACCAGGGCATGGAGAATGGAGGATGGAGGCCGGGGGATGGCACCAGGGCCGGGCTAGGACTAGGGCTGGAGCGGGGCCTGGGGGCTGGGGCTGGGCGATGGCACTAGGGCCGGGTTGGGGCTGGGGCTGGGGCTGGGGGATGGAGCGGGGCCCGGGGGCTGGGGGTGGGGCTGGGGGATCGCACTAGGGCTGGGTTAAGACCAGGGCGGTTGGCTGGGGCTAGGGGATTGAGGATGGTGGATGGAGGCTGGGGGATGGCAGTAGGGCCGGGCTAGGACTGGGGCTGGAGCGGAGTTTGGGGGCTGGGGCTCAGGAGCGGGGGCTGGGGCTGGGGCTGGGGCTGGGGGATGGCACTAGGGCCAGGCCGGGGTAGGGGTCACATCCCAGGAGGGCCGGGCCTGGGCAGAGCTGAGTCCGCGGGGGCCGGACCCCGGAAGCCAAGCGGCCGGCCTGCAGGATGAGGCCTGGCTCCTCGGCCATGACCACAGACGTGCCAGACTTAAGTCGGAGACCTGAGGAGCCAGGCTGCAGGTTGGCCTACTTTGCGCTAAGCTGGGGGTGGACCAGTGGTAACCTCCCTCCGAAGTGGGTTCTGCCTCCTTTCTAGCCTAGCGGGAGACAGGAAGGATGGTGAGGACTCTTCCGCAGCCGACCAGGAGGGACCAAACTGTTTCCTTTCCCGGCTCTGCCTTGGGGTGGGAGGAGCAGCACAGGGGTTAGGGGTGCAAACTGGTGGCAGTGGCAGTGGCACCAAGGGGCTTTTCGGGAAGGAGTCGGGCCAGGGCTTTAGAATAGGCAGGACCAGCAAAGGGAGGGCTCCCTGGACCGCCGTCCCCTCTGGGCCAGGAGCTTACAGACCGCAGTACTTGAGGTTTCGCAAGGTGCTTGGAGGGCGTCTAGACGGCTTTGCTGGCTTTCTTATGGGCTGTAAATGTGGCTACATTTTGCCGCTGTTTCTTCCCCACTCCTGATTGGCTTTGTCTTTCCCAGCACTGCAGAAGGATCTGGACGACAACCTCTTTGGACAGCATCTTGCAAAGAAAATCATCTTAAATGCCGTGTTTGGTTTCATAAACAACCCAAAGCCCAAGAAACCTCTCACGCTCTCCCTGCACGGGTGGACAGGCACCGGCAAAAATTTCGTCAGCAAGATCATCGCAGAGAATATTTACGAGGGTGGTCTGAACAGTGACTATGTCCACCTGTTTGTGGCCACATTGCACTTTCCACATGCTTCAAACATCACCTTGTACAAGGCAAGGATGGAAGTTTGGAATCCCTTCCTGGATGTCATCGGGTTTGGGGTCTCTTTGTTGTGGGATGAGATTTGGGAGTTCTATGTTGAAATGAGTGAGCCCGGAAAACGGTTCATGTCTCAGTTCCCCTTGGAAAGGTGTAGAAGTTAAGAGTTTGAGATGCGTGGAGCAGTTAATACCATCAAAGCTTTGTGGTGGGTTCTGAAAATCGGTCCAGTGAGTATGTAGGGTCATGGGATTTTAGAGGTGGACATGATCAAATCCATCTTAGAGATCAACACATCTCACTCATTTTTTTATTTTTTTCTTTATTTTGAGACGGAGTTTCACTCTTCTTACCCGGGCTGGAGTGCAATGGCATGATCTCAGCTCACTGCAACCTCTGCCTCCCGGTTGAAGCAATTATCCTGCCTCAGCCTCCCGGGTAGCTGGGATTACAGGGTCCTGCCACCATGCCCAGCTAATTTTTGTATTTTTAGTAGAGATGGGGTTTTGCCAACTTGGCCAGGCTGGTCTCGAACTCCTGATCTCAGGTGATGTGCCTGCCTCAGCTTCCCGAAGTGCTGGGATTACAGGCGTGAGCCACCATGCCTGGCCACATCTCACTCATTTTGTGAAAGAGGAAACATGTAGAGTCCTAAGTTTGTTGAACCTACTGTTGTAAACTGCCTTTTTTTTTTTTTCTTTGAGTCAGGGTCTCACTCTGTTGTCCAGGCTGGAGTGCAGTGACGCCATCTCAGCTCACTACAGCCTCCACCTTCCCGGTTCAAGCGATTCTCCTGCCTCAGCCTCCCAAGTAGCTGTGACTACAGGCATGTGCCACCACAGCCGGCTAATTTTTGTATTTCTAGTAGAGATGGGGTTTCCTCACATTGGCCAGGCTGGTCTCGAACTCCTGACCTCAAGTGATCTGCCTACCTCAGCCTCCCAGAGTGCTAGGATTACAGGCGTGAGCCACCTTGCCCAGCCGCAAACAGCTTTTATGGTTGAACTCACTGATGAGCAGCTTGGGCTTTGGCAGCAGACACATCTGGATTTGAGTCCTAACACTCTCCCAGCTCCGTAGTCTTAGGAAAGTTGCCTGACCTGAGACTCAGATTCTGACTTACAAAGTGTTGCTTGTAACAATCCAGGGAGCTCTGTCTGTCAAGTGCATAACATGTACCTGGTGCATGTTACAAATAAATGTTAACTGTTGCCTTTTAGATCCTTGTAGCAGACCTGCAAGATGGGCAAAACAGTCAATTATTTATTTATTTATTTTTGAGACTGAGTTTCATTCTTGTCACCCAGGCTGGAGTGCAGTAGCACCATCTGGATCTTGATCTCGGCTCACCGCAAACTCTGCCTCCCGGATTCAAGTGATTCTGCTGCCTCAGCCTCCCAAGTAGCTGGTATTACAGGCACCTGCCACCACACCCAGCTAATTTTTGTATTTTTAATAGAGACAGGGTTTCACCTTGTTGGCCAGGCTGGTCTCAAACTCCTGACCTCAAGGTCATCCAGCTGTCTCTACTTCCCAAAGTGCTGAAATTACAGGTATGAGCCACCATGCCTGGCCTCAATCAGTTATTTATCCCTGACTGTATCTATGGAAAAATGTGAACACATTTTTCCCTTCTGTCTGGGTGAGCGTGTGGGTCACCCACTGTCCAGCGGTTCTGTACTAAAATGCGAATGTTCCACGGGTGTGGTGGCTCATGCCTATAATTCTAGCACTACGGGAAGCCAAAACCGGCTGATCCCTTGAGCTCAAGAGTTCCAGACCAGCCTGGGGAACATGGTGAAACCCCATCTCTACTAAAAAAATACAAAAAAATTAGTCAGGCATGGTGGCATGCACCTGTAGTCCCAGCTACTTAGGGGGCTGAGGCAGAAGGATGGCTTGAACCTGGGAGGTCGAGGCTGCAGTGAGCAGACAGCCACTGCAGTCCAGCCTGGGTGACGGAGTGAGACCCTGTCCCAAACAAACAAGAACCATTCTAGACGAATCAGGATAAGTTGATCATCTTAGAATTGAGGCTTCACTAACAATAACTGTGACTTTGGGCAAAGTTACTTCACTTGTCTGTGCCTCAGTTTTCTCATTTGTAAAAGAAGGAGCACAATGGTAACTACCGTGATGGGTTTTGGGAGGTCACAGTAAAATGTTCTATGAACAGACCAGGTGTGGTGGCTCGCGCCTGTAATCCCAGCACTTTGGGAGGCCGAAGCGGGTGGATCACAAGGTCAAGAGTTCAAGACCAGCCTGGCCAAGATGGTGAAACCCCATCTCTACTAAAAATACAAAAATTAGCTGGGCGTGGTGGCAGGTGCCTGTAGTCTCAGCTACTCAGGGGGCTGAGGCAAGGGAATCGCTTGAATCTGGGAGGCAGAGGTTGCAGTGAGCTGAGATCATGTCATTGCACTCCAGTCTGGGTAACAGAGCGAGACTGTCAAAAAAAAAAAGTTATATGAACAGTGCTTAGAATATTGTTGTTCCCATAGTGAACACTCAGTGCATGTTCCCTGTTATTGCATATAAGTTTGGTCACCAGAGTGAGAAACCTTGGCTGCTGGAGCCTAACAGGTCTGAGTGAATCCTTGTTTATTTTATTTATTTATTTTATTTTATTTTATTTATTTATTATTATTATTATTTTTTTTTTTTGAGACGGAGTCTTGCTCTGTCTCCCAGGCTGGAGTGCTGGAGTGCAGTGGGGTGATCTTAGCTCACTGCAACCTCCACCTCCCAGGTTCCAGCGATTCTCAAGCCTCAGCCTCCCAAGTACCTGGGATTACAGGCGCCTGCCACTATGCCTGGCTAATTTTTGTATTTTTTTTTTTAATGGAGTCTTGCTCTGTCGCCACGCTGGAGTGCAATGGCTTGATCTTGGCTCACCGCAACCTCCGCCTCCCAGGTTCATGCAATTCTACCTCAGCCTCCTGAGTAGCTGGGACTATAAGCACCTGCCACCATACCCAGCTAATTTTTTTGTATTTTTTTTAGTAGAGACCAGGTTTCACCATGTTGGCCAGGCTGGTCTTGAACTCCTGACCTCAGGTGATCCACCCACTTTGGCCTCCCAAAGTGCTGGGATTACAGGCATGAACCACCATGCCTGGCCCTAATTTTTGTATTTTAATAGAGATGGGGTTTCACCATGTTGGCCAGGCTGGTCTCAAACCCCTGACCTCAACTTATCCGTCTGCCTCAGCCTCCCAAAGTGCTGGGATTACAGGTGTGAGCCACCATGCCCGACCCCACCCCCTTTTTAAATAAAAATCAGTATCCTCATGACATCCCACATTGCCCCTTTGATGACAAAAGAGCAGCATCTCTGACAGCATCCGTGTGGCATCTCGCAGTGCGGGAACCGTAACCAAAGTATCGGGCTTTGGAGTGAGACAGGACTGGGTTCAGGTCCCAGCTCTGCCACATATAGTCTTGGGCAAGTGGAGTAAGCGCTCTCTGTGCCTCAGTTCCCTCATCTGTAAAATGAGAACGATAGTGCCCACTCCATGGGGTTGGTAGGAACAAAGAAGATTTTGGGCATGTAAAGTTCTTAGTGCCGAGTGCACAGTGGTCTGTAAGTGAAGCTGCGGTTCTTAGTGGTAGAAGGAGCTGATTGATGGCCCTGGCTGAGAACTTTGTGTTCGCTTTTTCCCCTTTTAATTCAGGATCAGTTACAGTTGTGGATTCGAGGCAACGTGAGTGCCTGTGCGAGGTCCATCTTCATATTTGATGAAATGGATAAGATGCATGCAGGCCTCATAGATGCCATCAAGCCTTTCCTCGACTATTATGACCTGGTGGATGGGGTCTCCTACCAGAAAGCCATGTTCATATTTCTCAGGTAAGGTCAGGGCTAGGACATGATGGATGGGCCCCGAGCCCAAGCCTCTGAGCTCCAGGAGAAAACCCTGTCCTTACCCACTGGGATTGTTTTGCAGCAATGCTGGAGCAGAAAGGATCACAGATGTGGCTTTGGATTTCTGGAGGAGTGGAAAGCAGAGGGAAGACATCAAGCTCAAAGACATTGAACACGCGTTGTCTGTGTCGGTTTTCAATAACAAGAACAGTGAGTAGGGCCATCCACCGCCAGTCCCATCTGGTTCCTAATCCTGCACCCTAAGTGTTAAAAGCATCAGGGTCACTGTCAGCATCACCTGGGAGCTGGGTAGAAAGAAATGCAGATTCTCAGTCCCCTTCCGAGTCATGAGGGGAATCTTTGCTGATGAACTCCAGGTAACTTTTATGAACACTAATGTTTGACAAGTGCTGTTTTATTTTTATTTTTCAGATAGTTTTACTCTGTCACCTAGGCTGGAGTGCAGTGGCGTAACCTTGCCTCACTGCAACCTCTGCCTCCCGGGCTCAAGCGATTCTTGTGCCTCAGCCTCCTGAGTAGCTGGGATTACAGGTGCACACCATGCCCAGCTAATATTTGTATTTTTAGTAGAGATGGGGTTTTGTCATGTTGGCCAGGCTGGTCTTGAACTCTTACCTCAGGTGATCCGCCCACCTCGGCCTCCCAAAGTGCTGGGATTACAGGCGTGAGCCACTGTGCTCAGCTTATTTTTTGAGACAGAGTCTCACTCTGTCACCCAGGCTGGAGTCCAGTGGTGTGATCTCAGCTCACTGGAGTCTTGACTTCCTAGGCTCAAGTGATCCTCCAGCCTCAGCTTCCCATGTAGGTGGAACCACAGGCTTGCGCCACCATGCCTGGCTAATTTTTTTTTTTTTTTTTTTTTTTTTTTTTGGTAGAGACTGGGTCTTCCTATGTTTCCCAGGCTGGTCTTGACTTCCTGGACTTAAGTCATCCTCCCGCCTCAGCCTCCCAAAGTGCTGGAATTATAGGCATGAGCTACATACCTGGCCTGCTGTTTTTTTTTTTTTTTTGAGATGGAGTCTCGCTCTGTTGCCCAGGCTGGAGTGCAGTGGCGCGATCTCGGCTCACTGCAAGCTCTGCCTCCCAGGTTCACACCATTCTCCTGCCTCAGCCTGCCGAGTAGCTGGGACTACAGGCACCTGCCACCACACTCGGCAAATTTTTTGTATTTTTAGTAGAAACGGGGTTTCACCATGTTAGCCAGGATGGTCTTATCTCCTGACCTCGTGATCCGCCTGCCTCGGCCTCCCAAAGTGCTGGGATTACAGGCGTGAGCCACCACGCCTGGCCAGTTCCCCCATTTTCTTCAGCTACATGATTTTCTTTGTAGAAGAAAGAGCCAGTGGTTGAGCAAGGAAGGATGCCGTGGGCAGCTCAGGGGGAGAGATGACCTGTTAGTTCCTCCCTTTCTCTGCATTGCCCAAGAGCAACAGCCAAATAGCGGTTCGGCCCTTATTTTGTACTGGGCACCGTGTGAAACAGCCTGCCTGCGGATTTCACTCAGTCTTCACCATACCTCGCAGGGTAGAGACTGAGACTCAGAGATGTGGCAGCTTGCCCAGGGCCATGCAGCCTGTTCGGTATCTCTGATTCTAAAACCTGAGCTTTTAAGTTTTAGCTCACTACTTCTCCAAATGTCATGAGACCTTTGACCTTGAACCTGGGGAGGTGGAAAGCCAGCCTGATGGAGGCTGACTCACTGGCTAAGACCTGTGAGTTGTGCAGGGCTGGCTGTTCAAGTCTTTGCGCTTCAGGTTCTGGAGATGACAAAACAGAAGGGCTCATTTGAAACAGACTTGCCAAGAAATTAATCCTACAGTTAGTGAACAGCATGGGGTACAGTATGTCAGTGTGTGCAAGTGGAATACTACTGAGGAAAGACAAGTATTTTGTAACATGTTGGATAGTTTCTTGCCTTGCCAAAAAACATGAGCACATGCAGTGGAAACTTTAGCCTAATGCTGAGGCAGATGAGCCCCGTGGCCTAGAATCCACGCTGTGGAGGTTACACGGTGCTTAGGAGTGCCAACCTGGGAGTCGGGCAGCCCTGGCCCACAGACTGACTGTGACCTCAGGCAGATGGCTGAACATTGATTCAGCACATGTATATGGAGCATCTGGTAAGTGCCAGGCATCATACCTAGGACGGGGGACACAGCAGTGAACAAACACAGAAATTCTTGCCCTTATCAATCCTACATCCTAGTGATAATAAAGAAAGAAAATGTATCAGATGATGGGGGATAGATATGTTGATGTGTGTGATGTGTTTGTGTGTATACATGCAGTACATATGCACACATCGCACATGTACACATGTGGACATATAGATATCTTTCCCCCCGGGGCCAGTAGGGGAAAAAAATCAAGAAAGGCTTTGGGGTTCAGGGTAAGGATGGGCTCTGCTTTAATAGAGTGGACAGGGAAGGCTCCCTGTGAGGGTGGCATTTGGGCTGACCCGGGGGAGTGAGCCATGTGGATGTCTGAGGGAAAAGCATTCCCCAGTGCGGACAGCACGTCCAGGGGCCCGAGGGGGGCCTGTGCTTGGGGTCCCTGTGACTGGTTGAGGATAAACAGAGGAGGGAAACGGGAGGTGATAGAAGAGGCGAGATTTGGGGTGGAGGTGCAGACCGTGGGAAGCCTGGCGGGCCATGGTGAACCTTGAGTCTTATTCCAAGTGGAAGAGAGAGGCCTGGAGGGTCCTGGGCAGGTGGTGCTGTGATCTGACGGGGCCTTCACAGGACCTTGCTGGCAACTGGATGGAGGACAGACCCACAGCCACAGGGGCAGGGAGCCCAGCGTGGAAGCGGTGGGGGTGGAGGGACACGGTTGGCTTCTGGGTGTGTTTTGAAGGTAGAACCTGTAAGACTTCCTGCAGAATTGTATATGGGAATGAGAGAAGAATCAAGGACCTGGCTTGAGCGATGGGAAGGGTGGCACTGCCATTGAAGGGAAGGGACAGCAGGAAGGACGGGCGAGCTCAGTGGGCAATGGCATCAGGGCATCAGAGCAGAGCCACGAAGCTCCAGGGAGGCCATCAGGCCAGGAGGGCAAACTTGGGAGTCCTCAGGAGATGACTGTGAAGTCTCAGGGCTGCCTGAGGTCACCTGTTCTGCCGTCACTCCTGGGTCTGCGTGGCTGGGTCCTTGTTGCTCGGGCTCTGCCCTGAGGTCCTGCCCAGCCTGCTCCACCTCCCGCTCTCCATGTCCGTTCTGCTGTGTGGCATTCGCCACTCCAAGCACCATCTGAGATTGTTTCCTGCCCTAGAGTGGTAAAGCCGTGAGGTCCGTCTGCCCTCAGCTGTGTCCCCAGGCCCAGGGCGTGCCTGGCACAGAGCAGGCCTCTGAGAACCAGCCTCCCACGTGAGTTCATGATAGCAAGACAGCCCCTCGTTCCCATTCAGTGGTTGGTTCTGTTCTTTCCCTGGCCATAGGCTCCACTCTGTCAGTCAGCCACACATTTATTGAGTACCAGTTGTGTGCAAAGCACTGTTGGGCATGAAAAGCATTAACCCAGTGAATGAGGAGGAGCTTGGGTTGGGGACGGAGCCCCAGAATTACATGGCAGACCAGAAGGGAATCAGCTCAGTAGAAGACACGCATGGGCTCGTGGGCGACGCAGTGTGTGCTGTGTCATCTGGGGCTGGGAGGAAGTGTCCTGGGTCAGGAGTTCCAGGAGCCCAGGAGGAGTGGACGGGTCAGTGCAGAGCCAGCCCGCATTCAGGGGAGAAAACACGGCCAAGGCCAGGCCTTCACGGGGAGCCCAGCGTGGGCTGCACATCTGCACTCTCCAGGCTAGTTTTGGTGCCCACATGCTCTGCAGGGTCTGGGCACTGTGGCAGCGGCAGCAGGCTTCCCTGTTGCTAGTCCAGCTGCTGAAACTCCAGGGAGAGTCAAAAAGTTCCCAAATACAGAGGCGTGGCTGGTAGTCCTTCCCGGGAATTCTTCTTGCTTCCCGCTTTCTGTGGAACTCTGCCTTCCCCACTCTGCCTCTCTGCTTGTTCCTGGGCCCCAGGACCTCTTTCCCATCTTCGATCTCTTAAGTCATACCTTGGGAGGCCTCCCCCAGCCCGCCGTGTAAAGAGGGCTGTCACAGCTTCTGCTGTCACAGAAGCATTACAATGTGCAGGTGCCTGTTAACATCTGCCTTCCCCACTGATCTGGAGCTCCACAAGGGAGAGGGCACACCCAGTAGGTATGTGTGGGATGGATAGGAGGGTGGATGACACCCAGTAGATGTGTATGGGATGGATAGGAGGGTGGATGACACCCAGTAGGTGTGTATGGGATGGATGGGAGGGTGGGTGACCCCTAGTAGATGTGGGGGGGGTGGGTGGGTGACCCCCAGTAGGTGTGTGTGGCATGGATAGGTGACCCCCAGTAGACGTTTGTGGGACGGATGGGAGGGTAGGTAAGTGACCCCCAGGAGGCGTCTATAGGGCAGGTGGGTGGATGTGGATGAACAGCACCTTGTTTCTTCTTCCCAGGTGGCTTCTGGCACAGCAGCTTAATTGACCGGAACCTCATTGATTATTTTGTTCCCTTCCTCCCCCTGGAATACAAACACCTAAAAATGTGTATCCGAGTGGAAATGCAGTCCCGAGGCTATGAAATTGATGAAGACATTGTAAGCAGAGTGGCTGAGGAGATGACATTTTTCCCCAAAGAGGAGAGAGTTTTCTCAGATAAAGGCTGCAAAACGGTGTTCACCAAGTTAGATTATTACTACGATGATTGACAGTCATGATTGGCAGCCGGAGTCACTGCCTGGAGTTGGAAAAGA
The DNA here is from genome assembly GCF_000001405.40 of Homo sapiens. Classification (NCBI taxonomy): domain Eukaryota; kingdom Metazoa; phylum Chordata; class Mammalia; order Primates; family Hominidae; genus Homo; species Homo sapiens. The sequence goes on along the minus strand of NC_000009.12, from coordinate 129,813,926 downwards.
AACAACACTCAGTCCTTCCACACTTCCACCCCCAGCTCCTTTCCCTGGAAGAGGAATCCAGTGAATGTTCCTGTTTGATGTGACAGGAATTCTCCCTGGCATTGTTTCCACCCCCTGGTGCCTGCAGGCCACCCAGGGACCACGGGCGAGGACGTGAAGCCTCCCGAACACGCACAGAAGGAAGGAGCCAGCTCCCAGCCCACTCATCGCAGGGCTCATGATTTTTTACAAATTATGTTTTAATTCCAAGTGTTTCTGTTTCAAGGAAGGATGAATAAGTTTTATTGAAAATGTGGTAACTTTATTTAAAATGATTTTTAACATTATGAGAGACTGCTCAGATTCTAAGTTGTTGGCCTTGTGTGTGTGTTTTTTTTTAAGTTCTCATCATTATTACATAGACTGTGATGTATCTTTACTGGAAATGAGCCCAAGCACACATGCATGGCATTTGTTCCACAGGAGGGCATCCCTGGGGATGTGGCTGGAGCATGAGCCAGCTCTGTCCCAGGATGGTCCCAGCGGATGCTGCCAGGGGCAGTGAAGTGTTTAGGTGAAGGACAAGTAGGTAAGAGGACGCCTTCAGGCACCACAGATAAGCCTGAAACAGCCTCTCCAAGGGTTTTCACCTTAGCAACAATGGGAGCTGTGGGAGTGATTTTGGCCACACTGTCAACATTTGTTAGAACCAGTCTTTTGAAAGAAAAGTATTTCCAACTTGTCACTTGCCAGTCACTCCGTTTTGCAAAAGGTGGCCCTTCACTGTCCATTCCAAATAGCCCACACGTGCTCTCTGCTGGATTCTAAATTATGTGAATTTTGCCATATTAAATCTTCCTCATTTATACTATTATTTGTTACGTTCAATCAGAATCCCCGAAACCTCCTATAAAGCTTAGCTGCCCCTTCTGAGGATGCTGAGAACGGTGTCTTTCTTTATAAATGCAAATGGCTACCGTTTTACAATAAAATTTTGCATGTGCCATTGGTGAGTACGTTTTTGAAGAGGGAGAAGCGCCCCTCCACTGTAGACCTTATGAGGTAAGGCTGCGAGTGAAGACCTAGCAGAACAATCCAGGTTGGAAAGAAACGAAGTCTCACACAGGGATCTGAGGATCCTAGGATGGCTCTGTCCCCTCGCCCAGTGGTCTGGGAAGTCGCCCTCCATTGTGGGGTTCTTGGAGCTCCTGACACCCAGCCACGGAGTTCAAGTACAGCTGAGATGCCAGCAGGAACAGTGCCGTAGACTAAGGTAAGCACACCTTATTTTATCCAACATGCCTGTGTCCCAGCACGTGGGCAGTGCTCCCATGGGTGCGGCTGCTGCAGAGAGCACTGCAGGGGCCACTTCTAGTAGGCACAGAAGACGAGTTTGTGGCCTCGACTGCAGGTCTAACGCAGGAACCCTCTGCCTTATGGCTTCCCAGCCTGCATGGGGTCCCCCTAGGGCAGCCCAGGGCACCTAAAGATGGCTCCAAGCGTTAGAAAGTTCTTGGTATTGAGCTGCAGCCAGCCTGCTATGTCCCTGGGAGTCACAGATTAGGTCTAATCATTCCTTTGAAGAGTGTGGCCCAGGCACCAGAAGTCCCTAGTTAGAGAACACGGGTCCCCTGACAGTTTTGGAAGGTTCAGTCTTAGTAGATGAGGCAGTGTAGGTAGAATAGGAACTGCGTTAAGACTGAGAACCAGACCTAGAAAGTCAGTCTCCTGGGAATTGAGTAACTTCAGCTGAGAAAATAAGGGAGTGGGTGGGGTGATGGTGATGAGGGTTTGTGCTTTCTAGTAAATCTGCTAATCCTTAATCCTGTGAAGAGGGTGGGTGTTAGCAATTCACTGATGAGACAATACTGGATTATGTGTAATTAAGCTGAGATCAGATTAGCATAACTAGAATTTTTTTTGAGACGGAGTTTCACTCTTACTGTCCAGGCTGGAGTGCAATGGCACGATCGCGGCTCACTATAACCTCTGCCTCCCAGGTTCAAGCGATTCTCCTGCCTCAGCCTCCCTAGTAGCTGGGATTACAGGCATGTGCCACCACACCCAGCTAATTTTGTATTTTTAGTAGAGATGGGGTTTCTCCATGTTGGTCAGGCTGGTCTCAAACTCCCCACCTCAGGTGACCCACCCACCTCGGCCTCCCAAAGTGCTGGAATTACAGGTGTGAGCCACCGCACCCGGCCAGGATTTATTTACCAGTTTCAATGGTTAGGTTTCCTCACCTGAGCTCAGGTTCAGGCTGTCAGAGGTGAGTTTTACTTTACCAGTACCTCAATTTCCTCCCACGTTAATTTTGGGAGAAAGTCCATCTCTTTGATGAAATATCCATCAGCTAATTTAACTTCTATTTGTCTGGGGAAGAGCCTTTAAGGTAAATATTGCTTCTGTATCGCGCTGACTGCCCACCCGCCTGTCCCGGATATGGTGAGTCTCACAGCTGTGCTGCTGAAATTCATTCTGAACTTTGGAACCAAATAAACTAGAAAAAGTTAGCAAGTGGCATTTCACATGATAAAATCTAGAATTTACTATTTTATAGTCAGTAGGTCAATAAAGCTCTCGTCCACATCTTATAAGGGAGGTGGGGGAGGCGGGGTCATGATCAACCGTAGCCTTTTCAAGTTACAAATCAGTAACGGCAGTCCAAAGGTGGCAAACATATTTATTGCCTCACTGTAAATAGAGAAAATCTTGTCTTCTCTCGACCAGATGCCCAAAAGGTTATAAAAGAAGTATAACTTAGCTCCAATTTGAGGATATGTACTAAAAATTTTAAACGTCACCTTGGTGTTTTTTTCAAGACTAAGTGTGATACCACGTAAGGCATTTCCATGTCATAAATTAATTCTACCATATTTTTATGTAAAAAATGCTGCACGTTGTTGTGTCTGCAGCTGTGCTGTGATTATGAGACAGATACAATGATTCACACTGGCTGGAAGCTAAGTCTCACGTCCCAGGGATCAGGGCAGTCCAGCCCGGTGCTGCCACAAAGGGTGGTGGTATCAGGTCACACCTAGGACCTGCCACTTTAGACTGACCTTGTTTGATCCACGGTTGTGACCATGTATTACCACAAATTTAACAATAAAAAATTGTTTTAAGAGTATCTGAGAAAGGACTAAGCAGTCATTCCATTTTGTGTCCTTCCCTTGTTTTAAAATAAGCAACGTCCTATACTTCCATCATTTAAGATCATCAAGCTGACTTGTTCAGTCTGGGCCCATGTCATCCTTCCAGAACAAGCACATCCTAGGATTTCAAATGGTTCTACAAAATAAAGTGAGAGATTGACCCAAGTATAAAGTCTTAACAAGCATCTCACCATGGGAACCAACGACTCAAATTCAAAGCCAACGGTCTCATTGTGATTCAACTCTATGATATATGGTTGGGGGGACTCTAGCAGAGATCCAAGCTGAGATATGGCACAAGGCAGGCTGGGGCTGATACCAGCTGAGACGGTGAAGGATTCCACAGCCAGGGCTGTATTAGCAGCTAGAGCGATGGACAGGCGGGAGGGGCCTGTCTGTCCAGGTCTGCTGCAGAGGTCTTAGGTGAAGGCCCCACCCCCCCACACACACACACACAGGTCAGCTCAGATCAAGAGTGCTCGGCGGGCACGGCCACATCCTCCGGTCAGACACCGTCTGCACCTCCAGCCCCGATTTTAACTGAGTATACTTCAAGTCAGTGAACTCTGTGTAAAGAACGAGACAGAGCAAAAGGATGTTTTTGGCCAATGAGAACACAGTGCCCCGCAGCCTGCTGGTGAGAACCACCCAGTGCCCCCCAGCCTGCAGCAAGTCCCTGGACTCCTTTAGTTGTGACCGTAGCTTCTGAGGCGCGGGTGCTGTGGGTCAGAAGCTATTGCCGGGCCTGCCATGCACAGCTGTTTTCAGGTACTTCTGTCTCGGTCAGTACATTAAGTGTGAAGGGGATTTTTAAAAGTTCATCTCCAGCTGCAAAGAACAGCTGGACTGCTGCCATCTTGCTAAATGACAAATGCGCGCAATAGATTCACGTGTTTTCCACAATCAACTCTTAGATTCTATATCCCAGCTGGGCACAGTGGCTCATGCCTGTAATCCCAGCTACTCGGGAGGCTGAGGCATGAGAATCACTCAAACCGGGAGCGGAGGTTGCAGTGAGTTGAGGATTGCACCACTGCACTCCAGCTTGGATGACGGAGTGAGACCTCTTCTCAAAAAAAAGATTCTATACCCAAAAGTCTAAGGTGCAAACAGGCAAAACCCCAAAGCGGTCTTCAGGGTTCTTCTGAAAGGCAAGGCCTCTGGCGTGCGGAGCCTCCCAGCTGTCTCCTACCCCATCTGGATAGGAGCTCAGTGGAAATCCAGCCGCGACTGCACAGTCTTGCAGCCCTTGTCTGAGTAGATTTTCTCGTCTCTGGGGAAAAACGTCATTTCCTCTGCCACTCTTGTGACAATGTCTTCATCTATGGCAGAACCACGGGCCCTCATCTCGGCCCTCACACACATTTTCACATGTCTGTACTCCAAAGGCAGGAAGGGGATAAAGTAATCAATGAGGTTTTTGTCGATCAGTCCACTGTGCCACAGGCCACCTGCAGAACAAGACACAGCTGGGTTTCCTGCCACCACCGCCACCTGGCCAAGCTCCAGTCCCGACCCTCAGCACATTCCTCATGTCCGTACCCCTTGAGAGAGTCTCTTGTCAGTGTGCAACAAGCCCATGCAGGACTCAGCTGGACACTCACTCACTGGTTTCTAGCACAGTATGCCCTAAGAAAATTCCTGACTTTAGCAAAGTGAGGAAATCCAGTGGGATCCTGTGGCTTTGTGAAACACTCAATGAAAGAGCAGACGGCTCACTGCTGGACAGTTAAGGGGCTCCTTTACCCTGGTGGACTCACTGTGTTTATTATTGAAGACTCCGACAGACAGTACAGGTTCCAGGTCCTTCAGCTGAATGTCTTCCCTCTTTCTTCCGGCCCGCCAAAAGTCAAGAGCCGTCTTAGTTATAAGGTCCCCGCCTGCATTGCTGAGTTTGCCAGAGAAATAAAGATTAAAATCACATATTAAGACTTCTGTGTCTGCTGGGTGTGGTGGCTCATGCCTGTAATCCCAGCACTTTGGGAGGCCGAGGCAGGTAGATCACCTGAGGTCGGGAGTTCAAGGCCAGCCTGACCAACATAGAGTAACCCCATCTCTACTAAAAACACAAAAATTAGCCAGGCTAATGGTGGTGCATGCCTGTAATCCCAGCTACATGGGAGGCTGAGGTGGGAGAATCGTTTGAATCCGGGAGGTGGAGGTTGCAGCGAGCCGAGATCATGCCATTGCACTCCAGCCTGGGCAACAAAAATGAAACTCGGTCTCAAAAAAAAAAAAAAAAAAAAAAAGACTTCTGTGTCTTACCAAGAAATGAATCTGCTCTAAGTCTATTTTTCCTTTTGAGACACTCTGTCACGCAGGCTGGAGTGCAGTGGCGCAATATCAGCTCACTGCAACCTCCACCTTCCGGGTTCAAGTGATTCTTCTGCCTCAACCTCCTGAGTAGCTGGGATTACAGGCGCCTGCCACGACGCCCCTTCTAATTTTTGTATTTTTAGTAGACACGGGGTTTCACCATGTTGGCCAGCCTGGTCTTGAAATCCTGACCTCAAGTGATCTGCCCACCTTGGCCTCCCAAAGTGCTAGGATTACAGGTGTGAGCCACCACACCCGGCCGAAGATCTATTTTTCATCAAGGAATATTTACTGAGTGCTACTAGACAAAAAAGTGTGCTCTCATGGAACTTAAAGTGTTTATTCACAACTAGCTGGGATAATGCTATGGCCCTTTATAACCCTAAAAACCAACATGCACAGTTAATAAAATTAACTGTTTTCATTTCTGTTTCATTTTTAGGGTCGGGGTCTTGATTGTCACCCAGGCAGGAGTGCAGTGGTATGATCATAGCTCAATAAAACCTTGAACTCCTGGGCTCAACCAATCCTCCTGCCTCGACTTCCCCAGGAGCTGGGACTCCAGGCACATGCCACGATGCCCAGCTAAAATTGCCTGCTATCAGTGATTATTTCTTTTTTTTTTTTTTTTGAGACAGAGTCTCACTCTGTCACCCAGGCTGGAGTGCAGTGGTGTGATCCCGGCTCACTGCAAGCTCCGCCTCCCGGGTTCACGCCATTCTCTTGCCTCAGTCTCCCGAGTAGATGGGACTACAGGCGCCCGCCACCACGCCCGGCTAATTTTTGTATTTTTAGTAGAGACAGGGTTTCACCATGTTAGCCAGGATGGTCTCGATCTCCTGGTGATCCGCCCGCCATGGCCTCCCAAAGTGCTGGGATTACAGGTGTGAGCCACCGCGCCTGGCCCAGTGATTATTTCTTTAGTTCATTTCCACAACCCACACTGTGTGCCATGCTGAGACTGGCAAAGGAAAAGTAAAGCAGTAGGTAAGTGCCTTGTGCCAAGCAGGCACTTTCGTCCTGGTAAACAAAGTGCTGATGGTCCTCAGGACCTCATTTTATCATTGAGAGAATGAAGGGCTTGTGTGCCCCAAAAAACCGCCTCCCGCTGACCTGAGAAAGATGAAGATGGCTTTGCGGTAAGACACTCCGTCAACCTGCTCGTAGTAGTCTAGAAACGGCTTGATTGCGTCAATGATCCCGGGGTGCAATTTATCCATCTCGTCAAATATGAAAACAGAGTTCGCACATGCACTCACATTACCGCGGATCCACTTCTGTAACTGGTCCTGGACCAACCATGAAAGAAGAAACAGGATGCGAAGCTCAAAGGGTGCACCAAGAGGCGCGCAGGCTCCATCTGCTCCTCATGCACTGAAGGACGAGGTCAGAGCTCTTAGAATGGCACCCTCACCCCCACTCGCTAGGTAGCAGCTTTTCTAAAACCTTATCTCTAAAAAGTGGAAATTGGCAGAGATAGATGCTAAAATGCAGAGAAGTTTTTTCCTAACTCAAATGACTATTAAATCTGACTTTTTAAAGGTATAAGAGGTACAAGATCCGTGATTCTTTTCTTCTCTTTTTTGTCTTTGGAAACAGGGTCTCACTCTATCCCCCAGGCTGGTGTGTAGTGGCGTGATCTCAGCTCACTGCAACCTCTGCCTCTTGGGTTCAAGCGATTCCCCGGCCTCAGCCCCCCGTGTAGTTGGGACTACAGGCGCCCCGATCCCCTGCACCATGCCTGGCTAATTTTTGTATTTTTAGTAGAGACAGGGTTGTGCCATGTTGGCCAGGCTCGTCTCAAACTCCTGACCTCAGGTGATCCACCCACCTCACCCTCCCAAAGTGCTGAGATTACAGGAATGAGCCACCCGGCAAGATCCGTGAATATCATTCACTGCTAACGTAGCCATAGTTTTCATCTCTCTTGGACTACAATCTCAAGTTAGTACTATCAGACATACTGAGGAATAAGGAACTAGATCAAGACCTGCACAGTACACAGTGCCCCAGACCAACAGAGCTGACTCAATGACATTTCATGAAAAGCATCTGTTCCAGATGTTTTCTTCAAACAAACATAAAGACACTCAAGCAACAAGCCCTCAACCCCAAAGCGTGAAAGGCTATACCAGGAAACTCCCCCAGACATGCCCTCAACCATTTATATTACTCTGTTTCCGGAGATTTATGAAGAATGTAAAGAACAAGAAAATCCTTCCTTCCTTCCTTTTTAGCAGTCTTCCCTGTCTCACGTCAGTTTGTTGGGCAAACACTTCTACTTCCTTGTTCAGTTAAGTTTCTATTTCTTTCTTCAGTCCCCACCTAACAGGAGGAATTTTTTTTTTTTTTTTTTGAGATAGAGTCTTACTCTGTCGCCCAGACTGGAATGCAGTGACATGACCATGGTTCATTGTAGGCTCAGCCTCCCGGGCTCAAGCGATCCTCCCATCTCAGCCTCCCAAGTAGCTGGGACTACAGGTGCATGCCACTACACCTGGCTAATTTTTTTATTTTTTGTAGAGATGGAGTCTTGCTATGTTGCCAGTGGGAATGTTAACCTTGACAAGGACAACATTCATTTAAATGAGAACTAACCCTCCTAGACAACTTAATATAAAATGAATGTGGAAACAATATCTCAAAAGGAGAAACAGTCTCAAGGTTCAGTTCTTTGAGGCTTCCTTTGAAGAAAGCAATGCCAAGGACATGAAGGATGGGAGGAACAAAGGGAATAAAACCTGTTAAGGAGAAAAAAGACCTCTAGGCTACATTGCAAAGAGCAGAGGCAAAGCTGAGGCTGCACCAGAGGTGGGCAGCATTGAATGAAGCCACACCGGAGCAAATCCTTGAAGACTGACTGCCCCTTCTCACCAACTGCACTGCTGGGGATGTGGAATCCCTTCACTCACCAGAGAAGGTGGCTACCATGTCAACTGGGAGTTGGGAGGTTTTGGTTCTGCTACAAAGGTCCTGTTCTGCTACAAAGATTGTAGGAGTAAGTCACCTTGCCTCTGGGCTCCAGGCTCCATCTTTTTTTTTTTTCTTTTTTTTTGAGACAGAGTCTCATTCTGTTGCCCAGGCTGGGGTGCAGTGGCCCATTCTCAGCTGACTGCAACCTCAGCCTCCCAAGTAGCTTGAATTACAGGCGCACGCCATCACGCCCGGCTAATTTTGTATTTTCAGTAGAGACGGGGTTTCTCCATGTTGGTCAGGCTGGTCTCGAACTCCCGACCTCAGGTGATCCGCCCGCCTTGGCGGATCCCAAAGTGCTGGGATTACAGGCGTGAGCCACTGCACCTGGCCCTGACTACATCTCTCTTTTTTTTTTTTTTTTCTGAGACAGAGTCTCACTGTGTCGCCCAGGCTGGAGTGCAGTGGCGCGATCTCGGCTCAGTGCAAGCTCCGCCTCCCGGGTTCAGGCCATTCTCCTGCCTCAGCCTCCCGAGTAGCTGGGACAACAGGTGCCCGCCACCATCCCCGGCTAATTTTTTGTATTTTTAGTAGAGACGGGGTCTCACCGTGTTAGCCAGGATGGTCTCCATCTCCTGACCTCGTGATCCGCCCCCCTCGGCCTCCGAAAGTGCTGGGATTACAGGCGTGAGCCACTGTGCCAGGCCTTTTTTTTTTTTTTTTTTTTGAGACCGAGTACGGTGGCGCGATCTCAGCTCACTGCAACCTCTGCCACCCAGGTTCAAGCGATTCTCCTGCCTCAGCCTCCCAAGTAGCTGGGATTACAGGTGCGTGCCACCGTGCTCAGGTAATTTTGGTACTTTTAGGTAGAGATGGGGTTTCACCATGTTGGCCAGGCTGGTCTCAAACTCCTGGCCTCAAATGATCCGCCCGCCTCGGCTTCCCCAAAATGCTGGGATTACAGGCGTGAGCCACGGCGCCAGGCCCTTGGCTCCCCATCTTTTAATGGAAATAACATCCCCTACCCCACTGGACTGTTTTGGAACCAAGTAAGAGAAATGTTGTAGGAGAGCTTTGTAACTACCTGGACTAAGTGTGCCTTAACTCAGTGGAGCCGGGGGCTACAGCAACACAAAGGAAAGAGAAGCAGAGGCCAGAGTTAGTGAGCAGGTCACCCGGACCAGTCCGACTGGCCTGCAGACGAGATAATAGCGGGTTCTCTTGCCTGGTACAGTTTTATCTTCTGCTCATGAGGGAAGTGCAGAGTCGATACAAACAGGTGGACAAAGTTACTCTTCAGACCTTTTGGGTGAAGATTTTCAGCCACAATTTGACTGACAAAATTCTTGCCTGTGCCAGCCCAGCCGTGTAAGGAAAGGGTCAGTGGTTTCTTGGGATTTTTGTTGTTCCTGAAGCCAGTCAGCGCCTTGAAAATCACTTCCGTGGCTAGATGCTGTCCAAACAGCTTCTCCTCCAAATCCAGCTTGAGAGCTGCAAGAACAGCCCCAGAACAAAGAGAGAAACAGACCTTAAAAATGCATCAGCAACGCAGCACTTTCTTAGCTGGCCAAAGCAAGAAGCACAGATTATCCAGGGACACAGCAGGGTGTCTGCCACACCCTAGGGCCGAGGCAGTCAAACGATGCCACTTTCAAGATTATGTGGAGGTCCTTAACGCTTCGGGGTCTGATAAGGAAGCTAAATGTTCATTCATTCAGAGATGAACCATCGCTTGACTGAGCGCTTGCTAATCCCAGCCACCCTTGCTGACCTGCAGGAAAACCAGGGGCCAAATGTGGGCTTTCTGGGCGACGCAGCACGTCTGAAAACTACTTAATAGGGTTGGCAGGGCGCAGAAGGGCCGCCCGCCTACTTTCCGTTTCTTCCACCTGTGATCCCAAGGAACGGGAGCTTTAGAAAGGCGCTGGGGCAGCCCCACGATCTGGAGACTGTTTGCGAAGGCACCGCTTCTGCGTTCCCGCGAACGGTTCCGGGGCCGCCCCATCCGCTCCCCGCCCACCCCAGCTGGGACCACCGCCGTCTAGATGCCACGGGCCCGGTCCGTGCCAGGCGCCCACGAGGCCGTCCCTCCGCGCCCCCGCGCCCCCGCGCCCCCCGCAGCGCCGACCCACAGCTCGCGCGCGCGCCGTACCCGAAGCGTTGAGCGGCCGCTCCTCGCGGCAGCACTCGGCGAAGCGGCAGTAGATGTCATTGTAGGACAGGTAGCCGGTGATGGCCGACGCGGCCCCGATGGCTAGGCCCACGGTGATGGGCTCGAACGCCGCCACCACTCGGGCCGCCAGCAGCAGCGCCAGCGCCGCCGCGCCCCGGAGCCACCCAGCCCGCAACATCCCGCTCCTCGAAGCCCGCAGAAGCCACTGAGCCAGGCGCCCCGCGGCCAAGCGGCAGGACGGACTTCCTCTCGTGCGTCACTTCCGCCCCGCAGACCCGCCCACTCCCTTGGGGGCGGCCATGTTGGTGAGGGGCGGAGAGGAGGGCGGTGCCATCGTTCTTGGGAGTGGTCCGAAGGTGTAGGAGACTGTTTTGTTTCCCTTTTCTTTTAAAAAAATTTTTTCGGGCCGGGCGCGGTGGCTCACGCCTGTAATCCCAGGACTTTGGGAGGCCGAGCCGAGATCACGCCATTGCACTCCAGCCTGGGCAACAAGAGTGAAAAAATATCTAAAAAAAAAAAAAAAAATTTTTTTTTTTTGGCCGGGCGCCGTGGCTCACGCCTGTAATCCCAGCACTTTGGGAAGCTGAAGCGGGCGGATCACCTGATGTCAGGAGTTCGAGACCAGCCTGCTCAACGTGGCGAAACCCCGTCTCTACTAAAAATACAAAAAATTAGATGGGTGTGGTGGCGGGCGCCTGTAATCCCAGCTACTCGGGAGGTTGAGGCAGGAGAATCTCTTGAACCCAGGAGGCGGAGGTTGCAGTTAGCCGAGATCGTGCCACTGCACTCCAGCCTGGGCGACAAGAGCGAAACTGTCTCAAAAAAAAAAAAAAAGGCTGGCCGGGCGCGGCGGCTCACGCCTGTAATCCCAGCACTTTGGGAGGCCGAGGCAGGCGGATCACGAGGTCAGGAGATCAAGACCATCCTGGCTAACACAGTGAAATCCCATCACTACGAAAAATAGAAAAAATCAGCCGGGCATGGTGGCGGGCGCCTGTAGTCCCAGCTACTCGGGAGGCTGAGGCAGGAGAATGGCGTGAACCTGGGAGGCGGAGCTTGCAGTGAGCCGAGATCGTGCCACTGCACTCCAGCCTGGACGACAGAGCGAGACTCCGTCTCAAAAAAAACAAAAAAAAGCCAAAAAAAATTTTTTTAAACTTTCTTATATTTTTTTCTTATCTGATATGTATATTGGGGACAGGGTCTGGCTCTGTCGCCCCGGCTGGAGCGCAGTGGCAGGATCTCGGCTCGCTGCAAACTCTTCCTCCCAGGTTCAAGCGATTCTCCCATCTCAGCTGCTGGAGTAGCTGGGATTATAGGTGCCCGCCAACACGCCCAGCCAACTTTTGTGTTTTTAGTAGAGACGGGGTTTCGCCATGTGGCCCAAGCTGGTCTCGAACTCCTGACCTCAAGCGATCTACCTGCCTCCGTCTTCCAAAGCCTGGGGTTACAGGAGTGGGCTTATGGCTGGATTTGTTTTCTTCAGAGCTTCTCGGAGCCCTCAAGCTTTGCTTTGTTATCCCTCCCTTCACTTCGCCGGAGGTATAATGTGCGTTTCTTGGGTCGGCCCACCCGCCTGCCTTCTTCCTGAAACAGTTGCGAACTCTCCGTGCTGCGCCCTAGACTGAGCACTGGGGATGCAGCGGCCCCAAGACAGACCTGCCCAGGCTTCCACACTGAAATCCCGAGGTCCATTCTTTCATTCAGCACGCTAGGTGGCAGGCCCCTTGCTGGATGCCAGGAACGACAGCAGAGGAGGGGACGGAGTTGGCCCCTGCCCTCTCAGAGCTGACGGTCTATGGGGGAGGCCGACAAAGGGGTGAGACTCAATGCTGAGTGGGCAGAGAAGTATCGGACAGTGGTACAGGGAAGGCTTTTGTCTAAGCTGGGCACTGAGGGAGTTAGGCCAGGCAAAAAATGAGTAGAGTGTTTTAGGCAGAAAACAACAGTCAGTTTGGAGAACTGAAAGGATTCCACATGGCGGAAGGTGGTGAGAGATAGGGATGAAGAATCAGGCAGAGACTGGAAGGTGAAGTCCTTGCGAATGTTGTAAGGAGTTTGGCCTCTGTTCTGGGGGGTAATAGGGAGCCACAGAGGGTTTTACACAGGAAGCAACATGGTCAGATCAGAGATCATTCTGGCTGCTGGGTTCACAAGAAATGGAAGGCAGAGAGCCAGTGAAGAGGCTGTTGCCGTGGTCCAGGTAACTAGTCAGGGAGACAGATGAGCAAGCAGGCAGCTTATGTCCAGGGTGGGCCAAGGCTGTAATGCAGGATGCACAGAGGCCTGTGGGTGGGGAGGGATCTTCTCCTCCCTATCTCAGTTGCGATCTAAAGAATGAATGGAAGGGCCAGGTGCACTGGCTCATGCCTGTAATCCCAGGACTTTGGGAGGCCGAGGCAGGCAGGTCACCTGAGGTCAGGAGTTCGAGACCAGCCTGGCCAACATGGTGAAATCCCGTCTCTACAAAAAATACAAAAATTAGCCAGGTGTGGTGGTGCGCGCCTGTAATCCCAGGTACTCGGGAGGCTGAGACAGGAAAATGGCTTGAACCCAGGAGGCAGAGGTTGCAGTGAGCCAAGATTGCGCCACTGCATTCCAGCCTGGGCGACAGAGCAAGACTCCGTCTCAAAAAAAAGAAGAAAAAAAAAAAGAATAGAAGTTGGCCGTGGGAAGTGGCTTAAACTTTTTTTTTTTTTGAGACAGCAGCTCACTCTGTTGCCCAGGCTGGAGTGCAGAGTGCAGTGGCATGATCTCAGCTCACTGCAGCCTCTGCCTCTTAGGTTCAAGCAATTCTCCTGCCTCAGCCTCCGAGTAGCTGGGATTACACGTGTGCATCACGATGCCCAGCTATTTTTTTTTTTTTTTTTTTTTTGAGATGGAGTCTCGCTTTGTCACCCAGGCTGGAGTGCAGTGGCATGATCTCCGCTCACTGCAACCTCTGCCTCCTGGGTTCAAGCCATTCTCCTGCCTCAGCCTCCCCAGTAGCTGGGATTACAGGTGTGCACTACCATGCCCATCTGTTTTTAGTAGAGACGGGGTTTCACCATGTTGGCCAGGCTGGTCTCGAACTCTTGACCTCGTGATCTGCCCACCTCGGCCTCCCAAAGTGCTGGGATTACAGGTGTAGCCACCGCGCTCGGCCTACTTTTTGTAGTTTTAGTAGAGATTTAGTAGAGATGCAGTTTCACCGTGTTGGCCAGGCTGGTCTGGAACTCCTGACCTCAAGTGATCCGCCTGCCTCGGCCTCCCAAAGTGCTGGGATTACAGATGTGAACCACCACTCTTAGCCCACAAACTTTTTATAAGTAATTAAATAACTAAAAGTGTATGGAAAATGTATCTCTTAATAGGATGGTTGGGGTTCTCTTTTTTTTTTCCATTTACTTCATATATCCATAGGAAGAAATTACTAAGTGACTTTTCCCCTTTCCAAGTAGCCAGAGTCCAATGGGAAAGGGGAAATGAGAAGGAGCATGGGGCCGCTGGGGCCACCGGTGCCATACCCAGGGAGGAAAGAAGAAAGAGGTTGAGTTTCTGGAATTAGGATCCTTAGAGTGATCCACTCTTATGCACCCTTAGGAAGTCTTCACCTACCTCAGAGGGTCACATACCCCAGGCTGAAGAGGCCTGGCCTAAGGCAGGAAAGTCCCACCACAAGGAATGTCACCACCACTGCCCGAAAGAGTCAGGCTGTCCCGGCATCTCTCCAAGGGCCGTCTAACAAGCAGCCTGGCACCCAGGGCCATGCTGTCTGTCTAATTGAAATGCTTCTCCAGCTGACCCTGAGGACCAAGAGGCTGCCTTGGACAAGTCCGGTGTGTTCATCAGGGCGCAGCCACGTGGGACAAAGGGGCAGCTCTGCTGTCTCCAGAGGCTTTGCAGCATCAGGAGTTGGGAGGGAGAAGAGGAGGTTGGGATTATAAATCACAACCTGGTTTGTTCCCTTTCTTCCTAGCTGAGTGGCTCTGGAAATGTGATGCCACCTTTCTGGGACTCAGTTTCCCTAACTGTAAAGTGGGGATCACAACAGTCCCTTCTTGGAGTTGCTGGGGTACCAGTGAGCTGATGCACGTGGAGCACTTAGCACCGCATAGAGTAAGAGTTCAACAGGAACCATTTGCTGGGACTATCACCTCCTTTGACCCTCTCAACCATCCTGTGAAGTTCACAAGTCAGGAGAGACAGTTTAGCTCACAAAGGAAATGTTTGTTGTCTTTAAGGATTATACCGGGGTGCTGGCAGGATTTGATGAGTGGTGTTTAGATAGATCTGGAATTACAAAACTCAGTAACTGATATTCATCAAGCAAAATACACACGATGTCCTGCAAGACACAAGTGGATTGGTGCCATGGTTAGTCTCCATTGTGGTGGTCGTAAGAGGTGGAGCCTTTTTCGAGGTGATTAGGCCAAGAGGGCTCTACCCTCATTAATGGAATTCATACCCTTATAAAAAGGGCTTGAGGATGGGCGCAGTGGCTCACGCCTGTAATCCCAGCACTTTGGGAGACCGAGGCGGGCGGATCACAAGGTCAGGAGATCGAGACCATCCTAGCTAACACGGTGAAACCCCATCTCTACTAAAAATACAAAAAATTAGTCGGGCATGGTGGCATGTGCCTGTAATCCCAGCTACTCGGGAGGCTGAGGGAGGAGAATCGCTTGAACCCGGGAGGCGGAGGTTGCAGTTAACTCAGATCATGCCACTACACTCCAGCCTGAGCGACAGAGTGAGACTCCATCTCAAAAAAAAAAAAAAAAAAGGCTTGAGGGGCTGGGCACAGTCACTCACGCCAATCATCCCAGCATTTGGGGAGGCAGGTGGATCATTTAAGGCCAGGAGTTCAAGACCAGCCTGGCTAACATGGTGAAACCCTGTCTACTAAAAAATACAAAAAATAGCCAGGTGTGGTATCGGGTGCCTGTAATCCCAACTACTCGGGGGGCTAAGGCAAGAGAATCACTTGAGCCTAAGAGGTAGAGGTTGCAGTGAGCCGAGATCGTGCCACTGCACTCCAGCCTGGGCAACAGAGCAAGACTGTCTCAAAAAAAGGGCTTGAGGGAACTAGCTCGACCCTTCCACTTCTGCCTCGTGAGGACACAGCAAGAAGGCACCATTTTGGAAGCAGAAGGCAACCTTCACCAGGCACCAAATCTGCTGGCATCTTGATCTTGGTCTCCCCAGCCTCCAGAACTGTGAGAAATAAATTTCTTTTTAATTGTTTTTTCTTTTTAAAAAAATTTTGGCCAGGCGTGGTGGCTCATGCCTGTAATCCTAGCACTTTGGAAGGCCTCGGCAGGCGGATCACTTGAGATCAGGAGTCTGAGACCAGCCTGGCCAACATGGCAAAATCCCGTCTCTACTAAAAATACAAAAATTAGCCAGGCATAGGGGTGCACACCTGTAATCCCAGCTACTCAGGAGGCTGACGCAGGAGAATCCCTTGAACCCGGGAGGCGGAAGTTGCAGTGAGCCCAGATCGTGCCACTGCACTCCAGCCTGGGCCACAGTGTGAGACTCCTTCTCAAAAAAAAAAAAAAGTTTGTAACCTATTTATGTTATTTTGAGCAATTGTATACTAAAAATAATCCAAAAGAAATATTTAATACCTAGGGTTTTGTGGTCACCAGAAAAAAAAAAAAAAACTATATTAGGTTTTATAGTTTTAGGCCGCACCGGGCCTATGTTAAGTTTTCATTTGTAGTATATACATATTTTTGTTGCAGAGAAATAAGATAGCATGATCAATAAGACTGTTAGGCAAAAAAAAAAAAAAGGGGAAGAAAAAAATTTCATTAACATGACATTTGATGAGAGAGTGGAATGGAAATACGGGTTCTAGTACAAAAAAGATCATAAGTGTCTGACTTGTTCATGTGTTTGATACATGGATGGGAGGTTACATTGCTGTGGCATCTAGATTCCACCGAGTAATTAGACAAGCAATGCAACAGTGTTATCTTTTTTTTTTTTTTTTTTTTTTTGAGATGGAGTCTCGCTCTGTCACCCAGGCTGGAGTGCAGTGGCGAGGTCTCGGCTCACTGCAAGCTCCGCCTCCCGGGTTCACGCCATTCTCCTGCCTCAGCCTCCCAAGTAGCTGGGACTACAGGCGCCCGCCACCACACCCAGCTAATTTTTTTTTTTTTTTTTTGGATTTTTAGTAGAGACGGGGTTTCACCGTGTTAGCCAGGATGGTCTCGATCTCCTGACCTCGTGATCCGCCCGCCTCGGCCTCCCAAAGTGCTGGGATTACAGGTGTGAGCCACCGCGCCCGGCCCTACAGTGTTATCTTAAAGTGCAAAAATTATGTCTTTTGTGACCATTTAAACTCACAATGGGCAGGGCGAGGTGACTCACGCCTGTAATCCCAGCACTTTGGGAGGCCGAGGGGGACAGATCACCTGAGGTCAGGAATTCCAGACCAGCCTGGCCAGCATGGTGAAACCCCATCTCCACTAAAAATACAAAAATTAGCCAGACATGGTGGCATGTGCACCTGTAATCCCAGCTACTCGGGAGGCTGAGACAGGAGAATCTCTTGAATCTGGCAGGTGGAGGTTGCAGTGAGCCAAGATTGCGTCACTGCACTCCAGCCTGGGCAACAGGGTGAGACTCCATCTCAATAAATAAATAAATAAACTCACAATGAAAATTTTCAATGTTAATCTGATGTGTGAGCAAAAATGTGTGACAACCTCTGCCCAAATCATGCTCTGCCTGGCAGCCCCTTCCCCCTCCATCCTCCCGTCCGCGTCATGCTTTTTCTTGCAGGTGCTAGAAACCCCCTTCTGAATCAGCAGCTGCCAGGGAGGGACTTTGGAACTGATCTGGAGCCTGCATCCTGGCTAAATGGTATCCTCCCTCCCTGCCACCAGCCTCCTAGGTTGCTGCTGCTTCCCCGTCTCCCCACTTAAAATCCTGAGAGGCTCCTAGGCTCAGTTCCAGATCTTCTTTCTCTCCCCTCTCTCCCTGGGTGAGAGGCCCCCAACTTTCTCCAGGACCCATACCTGGCCACACCCAGGACACCTCTGGCTATTCCCTAGACAGCCCAGTAGCTGCACAGTTGAAATGGGAGCCTTGGTCACTTTCCCCAAACATGTCCCTCCCAGGAACACTTGAGCTCAGGAGTTTGAGACCAGCCTGGGCAACATAGCGAGACCCCATCTCTACAAAAAATACAAAAATTAGTCAGGCATGGTAGCTTGCACCTGTGGTCCCAGCTACTCAGGAGGCTGAGGTGGGAGGATCACCTGAGCCCAGGAGTTTGCAGTGAGCTGTGATTGTGCTGCTGCACTCCAGCCTGGGCAACAGAGTGAGACTCTGTCTCAAAAAAAAAAAAGTCCTTCCCACCGGGGTGTCTGTCACGGTAAGTGCAAACATCTTCACCCCATCCTCTCTGAGTCATTCTCCCTACAACAGGGACAGGTGGTCTTTTTACAAGGAACTGGGTCCTGCTATTCTTGCTTGGTACCTGTCGATGGCTTCCCAAAACCCTTGGGAAGAAAGGTGCCCTCCTTCCTCTGACCTCCCAGCCCCAGTGATGTGCACACTTTCCTCTCAGAGAGCCTTTCTCATCCCATAGCCTCCCTCGTTCTCATCCCACAGCCTCCCTCGTTCTCATCCCACAGGCTCCCTCGTTCTCAGGCCCCCCGCCCCTTCTCTCTCCTGCCTCGGAGTTTTCACATATAACGTGTTCTCAGCCTGGACTCTTGCCTCCAAGCCCCACACAGCTAACAGCTTCTAACCCTCAGCTCCAAGCCCACCTCCCCCGTCGACAGTAGACTTACTCCTACCCCCCAGGCACCTGCTCTCTCTCCTATCACCCCATCTGAGTCCTTGTTTATTGCCCTCCTCTCCCACTGCCACGAGAGCTTCAGGAGGGCAGGGACCTTGTCTTTTGTCCTCTGTGTCTCTAATTCCCAGAACTCTGACCAGGACACAGTAGGTGCTCCATAAATATGTGCTTGGTGTTCAAGGATAGAACACTCTCCAAGAGGACAGACTGATCTGCGGGCCAGGGATGCCTAAGGCCCTGCAGAGTAAGGGCCTGTCCCCACCATGAAGGACTGACCACACAAGGGCCAGGACATCCCCTTTGGGGACCCTCTGGGCATCTCTAATCCACCACAGGTCTCAGGAAACCTCTTCCCTGCTCCTCTCCTTCCCCTTGGAAATGAAAGGAGTTTACCTTAATTGAGCATCTAAGATTGAGCCAGGTGTCTTCATGACACCTTGTGAAACAAATGTTTCATTTGCAGGTGAGGGAACTACTGGGAGAAGCTAAGACAAGCCCCAGGCCAGGTGACTGCTCCAGGCCCAGCCTCTTCCCCTGACCTGCCACCTTCCCCAGGTGTCCTCCTGCTCCTCCCCATCCCATCCCTGCCTGTCCTGTTTCTCATACTCTAATGGGACTCGTTTCCCTGTTTGCTTGAATGTACGGTAACCTCGAAGGCAGGATTTGTTCTGTTCACCTGTAGTGCTTAGTGCGGTACTATGTCCAAGGCGTATGTCAAATATTTGTGAAAAACACACTCCCTTTCTGTCGGACAAAGAATTTTCCAAAATGCTGCCTCCGGAAGCAGACCCGCCTGAGTTTACATTCTGGCTGTCATGTTTCCTGTGTGACCCAGGGCAAGTCACCCACCTTCTCTGAGCCTCAGGCTTCTCATCCCTTCCAGTGCAGCGGGTTTAGTGCGGCTCCTATGTCATCATAAGCAAGTGCTGGGGGCCCTATGGCAGTGAACTCAATTTCTTTTGTGATCTCAGCTAAGTCCTTCTAGGTACTTTGCTTCAAAAACTCAAAAGCTAGCACCCCCAGGGGGGCTATTCTGCAGAGGTTAGGGAGGCTGCCTCCAAGCAGGCTCAATCTGATGGGCTTGGGGGACCTTTTCTCGGGCGGCAACTCTAGCCCCGTTACATGTCAGGAGTCGTGCCTTGGACATCTCTGCCTCTAGGGACCCCTCAGCAGTTCCACCACCCCAGGTACAGGAAAGCACAGTGGGGGTTTTCCATCCATGTTTCCTGCCCACCTCACATGTTTGGTGTCTTTTTTCTTTTTTTTGACATGGAGTTTTGTTCTTGTTGCCCAGGCTGGAGTGCAATGGCATGATCTTGGCTCATTGCAACCTCCGCCTCCTGGGTTCAAGCGATTCTTCTGCCTCAGCCTCCCGAGTAGCTGGGATTATAGGTACCCGCTGCCACACCCAGCTGATTTTTGTTTAGTAGAGATGGGGTTTCACCATGTTGGTCAGGCTGGTTTCAAACTCCTGAGCTCAGGTGATCCACCCGCCTCGGCCTCCCAACATGCTGGGATTACAGGCATGAGCCACTGCGCCTGGCTGTATAGTGAATTGTTTTTTTTTTTTTTGAGATGGAGTTTCACTCTTGTTGCCCAAGCTAGAGTGCAATGGCGCGATCTCGGCTCACAGCAACCTCCGCCTCCTGGATTCAAGCCATTCTCCTGCCTCAGCCTCCGGAGTAGCTGGTATTACAGGCATGCGCCATCCCCCCGGCTAATTTTGTATTTTTAGTAGAGATGGGGTTTCTCCATGTTGGTCAGGCTAGTCTCGAACTCCAGACCTCAGGTGGTCCGCCTGCCTCGGCCTCCCAAAGTGCTGGGATTACAGGCGTCAGCCACCGCGCCCGGCCTATATAGTGAAATTTTAAAGTGTATCAAAAGTTTCTATGATCATCATACTAGGTAGAATCAGCCATCACAAGAAGACAAACACTGTAAGATTCCACTTCTATGAGGTCCTTAGAGAAGTCAAAATCATACAGACAGAAAGTAGAAAGGTGGTTTCCAGAGGCTGGGGAAGGGGGGCTGTGGAGTTAGTGTTTAATGGAGACAAGAGCTTCAGTTTGGGAAGAGGAAAAGTTCTGGAGATGATTGGATGTCCAACAGGTGCATATGCTTAATGCCACTGAGTTGTACCCTGAAAAATGGTGAAGATGGTAAACTTTATATGATGTGTTTTTTAGCACAATTAAAATTCAAAAAAAATTTTTTTAAGTTCCTATGACCATGAGCCTCTGAATGTTAAAATTCCGAATTGAGTCAGCATTCCATTGATTACAGCTTGCCAAAATAGCACTGATATGTTTGTTTGTTTGTTTGTTTAGAGATAGGGTCTCACCCTGTCACCCAGGCTAGAGTGCAGTGGTGTGATCACCGCTCACTGCAGCTTCAACCTCTGAGGCAAAAGTGATCCTCCCACCTCAGCCTCCTGAGTAGCTTGGACTACAGGCGTGTGCCACTGTGCCCAGCTAATTTTTTATTTTTTGTAGAGATGGGTTCTCATTGTGTTGCCCAGGCTGGTCTCAAACTCCTGGGCTCAAGCAATCCTCCCGCCTCGGCCTCTAAGCGTTGGGATTACAGCCGTGAGCCACCATGCCCAGCAAAGGTATCTTTCAATAGATTTCAGGGTCCCACTTTCATGAAGAGCCACTGCTCTGCCCTGGTGCTGGTGGTGGTGGGATCTTGGCCTCTGTCACCCCTCCATTGATTGGCCTGAGGCAGTGACTTCCCAGGGTGCTGGAGCTGACCTCTTGGAGGTAGGTGGTCCTCAGGGAGGTCCAGGTGAAATTGGCTTAGCTGCTTTGTCACTGTGGGCACTGGTACTCCCCTCTCCTGGAAGATGGATGGTGGGAAGGGGGGTGCCTCTCTGCATTTTTCCCCATGTGGGCTCAGTAATCGCTTCCCAGTCCCCACAATTCGCTAAGCACCTGCTGCCCATCTCCCACTCTCTTAAGTAGCCAATTGCTCCATCAGTTGAAGTTCTTTGTTTCCAAACAACAGACGCTGACCGTGATTTGGGCTTTTTTAGGGTTTGTTAGAGGAGGTCAGGGTGACTCACAAAAATGTGAGAAATGACTGACCACATCTCAGGAAGAGCAGGGTCCCCGGGGTGTTGTCTAGGACTCAGGGGCAGGAGTTGGGGGACCTTTTGCTGGGACATTGCCCACAGGTGGATCAGGCTTGGCCACTTCCCATACCTGCATGCTTGGGTCCAACTTTGAGTTTGCAGAGAGAGGACCTGATTGGCCCAACCTGGGCTGGTTGACCTTGGATCAATGAGCCATGGGCTGGGGGTCGTTGTGCCTGGGTCTCCCCACCCCCAGTTAGTGCTACTGTAAATACTTGGATAACATTTTGTTCCCTTAAAAGTGTGGGTATTGGCCAGGCACGGTGGCTGATGCCTATAATCCCAGCACTTTGGGAGGCCGAGGCAGGCAGATCACCTGAGGTCAGGAGTTCAGGACCAGCCTGGCCAACATGATGAAACCCCATCTCTACTGAAAATACAAAAATTAGCCAGGTGTGGTGGCAGGTGACTGTAGTCCCAGCTACTCAAGAGGCTGAGGCAGGAGAATGGCGTGAACCCCAGGAGGTGGAGGTTGCAGTGACCCGAGATCGCACCACTGCACTCCAGTCTGGGCAACAGAGGGAGGCTCCATCTTAAAAAAAAAAACAAAACAAAACAACAACAACCAAAAAGAAAATTTACTGCTGTGAACAATGAAGACTGCTTAAGTCAAAAAGGCAAGAAGGACCTGTAGCTCTTCTTTTGGATTAGTTGCCATAACACTGTCCTTCAGGCAGCTGAGGGACTTTCACATTTTCTCTAGATGTCATTAGGTGCCAGAGCTCTTGCAGGACCACGTTGAAGCTTTATACAATAAATGCTGCCATTTTGTCAGCACCAATATGGCTCTTGGGTCCACTGCTCCATTCAAATTATTAACTCCGTTCACATTAATTCTTTTTTTTGAGACAGAGTCTTGCTCTGTTGTCCAGGCTGGAGTGCAGTGGTGCAATCTTGGCTCACTGCAACCTCTGCCTCCTGAGTTCAAGCGATTCTCATGTTTTAGCCTTCCGAGTAGCTGGGATTACAGGCGCCCGCCATCATGCCCAGCTAATTTTTAGTAGAGACGGGGTTTCACCATGTTGCCCAGGCTGGTCTTGAACTCCTGGCTTCAAGTGATCCACCCACCTCGGCCTCCCAAAGTGCTGGGATTGCAGATGTGAGCCATTGTGCCTGGTCTCATATTAATCTTTTTGTTACAAATCTTACCACGGGGGTGATTCCAGGTATTTAGGCCCACATTCTATTTTAAGACTGTATATTTGGTTTTCATAAATTGTCCGAGTCTGTGCTGGCTGTCGTCCTGTGTTGCTAGAAGGCCAGCATATTACTCATCTCACACTCGTTCCCATTCTCCTTACTCTTTCTTTCTTTCTTTCTTTTTTCTCTTTTTTTTTTCTTTAGATGGAGTCTCGCTCTCTCGCCAGGCTGGGGTGCAGTGGTGTGATCTCAGCTCACTGCAACCTCCACCTCCCGAATTCAAGCGATACTCCTGCCTCGGCCTCCCAAGTAGCTGGGATTACAGGCATGCGCCACCATGCCCGGCTAATTTATTTTTGTATTTTTAGTAGAGACGGGATTTCACCATGTTGGCCAGGATGGTCTCAATCTCTTGACCTTGTGATCCGCCCGCCTCGGCCTCCCAAAGTGCTGGGATTACAGGCATGAACCACTGCGCCTGGCCACTCTCCTTACTCTTTCTATCATTGCTGTCCAGAAGCATTGCCTATGACATTTAAATTGTCAATCCAAAACATTCAAAACTACCAGCTTACTCGTCGAGGCCATCATAAATGGAAAGAAGGCCTGGGAAAGGTGTGGAAGGGTGATTCAGCTGCAGAGAGGGCTCTGGACTTAGGTTTCGCAGCTGACTGTGACTTTCAGGACCAGAGACAGCGCCCCGGATCCACACCCATTTCCCACCCAGCGTCAGACTTGAGGATTTTAAAGAGAGGTGTCCTTGTGCTGATAGACGGGAAACTGCCCACAGCTGGGAGACTTCATGTGCTCACACCAAGAAGGCACTAGAGGGTGCTGGTGAGCTGCAGGTTTGAGGACCTGCAGCTGGGCTTATCTGCAACCTCCAGATGGGCTAAAAACAACAACAACTTAACAGAAAAAGTTCAAAAGTCTAGATTATTTAACATGTCAACAGTTCCACTGGGCGCTGTGGCTCACACCTGTAATCCCAATACGTTGGGGGGCCAGGGTGGGTGGATTGCTCGAGTCCAGGAGTTTGAGACCAGCCTGGGCAACATGGCGAAACCCCGTCTCTACTATAAACTACAAAATTTAGCCGGATGTGGTGGCGAGTTCCTGTAGTCCCAACTACCCGGGAGGCTGAGGTGGGAGGATTGCTTCAGCCTGGAGGTCAAGGCTGCAGTGAGCCGTGATCACGCCACTGCACTCCAGCCTGAAGGCAGAGCCAGACCCTGTCTCAAAAAAAAAAGTCAAAAGTTTACATTAAATTCTGTTCTCATCCAAATGTTAGTGCCTCTATCTTTCAGGGGGCCTTCCAAGGGGTACATGATATTTGGCATTCTCCTTTTCTTGTTTGGTATTTTGTGTATCAATATTACACAGTTTATTTCTATGCAACCTTTTTGTTTCGTCGTTTTGTTTTTTGAGACAGGGTCTCACCATGTTGCCCAGATTGGAGTGCAGTGGCTATTCACAGGTGTGATCATAGCTCACTGCAGCCTTGAACTCCTGGCTTCACACAATCCTCCTGCCTCAGCCTCCAGAGTAGCTGGGATTACACGTGCATGCCACCATGTGTGGCCTATTTCTATGAAATCTTTTTTTTTTAAATACAGGATCTCACTCTATCACCCAGGCTGGAGTGCAGTGATGGCTCAAGATCCCAGGCTCAGGCAATCCT